>NC_000023.11:96837542-97462542 GCF_000001405.40 Homo sapiens | reverse complement strand
TTTTTAAAGCAGCAAAACAGCAACCTGAGCACAAACCAAGACTACTGCAAATTGTAAACAACTTCAGATGATTTACAGAAAAAGAATTCGACAAAGCTTCCTTAATGTCAGGATATAAACAGTTCTTAGTGCTATTTAGTTAAATGATAATTATAAAACCCATTGAACTGAATGAGAATTTGGATTGTCAGACAAATGTTTGTAAGGGGTTAATTAATTCATATGAACTACACAGCTCAGCTGAAAATGGGCTCATTATTCTAAACCACCAACTTTGTCTGCTTCTTGTATTGTCCTCCTTTCTCCATCAGATTTATCCTGTTGCACCCCCACCCACAGTAACGAATGTTAGGAGATAGAAATATTTAAAAGGATATGTGAGCTATAGGCATTTTGCAAGAGTACATCAGGGGTACAAAGATGTCTGCTGGAACACTGAAATGGGAAGATCATTTATTAGTGCACCATGGTTCATAACATCCCAAAGGGTTCAATATTTTCATTACGCACATAAACATAACCCCTCCTCCTTTTCAAATGCCTCATTACAGCTAAGCCTGGAGCTTTTTTCTTAAAAAGCTTTCCTCTGAAATTATTAATAATTTGAAGTTCCCTACAGGCCAAGGGTATTATTACAGTCAAAATACCTCAATATGTATATATACTTATATACTCTCTTTTATGCTATTTTAAATAACAAAGTATTTAGTGGAAACAAGTAAAGAATTTATAAGCTATATACAGAAAAGCCTAGAGGAAGATGGCAATATCCCAGACTCCAAGGAAACGGCTCTTGAAGCTTATTAGGTGGGTGTAGGAGACTGTAATAGGATTATGAGTTTTGGTTTAGCCTGTCCATCATTTCAAAATCCCCATAACTAAAGGGAATATCTTCATAGGGGTCTGAGTTTAATATTGAAGCTGCTTTATCTAATTCTTCCTATTTTATAATGCTGAGTGCTAATTAGTTCCATCCACTTTCTTCAGGCTTGTCAATAAGGCAACTTGGAAGCCAAGAACCTGCTGAATTATGGATTAACCAGTTCTGTAACAGCGTGTTCAAGCAACCTAGTTAGCTACTCCAAAATGTAATGTTATTATGGGCACGGGAAAGCATAAAATACTCTTTTGTTATGTTCTGTTTAAAAGAAAAAAAATAACTCCCTACAAGTGAACTGTTTATTTCTGATGTGTTAATGAACATTTTAGATATGTAAAACTAAAATAACATTTACTCTTGTGTGTGTCAAACATAGCCTATTAAATTCACAATAGCCATAATGATATTTGCTACAAAAAAAAAAAAAAGACAAACTAGTCTTAGAATTTTGAGTGCAGAAAAGAAAAATCTTAAAGGCAGAAAGACTGAGAGACTGACACGAGTTCCCTCATCTACCTTCACTTTTATTGAACCTGCATCCCAACCTCCCTGGGCCTTCCCATTACTTTCTTAACTCTTGCCATTTCAATTGACTCCTTTCTGGTGCAGCTAGATGCTAGAATCGGCCCTGTAGGGTCATACATTCTGGAATTAGAAGTAATGTTAGAGATAAACTGATGTAGCTCTCTTATTTCACAAGTGAATTAACTGAGATCCAAAGGTCAAGCGAACTATTCGAGGTCATACAAGCTAGTTGATATACTAAAGTTAAAAAATGAATCCAAGTCTCCTGATTCCTTGTTCCACGCTCCTTCACTTCTACTTACCATCATAACCATCCCATTCAACCATGTCTGAACTTGTTGCTGTCACTAGGCTGCTGAGCTATCCCCTCCACCAGGCATAATTTTTTTTAGCCACAAGGAATTCAGCCATGATCAAGCATTGACAAAACACAACTTGGCTATGTCTAGTGCGTGCTCTGTGGTTTGACTCCCCAAGTGTCCCCAGACCTCCCCTGCCTCCACAGGCTTCCAATTCTACCTTCCTTTCTTCATTTCTAAAGGATTAGCTTGATTTCTACCTTGTAAAAATGAATCTATCTCCCAGGAGTTTAATCATCTGCCTTCGCCTAGAAATCAACTGTTTTCTATTCTGCTCATCTTTGTGGCGAGACAACTCTCCTTTTCTCTCCTCCTGAAGATTTATTTATTTATTAAGGCATTTATTGAAATACATGTATTCCCTTCCTTATTGGCAACTTCAGTCTCTCCTTTTTTACTGCTGCTTTTTCTTTAAACTCTAACTAATAAAAATAATAATAGCAGTAATAATAACGAGCTAGTACATACAAAGTATTTATTATTGAGACAGTCAGGTGGGAGGGGGTCCCTGGAGAAACTCCAAACAGCCTGCCCACTAAGGTGGAGCCTCGTTAAGTTTACACTGGGGAGGAGCCTGGCCCCTCCTTTTCCTGTGTGGAAGTTGGGATTCTAACATCCTGCTCTAGCAGGATGTTTCCCCCTTTTCTTCCTTTTCACCAAATAAAACCCTGCTTGTTCACCATTCAAATTGTCTGCGGGCCTGAATTTTTGTGGCTGTGGGACAAAGAACTCTGTCTTTAGCTGAACTAAGGAAGAGTTCTGCAACATTTTGTGCTAGGGACCATTTTAGGTGCTTAGAAAGTATTAACTCATTTAATCCTCATAATAACCCATGAGGTAGGTATAACTATTATCCTCATTTTACAGATAAGGAAACTGATACATAGGTTAAATAACTTGCCCAAGATACACAACTAGGAAGTGGTAGTGCCAGGATTTGAACCCAGAGAGCTTAGCTTCAGATTCTGTGCTCTTAACCATCATGCTGCCTCTTTAATATATGTCATATCTACACCATCACTTATGAGCTCTATTACACTGAGCAAGTTACTTCTCAGAGACTCAGTTTGTTGATACGTAAAATTAAAATAATATTGCTAATTTTGTAGGATTGATATGAGGATTATGTGAACTGCAGAATATACATAACCCATCATGCCTGGCATATATAAACATCCAATAAATGACAATGTTATCATGATGAGATTAGTAACCACCACATTTGGCTTTTATCAATAAAACGTTCCAAGGAAGTGCTCCCAGAGGGAGATAACTCTATTATGTATTTAAGAAATCCTTACAAAACCCTGTTCTAAACACAATGTTAACTCATATAGTTCTCAAAACACCCACGAGGAAAATCCTACTATCATTTCCATTTTACATGTGAGAATACTGAGGCAGAAAGGTAATTCACTGCCCCAAGGTCACAAAGCTAGTAAGTGGCAGAGCCAAGATTTAGACCCACACAGTCTAACTCCATAGTGTTTGCTATAACTATAGCACTAAGCGAGACTCTCAACTCTCCTTAACCCAATGGACTAAGACAAGCATCTTTACAACATGGCAGCTGGCTTGAGAGTAAACTTGAGACACCCATGGCCTGTGAGAATAGCATAGATGCATATAGCCACAGTAAGTTTAAAAAGGTGTTTTCTAGTGTAGTGTTCCCCAAACTTGTCAGCTGAAGAGGAGTATCTAGAGATTAAAAGAAAAAACAAAAACAGAATCCTTGGCCCCCTCCCATACCTAAGTCAGACTCTGGGAATGGAGATTGGTAGAAGTTAATAGAGGACCAAATTAGAATCACATAGGAAGCGTTTTCAAGATCCCCATGACCAGCACCTATCCCTGGAGACTCTGCTTCAGCATACCCATGTTGGTTCCCAGACCTCACTTGTTACCTTTAGAGGATTCTAGAGAGACAACAACTTACTGACAAAAAGAGAGAAGTACTTCTCATCCCTTCATTATATGAAATGTACCTTCATGTAATCAAATAGTTGATGAGGGGGCATTTTTTTTATGAAGTAATCAAACTAATTAAAGGAGGAATAATAGAATAGTACTCTTTTGAACTAATGGAGCTAGAGAATCATCAGTGGCTGCTAATATAACAAAAAGAGTAAACTAGCCATCATGTGCTCCAATATAAAACCTCACAACACCAACAAAAAAAGGACATCTTGACAAAAAGACAAAACCTGAATCTGATCAAGCTTTAGAGTGGCTTGGTTTATCTAACTATAAATTTACAGAAAATATATGGAGTAGGGGGACAGGCAAAGAAACAGGTAAATAACACAGTGGGATGCAATGAACAAAATATAAACTCAATCAGACAAATGACCTGGTTGCTTCAACAATAAAAACTGGGCTGGGCATGGTGGCTCACATCTGTAATCCTAACACTTTGGGAGGTCAAGGTGAGAGAATCGCTTGAGCTCAAGATTTTGAGAAAAAAAAAAAAAAAGAACGAAAGAAAAGAAAGAAAAAGAAAATGGAAAAAAAACCCCTGAAAATTACAAGAAAAAAAGGAGAGATAGATGAAAAGGTGGAGCAGTCAGCCTCCAAGATGAATCCCCCCAATTATCCCAACCCCTTGGTATTCATACTCTGGTGTAATTCCCTCCCACATTGTTTCTGGGTTGGTTTGTGTGATTGGCAGAATATGACAGAAGTATTGTTATATCACTTCCAAGACTAGGATACAGAATGCACTGTGGTTTCCTCTTTGCTTTCTCTCTTAGATCACTCACTCTTGGGGAAGCCAGATGCCATGTTGTAAAGATGCTTGTCTTAGTCCATTTGGGCTACTATAACAACATACCCAGTGGTATTTATTGCTCACAGTTCTGGGGGCTGGGACGTCTAATATCAAGGCACCAGTAAATTTGGTATCTGATAAGGGCTCGTTCCCTGTTTCACAGAGGTACCTTCTAGGTGTCTTCACATGGCTGAAGGAGCAAACATGCTCCCTTGAGCCTCTTTTATAAGGGTAATCACTTTCCAAAGGCCTCACCATTTAATACTATCACATTGGGATTATGTTTCAACATATGTATTTTGGGGGGACAAAACATTCAGACCATAGCAACAGTCAAGAAGCTCTATAGAGAGGCCCGTATAGTGAAGAACTGATCTTGGAGTAGATCCTCTAGCCTCAGACCCAGAGACAACCATAGCCCGGTCCAATATCTTGACTGCAATCTCATGAGAGACACTGAAACGATCACTCAGCTAAGCTGCTCCCAAATTCTTGACCCACAGAAACTATGAAATAATAAACATTTGTAGTTTTAAGCTTCTACGTTTTAAAGGTAACTTGTTATGCAGCAATTGATGAATAATTGATAATTAACACAAGGGGGATTCCATTGTTAAAAAGAGACTTAACAGAACCATAATAATGAATCAACTTTGTTTGGTTTCCAATTCATACTAACCAAAAAGAGTAGATAATTGGCTGGGCGTGGTGGCTCACGCCTGTAATTCCAGCACTTTGGGAGAGGGGTGGATCACTTGAGCTCAGGAGTTGGAGAACAGCCTGGCCAACATGGTGAAACCCCGTCTCTACTAAAAACACAATAATTAGCCAGGCATGGTGGCGGGTGCCTGTAATCCCAGCTACTCGGGAGGCTTTGGCAGGAGGATTGCTTGAACCCAGGAGGCAGAGGTTACAGTGAGCCGAGATAGTGCCACTGCACTCCAGCCTGAGTGACAGAGCAAGACTCCATCTCAAAAACAAAAAACAAAAAAACAAAACAAAACAAAAAAACCAAAGCAGATAATCAGGGAAATGTAAACACTAAATAGATATTTGTTATTAAGGATTTTTTTTCTTAGTAAGATATGATAATAGTATTTGGTTACGTTAGAAATAGTCTTCATCTTTTGTGGATGCTTACAGAAACGTTCACAGATGAAAAAAACATAATGTCTGAGAGCTGTTTCAAAATATCCAAGAGTAGCAGTATGGAGAAAACAAAATTGATCATGAATTGATCATTGTGGAAGCTGGGTTCATGAGTTTTTTTTATATTATTGTATTTTGTATATACTTGAAAATTTCAAAATAAAGAGTGAATAAGTAAAGAGACAACAAATCATTGACTGACTATTGAGGTTCCACATCAGATGAAGCAATTCCAACCAAGCCACACAATTAGGAGAGGCACAGTCCCAATAGCCAAATAGAGCTCATCAATGGGTATTAGTGCCTGCAAATTCATACATGGTACACAAATATTGTTATATACATATCTTATCTCTTACTTCTTTGGTGTGTCCATGTCTTTTCTCCCCAGCTAGACATAGGATAGTAACTTAGGGACATACTCTGTTTATTTATTGTTTGGTTTATCACTGAAGATTGCCTTTTTTTTTTTTTCTGAGACGGAGTCTTGCTCTGTCGCCCAGGCTGGAGTGCAGCGGCGCGATCTCGGCTCACTGCAAGCTCCGCCTCCCAGGTTCACGCCACTCTCCTGCCTCAGCCTTGCGAGTAGCTGGGACTACAGGCGCCCGCCACCACGCCCGGCTAATTTTTTGTATTTTTTAGTAGAGACGGGGTTTCACCGTGTTAGCCAGATGGTCTCGATCTCCTGACCTCGTGATCCGCCCGCCTCGGCCTCCCAAAGTGCTGGGATTACAGGCGTGAGCCACCGCGCCCGGCCTGAGGATTGCTTTTAAGTTCAAGGAGGACATGAGCATTTCTGTAGAAAGAAGTCAATTTAAAGAAAGACATTAAGAAGGAAAGAAGCATGATTCTGAAGGAGGTAAGAGGAATGAGATTAGGAGCACAAAGTTTGCCTCGGGAAGTGACACTGAGGGAAATGAAGGGAACTTGAAAAAGATGGTCATTTACTAAAACTGTCAGGTGCAAGTTTCAGTTTGAGGGACTACAGAGAATAGAGAAAATCTGGAAGAATAGCAGAGGCATATGATTCAGTAAACAATGAACAAGGAGACTGCTAAGGAGTGATGAAGATGCAACTAAAGCTACAAACATACTTCAAACATATACAATAAAGGTAATATTTAAGATTCTTCCCCACGGGCAGTGAATTTATTTTTACTATATTTGGTTTTGTTGTTGTATTATTTGATTATTACATGTAAGAGGAGAGGAATGAGTAACAACAACTGTGCTTCAATTGTAATACTACCAACAGGGAGATATTCTAAATACATTATTCTTTATGGTGTATATGTTTTCACAGGAAACTTCCCCAATAGCTTGAATAATTTATGATTTGATTTTAATATTTTGCAATCGTTTGGAAATATGTAAATAGTCTCTTATTTAGTGAAAGTCTGAAAAAAGCAAGGGTCAACGAACAAAGGCAACATCAAACGGTAGAAACATCACATTTGAGGAAAAAAGATATATTTTAACATATAACTGGGCCATTTACAAAAGAATAATCAGATAAATATTTGTTTCCATGCCCATCTGAGAATAATGCCTCAACAAATAGCTATGGACACTTAGAACAGGAAGCTTAGATATAATAATATTGCATAATTTAATAGGACAAATAGCTGTTGAGTAATTTCATTTTAAAATAGAAAAGCTAAAATAGGATCTCAGCTATCCAGAAACCTCACACAGTGAGTTGATCTGGATAGCAGAGAGTCTATACGTCCTAAATAGCAACAATTTTTATCTTAGCCATTTTGTATAGAAATATTTTGAAGATATATTGTACACTTTGCTGCCTCCGTAAGGACAATCTATTGAAAATACATTTTTGCTAATTCGCATAATTATCATGAACATCAAATACTGTGCTGTGCTGTACCTACAAGGTCTGTAGGGCATATTTGAGGTGTGTCTATTTGTTTCTTCTCTAAATAGACCAAAACTGTTCTATGCTCAAAGATCTTTTTCATTTACAAATTTAATTTTAATTTTTTTTTTTTTTTGAGACGAAGTCTCACTCTGTCACCAGGCTGGAGTGCAGTGGTGCAATCTTGGCTCACTGCAACCTCCGCCTCTCAGGTTCAAGCGATTCTCCTGCCTCAGCCTCCCGAGTACCTGGGACTACAGGCGTGCACCACCACACCCGGCTAATTTTTTTTATTTTTAGTAGAGATGGAATTTCACCATGTTGGCCAGGATAGTCTCGATCTCATGACCTCGTGATCCGCCTGCTTAGGCCTCCCAAAGTGCTGGGATTACAGGCGTGAGTCACCGCACCCAGCCAATTATTATTTTATTTATTCTAATGATATAATCAGCAGAGAGTCACTGAAGAATATTGTAAAAAATGTGAAGGAAGTACAAATCACTCATATACCATGGTATAGCCACAAAGACTATTAATATTTTGGTGTATTTCACTCCAATTTTTTAATTAGCAGCTGCGTATATATATACCTATTTCTTTTTTTTACATAGTTGAGACCAATTATACAGTCTGTATTCTGCTTTTTGTTTTTTAAGATATTATCTGCTTTGATAATTATTTCATCTCTTCCACTATAGTCAAGATATTAACTATCACGTCTTAGTGCTTCCAGTGAGTCTTAAAGTATCTGTCTACCTCTCAATCCTGGTATGTATGCTGTTTCCCATTTGCTGGACGGTGAAAAAAATAGAAAATCCAATTTGATAGAACTATGTCTAACATAATAAATAGATTTTGAGTAAGGTACTTGGAAGACTCTCTTTTGATAAAAGTCTACATGCTGCTTTTTAAGGACTTGATCACATTCCTTTCGCCTGTTGAGGGATATTTTTGTTTTTGCTTACTTTCAGGTTTACTGCCATATTTTGAAGAGATAGATAGCATTTCCAGGTAGGTACAGTTGCTGGAAGAGTGGACTTTCAGAGAGGTGAAGTGTTCCTGTGCTGCAATGTTACAGAATACCATAAATCTGATGCATGAGCCTGACCTAGCAGCTTTCTAATACACACCTACACAGATATAAAAGTTCCCTCGTTTAAATTTATTTCTGCTGAATAAGCAGCAATAATCTGTGTTATCTCTCTTCGGAAGATCTAATTACTTACTTATCTGTGTTCCCAAGCCACCATGTACTTGCTTCAATATTATCCTTATCATCCTATATTATTTTAAATTGAATCACATGAAATAAATATTTTCATAGGTCAAACAACAACGTCATATGGCTCAACCTAACAGTTTAATTTATTGTGTTTCTCTTTTCATACTAGACAGTATATTCCTTTGGGGTAAGGTCCATCTTTGTACCATCAGGCTTTGGCTATAATAAATATTAAAATATTTGTTCAAAGAATGTAAATATAGTATATTCAAATCAGTGATTACAGATTTTATGCACTGACTTGACCCAAGTTAATCATGCTTTGCATCTAGTAAGTAGTAAAAAATCCTCATGTCATTTACTTTCTGAATCTCTTCTAGGGAAAAGCTGTACTGATTTTCTACATATAGTATATGTACTATATGTAGAAAGATGTTTACAACAGCATTATTTATGGTAGCAAAAAAAAAGAAACAAATTCAATTTCTAATTTAAGGGATGGATGGAGTGAATATCATACATTCTTACGTTCAAATAATATACAACCATTTAAAAGGAGACTTATCAAGATATTCATTAATGTAAAAATGCTTATAAATTTAGGTGGAAAAGTAGTATATACAACTTTGTATACAGTATAATATGAACAATGTAAAATATGCATAGAAATACAAGATAGAAGAAAAAAACAAAATGTAAAGGTGGTTGCTTCTGGATGTTGAGACTATGCATTTTCCTTTGTCTTTATATTTTACACATTCCCACATTTTCTACAATGAACATACATTACCTTTAATAATGGAAAACATTTTAAAAGAGAAAAATATATGATGGCAGTACACTTCAAAGAAGTTGGCCAAGAAAAGAAGGAAGACAAGAGGGATATGTAATTGATAAAACAGAGCATTTATTTGGAAAAGTTATTTATTCATTCTAGAAATCTTTACTGACGACATATTATGTGCCAGGGACATAAACAATCTTAGCCATGACTTTTCACGTGGGTGACTCAGAACACTTCAGAAGCCTACGTCCATTGTATTTTGTGTTTTAACTTTTAGAAAATGGAACTAAACAAAATCATTTTAGTCAGATAATTCTGGAATACTAGAAAAGGGGCACTGACCAATTTGTAATTCTATAAGTGTATCTCTTCATGTGGTACAATTCCTTTTCACAGTCATGTTGGTCACCATCAAAATCCAATGTAAAAAGAGAACAAGAACCTCTAGCACTTGAGAATAAGAATCTACCCACAGTCATTTCTAAGGATGGTCAAACTCTAGATGACCTCAGCAGGAAGTCCTAGTATCACTTTTTACAGAATGCTAAATTTGTCATTTGAAGATAAACCCTAGACACTGATAGCTTCTGTTCATAAGTTTCATGAAAGCAAATGAAACACTAAAATATTAATGTTATATTTCTGCCTCTAATAGAGCTATGATGGCTGTGGCCCCCTCTAATCACAAGACTTAAAAATACATTTGTCTCTAGTAATGAACACTTCAATCAGAAAAACAAGATGAAATCTTTATAGAGATACTATAGGATGTATGCACAAGTTGTATTTCTTAGACACATATTTGACTATATTCGTTTCTTTTTTTAAGAGATATTATTTTTGCAGTCCATTTCTAACTAAAACATCTGAAGCTTCAATCTATCCAAGCAAAATATTGGTGTTATATATTTAAATATTTTTCCTAGATTGAAAAATAATGAGATAAAAAAACAACTGAACTGCTAGAGTTGCTTGTCCTTGATCCAAAATAATTTTCCTTTCAAAAATTTTACTACAATAGCATAGCTTACCTAGGAAAATAAAACATTTTCCACAGTATAGATGTAGTCATAAAAAAAGAAGTCTAAAGTTGAACTATGAAGGCCAGGTTACAGGCAATATTTCTATTGCTTTGTAAACGTGTAATAACAGAAGCAGTAGGTTTTCTTATAATTATTTGGAACATGGAGTATGGGGAAAGGCACACTTTAAAATAAGGTTTGTTCTAATTGTTCCATTTAGAAAATATCAGACTTATTCTATATTGATAGTGTCTAACAGGCAATGCAACTGTAAGTTCAATATACTATATTTACTGCTATGAGTTAAGCACCCCATAAATCATTGCTTACATTTTAATTGTTCATTATTTTAATCAATTATATAATAGAAATAAATGAAACCAATAACATTGCACTTATTTTCATAATAACATCAAAATAATCATCATACAACTTAAATTCGGCATCATGTCTTCTAATGTCAAAATCCTGCTTAATTTTACCAAAAAGACTTATTTGAGAGATGAATACTAGAAGATATCTGCACCAAAACAATGCTTCCCTTTCTAATATAACAACAGTCTTGTGGTTCAAATGTAATGGATATCACATTTTCTCACAGCGTTGGACTGTTGGAGATGCGGCAGGTAATGTACATACATGTCAGATCACACAGAGCCTTTTGAGCTACTGTAAAAAATTTAAATTTCTCCTAGAAGAAATGGGAAGATACTGAAGGGTTTAAGTGGCATTGATTTAACATAGTATTGATAATAATCTTTAAACACTTTAAAGCTCTATTCAAATTTTAAATAAATACACTTTAAAAGTTTCAAAGAAGTTTCACATTCACCATCTCACTTTATCTTCTTAGCCACTGTAGGAAATAAGCAGGGTGTCTTCATTGTGATTAACTTAAGGATTAACTTTTTAAAGTGTGGAAAAGATCCTATCAGTATGAAGATTTCCTGAAGTTTCAACGTCAAAACTTGCTCTTTTTTGGGTGGTTTGGGAGGATTAGCAATGAAAGATTTTCTAGAAGTTTTCACTTCTTAAAAATTACAAATCTTCCCTTCTTCCTTTAAAAAAAAAAAAAAAAGTAGCCCATTGTATAGGAGGCTTATCCTGTGACTTAAAGCTGTCATTCAAAATGGACAGTACATCTTAATGAAGGGTGCTAATTGCATTAATATTCTGGGCTACCACAGAAAAGCATAGCATGTAGGTATGTTAATAAAAGATAAAGGCCATAATTATAGCACTTCAGTAAATTGTGGGACATAAGGGCTCCCAGATTCACCTCAGAAATGAAAAGAGAAAGAAAAGAGTCTATGCAATTGAAGGACTCAGGGCAAAAGTTATACAGAGGTGGGGGCTGCGGGATGAGAAAGTCTCAGACCGAAAACAGCCTGAGCAGACAATGGGAAAAAATACTAGAGTGGCAACTAGTGCTCTTACCAAACACCAAAGGAGCTACATACGTGTACACATAATATAGCTCCTTTTACCATGTCAGATTTTCTAAGAGGCTTTTATAATTAAAATACATTCACCGCCTCCCTATACTTTAAAAGAAACTAACCAAGCTTATGATTCTAAAGCTATTTATTCAAGGATGTTGTAGGTTAAAGATTGTATACATAGTAATTTATGGCATGTAGAATACCCCTTACATTCGAACCACTGTAAAAACTGAGCTACATAACATGATTTTATAATATCTTCTAGGATTTTTACCTCTTGATACCCATGCCTAACTTCCATTAACATTAAAGTGCAGATTTATATGTGCTCACAGCTGGTGGATATATCTAAATTTTATTAAAATAAAAGGGACCAATAGCCACTATTTATTTCCAGGCAATGTAGAATTTGAAGAATCGCATAAAAGTCTTTTTATTTTAAGAGCCTAATGTTTATTTACTACCCTTCATCTAGATGCTACAGCACTCAAGAAACTTGAACTGATATTCACACAATACATAACAATCGCTTGATCCACTTAAAAAAAAAAAAGGCAGCTGCTTCTTAGGCTTAACCATGCTATATAATGCAGAGGACAGTAAATGATAAATACCATAGCCAATTGAAATTGCATAAGCAATTTTAGTGAGTAGAATGTAAGACATACAGCATTATTCAATGCTGAGTATTTTCATAAGCAATGGTGAGAAGTGCTAACCCACGGCACAATGGGACCCACTAAAGGGCACCATGGTGGGACTCATTCAGCCACTGGTTCCCCCCACTCTTTGTCCCTTTGGCTGCAGCTCTCACTCCTTGCTTGTCGTCTGAGTGGAGATTTAGTCAGATGAAATTCCCTGGGATTATAATAGGAATTGTTTTGTTAAAAGCCGGGTAACCAATTGAAAATACTACCTTCCTCCACCCCTTCCCAACAATCTTCCCTTTGAATGACCATCGGTAGTTTCACAAAATATAATACATCTATATTGCATAAAGTCGTTTACCTGCTAGTTAACCAGAAAGTATTATTTAGTTTCATTACTTTAATACAAAAATCATAAAACAAAAGGCATTTGTAATAAAAACAGATTATGCAACAAATACCTGTTTTCAAATTGCCTTGGGACTGTTTATGGAGTGGTGTGGCCTAAAGCAATTACTAACACCAGATTTGAATGCTATTATAAATAGGCATAGGCTTTCCTTAGATAACCTGTACTTATATTTATCAATAAAAGCTGAGACTTAAAGCTTGTAGTAATAACTTTGTGGGGAAAGCAGAGAAAACTTATTATCTGTGATCCCTTCTTTATCTCTCCCTATTACATCTGGGACAACTCTGTAGTACTTAGGTGATATGACTAAATCTTATTAGTAGAGGGCTTTTCTATTTTAAGCACAAATCTGGCATTAAAAAGTCCCAAAGTAAAAAATTAACATAGCAAATGTCAGGAAATTAAGCAAATTAAAAGATACTGTCAATAGCATGCAGCACTGTCAAAGGACTAATAACTCCAGTTAAATACTATCAGGAATGGGTAGTAGATTTTTGAAAGCAGATACGAAAGCAAGAGAGACATTTAATGTCAAAGCATAAAAGATATTTAGAACACAATAGCTATTATATTAAGCCATCAGTCCTTTGATTATTATTTTATCATTGGTACAGTTAACATAGACGGGTACAAATAGCAGTAAAAATCTGTGAGATTTTCAAATTATCAGCTTGCCCCAGTGCTAATCATGAATTATAACTAGTGCTGGCATTAGTAAGATTCACTTCCAACTTAATGTGTTTATATGTTTTAAAACTAGCTTATTCAGGAAAATATAAACCACAAAAATTGTTAATGATATACAATCTTTTCAAAGTAGGCTTATTTCCTTTTATTTCAAAACTTTATTTCTCTTTCCATAAAGGTGAGGTTACCATGACAGTATTCACAGAGCCCCTGCTTTGGGGTGCTTTTCCAAAAGGAGGGTTTGATTTGTAATTATTCATTTATATTCTTGCTCAGTCTCTATTAACGCTTAAGTGGCAGGTAGTCGGTAATATAAATTACTCATGTGAGTTCTGTTTCAATTAGCTATTAAGAGTCATAAGTGTGGGAAAAAATAATTTTTAGTTTCATGTTAGGTTAGAAAGAAAAACATTTATACCATAACAAAATATTAATTCCCTGTTTTCCTGTTACAAAATCTTGACATTATTAAAGGAGTTAGAAGAGTAGAACAATTTGGAATATATATTGAATTTCTGACTTTAATAATGAAGATGTGGTTCTGTGTAATCTAAAATTAATTTAAAGCTAGTTAAGTAGAATATTCTACTATGTCTGTTTTGTTCTCTCCACTTGTTCAAATTTAACAAGTGGTAGTAGCTTTTAGGACAACAAGCACAAAAGATTCAAATTAGATGTCAAAATTGAATAAGTTAAATCTGCCTTCTTTTATTATTTGAAAAGGATTTAGCTAATTTTCTCAACTAATATTTTTAGAAAATTATTTTGTCTCAATAAAACTTACAGCTCTGTAAAATAAACTTCAAAAGCAGTGACTATTTCTTAAATAGCGTGATATTTAAATTGAAAACAAATAAAATGACAAGTGAAATGGGATAAGAAAGAAGAACCATCTAACAGGCATGCTTTGGAGGGGAAGAAATAAACAAGGGAGGGAGCCTCAACAAAGCCCTGCCATTCTCTGCCCCACACGCAAGTCAAATTAAAAAACCTTTTCATTTGGCCACATTGTAGTCCTATAACCCAAACTACCGTAAAAAATGTAACGGTGGTTTGTTTTTATTTTAACCGTGCTTTCAACATTTTACAGCCTGTGGAGGATTTTCCCTGTTACATACAGAGCTAACGCACCACCCACCATCTCTAGAGGTGAGGTTACCATGACAGTACCCACACAGCCCCCTGCTTTGGGTTGCTTTTCCAATAGGAGGGTTTGATTTATAATTATTCATTTATACTCTTGCCCGGTCTCCATTATTACTATGAGCTGCATAGTGAACCAATGTGAAATAAGTTGACAAAGAAGCAATAGGCTTTTAAAACCCTGACTAAGGCATTCACATCATTGAGAAAAAGAAAATCTCCGAGACCTAGCCCAGGAATAAAAGAACTCAGATCTACCTTAAAGCTGGAACTTCCCTGCTGAGAGAAACAGGAAGAAATGATAGCCCGTAATACCACTGCAGCTGCAATATTTCTGAAGTAGGACACTCAGAAAAGGGCACAAGCTATTAATGTTTCTAGAAACATTACATTTAATTCCTCAGCGAAAGATTTAGCAGCTTAGTGGAAAGAAGCAGCAGACGGAAGAAAAAAAAAAGAAAAAGAAAACCAGAAACCATGAAAGAATAGTCAGCTCTGCAAGGAAATTTGCTTAAACTAATATTAGAAAGAAAATATTTCAGAAATTGTTGCCCCTAGTAATCTTACACCCCAAGGCTAGAAGAAAAGGTCATAGCTAATTGGTGCAAAAGCAGCTTTGGAGACAGAGGAAGAGATACTCTGTGATGAATTCCACCTAACCACTACCCTTTTTACCTTCAATTATGCCAGGACATGTACCACATATTATAGGGCCCAGAAAAGAAGCCATACTTCGAAATTGAGCTTCTTTCATAGTTTTTTTTTTTTTTTTGCAACATTTAACTTTTATAACCCACCCAATTAGGAGAACAAAACCTCTTTAATTGTCAAGAATGGGAGTTAAGTAGTAGTTTGAAGTTATGCATAATTAAAATGATTTGCATGATTTGGTTTAAAAAAACCACACACAATCAATCAAATATACTATTTTCCTGGGGCCATACTTCAGTTTAGGTAAACAGATAAACACATGCACTACAGAGTCCTACTTTTATTGGAGCAAGCCTCCAAGTTTAAAAAACAAAACAAAACAAAAACACGTGGATGAACATAGGTGTATATTTTCAAAATATTAGAGAAAAACATTAACATATCAATTAGGTTATAAGGAAAGTGCTTTAAATTATTTTTTTCTTTGTTTTACATGCCTTAATAATAAAGAACTCCCCCTAGAGTAGAATTTAAGTATGACCTGTTTTAGTAAGAACTATTTTGACTGAATTTGGAGAGACAAAAATAAAAAATGCTAAACCTACCAACCTGTTCTACATATTGAAATACAGAATTTTTTCCTTTTCATTAAACACATTCACACTTGTCAAATGTAAATAAATATGCACTGTAGTTTGAGGAACTTTTATGAAAAGATATTTTTTCCTTTTAAAGTTTTTTTAAGAGTGTAGACTTTTTTGAGAGCAAAATAATTATGTAGTCATTTTGCAATTGTGTATACTAATTGATGAAATCATTAATATAGAAATACAAAAGGTTAATTATCTACTTGATGCCTTACTCACTATCACAAACACTTGTAAATTCCAGTGGTGATGAGGTCATAATTCCAAAAAGGCTGGCAACCAAGAATTTCATCCAGGAATTTTTATCTATCCCTTTTAAACGCTTCTTCCCCCACCCCCACCAAGATTAGAACAATTTTACATAAATTAAGAGAGGGTTTATTTGGAGTAATGTGTATCGTCGCTCTTGGTTTTTTTTCCCCCCCATAAACCAGACAGAATGCTGAGACTTAAGACAGATAAAAGACTTGAAACAATGCTTAGACACCTATATTTTCCTGATTTTTCCCCCCAGTTTTTCTTACCCACAACTAATGTGTAGAATAGCAGGTTGGGGCAATGGAGGTGAAAACCAGTGTTGTGAGGGGCTGGGTGTGGTGGCTCACGCCTGTAATCCCAGCACTTTGGGAGGCCGAGGCGGGCAGATCACCTGAGGTCAGGAGTTTGAAACTATCCTGGCCAACAGGGTGAAACTCCATCTCTACTAAAAATACAAAAAAAAAAAAACAACAAAAAACAATAAGAAAAATTAGCTGGGCATGGTGGCGGGCACCTGTAATCCCAGCTACTCAGGAGACTGTGACACGAGAATCTCTTGAATCCTGGGGACAGAGGTTGCAGTGAGCCAAGATCGCACCACTGCACTCTGTTGCCTGGGCAACAGAGCGAGACTCCTTCTCAAAAAAGAAAAAGAAAAAAGAAACAGTGTTACGAGGGAGATAAACAGATAAAACAAAATTCTTCTGAATCAGGAGAACAAAGTGAGGAAAGTAGTGCGCAAAAAGCCTCAGGACCATAAAGTACGGGAAGCAGGAAAAAAGTGAAAAAGGGATAATCTATAATGCTTACAATCTGTGTGGACAGCATTCAACTTGCCCATAATATTTTCTCAGTGCTTTGCATCTTCCTCTGCCAGGAAGTTTCAGTTCTAAATAAGCCATGCAAACTGATCAATACTGTTTATGGCAACAAAAAAACATTATTTCAATTGTTAGATGTGACATTTTTCTTCCCATTTGTCCTTCCCAACCTGTATCCTATGGAAATTCAACATTTAAAAGATTCTCTAATAATTTCCTAGAAACACATGATGTTGGAACTTCATTTCTAAATTTATTTTCTAATAATTTCTAATAATTACTCACTAATTTATTATACCCAGTCACTAAGGATAGGCATCATCTGGGTGCTTCCACGTTCTGGGTTTTTAGGACTACTAACTGAGCTTATTATAATGTTCTTCCAGGTGCAAAAGAGTTTGTTTAAATTTGGACCATAAAGTAAAATCTATGTACTAGAAAAGTACTTTTTAAAGTCCTTTTTCTTTTCAATTCATGATTGTTTATGGTTGATGATATGACAATAGAATTAAATCCACAAATATTATGTACAAAGCGCTGTCATTTCTCATTATCTCTTCCACATAAGGTAGTACTGATATAGACAACTGAGATGATGTCACAAACATAATTAAAATAAACACTGGATTATCCACAGAAAATCATATTGCTTACCCCTCCTGATACAAACATTCCTTCATAGTTTAGCTCCAAGTATTTGGAGATAATCTATCGGTTTATTATGAAAAAAGATAAACATGTACACTTTTGATTAATAACTATAAGGCTGCTAAAGCTCGAACAGGTATTATAACTGAAATAAAAATGAAATCCATGCACAATAGCATTAACTTTCCAAAGAACTATATGAAAATCATACCCTTGTTTTTGTTTTTCATTTCTTTGTGTCCAGGATATACACTGACTTTCTGAAACCACTGCAGATTTGTGAATAATGTATGAAATTAAAAAAAAAAAATTCCTGTTCATTGCCCAGAGAGTATTGTATTGCTTGTGGTATACTGTATCTATGCTAGACAAACAATAGAACAGACCAGTAAACCTAAAATCTGAAGCTAAAACCTTCCCAAGTGGAAAGGGAAAATACCATCCTGGATTCCAGAAGTCCCTCAAACAAACAGATCAAATCCTTATAACAGTCTTACATACTATTACGTAGAACTGAATAAAACCCTTAAACGAGAAAGATCTATTCTTCTGAGCAAATAAGTGTGACAGTTGGAAAAGCAATTATTTACTTACTGATATTCTAAAGAAATTCACTAACTTCTATTTCCCCATCTTATAGAGCATCACAGTATTTGCAAAGACTGACGAGAACATATGTAAAGCTGAAACAAAAGGGTATTATTGTCACTCTATTCTTATTTTCTCTGGCAGTATTTAGGAATTTGCCCTCTAAGTAGCCATGTGGGAGTGGAACAAACCATGATTTGAGTTGAGAATGACATAGGGGTAGCAGTCAAATGCAAACACAATGAATGTAAGAATAAGAATAATGGCATACAGTTACATTGTGTTTTTTATATAAAGTCGGCATTTTTCTTTACTTGTCAAGCATAAACATTACTGAGTAGAAAGGTCACGTGAAGGTAACATACATAGGACATGCGAGCTTGCTCATAAAAACTCAGCTTTAATGGGATTTCATTTACAGTGATGTAGAATACAATTTCTATTTCCTCCATCCCTCAAATTTCAAACTTCAGAGACAGCTTTAGGTATAATATATTAAACAGGCTTTTGTGTAGATTCAATCTTTTTAAAATAATTGTGAAGTATTCAACAAGCAGGTATCAAAAGCATATGCTATGAGTTATGTGCTAGATGCTAAAAATAAATCACAATCTTTTAACAGCAGAATATAGTTATAAGCATAGTATTTTTATACTTTGTATCATCTATCAATATATCTTTAAGAGAGTTGACTTTGAGCATAACTTTAAAAGGCTTCCCGGAATAGGTGAGGCACTATCTTAGATTCAAGGTATTTTGCAAATGCAAAAGATACCAAGAAATAATAGAAGAACTGAAATCTCAAAAGGGTTCTGTGGGCTGAGTGCAGTGGATCACGCTTGTAATCTTAGCACTCTGAGAGGCCGAGGCAAAGGAACTGCTTAAGCCCAGGAGTTCGAGACCAGCATGGGCAACATAGTGAGACTCTGTCTACAAAAAAATTTAAAATTAGCCAGGCACAGTGCTGTGAGCCTATAGTTCCAGCTACTCGGGAGGCTGGGGGTGGGGTTGAGGGGCTGTGGGGGAGAATCCCTTGAGCCCATGAGAGTCAAGGCTGCAAAGAGCCATGATCATGCCATTGTGCTCCAGCCTGGGTGACAGAGGGTGACCCTACCTCAAAACAAACAATCACAACAACAACAAAACCCAAAACAAAACAACTGTGGCGCTTAAGATACCTACTGCTTTCTTCCTTCCTTCTTTCAGCTTCCACTCCTCTCATTTTAATGGGCAACAAGAAAAGGAACTACCAGGAGTAAGGTTCAAATTTTAATACACAGAAGAGGTGTATCTAAAGGTTTAATGAAAATTGAAGGGTCAGAAGTACATTCATGTCCAGGTAAATCTGGTTGTCTTGGGATGTCCACTGGGAAAGCAGATGGATTCTGCTGTAAAGCAAGCAGAGCTTAAAATTTCTTATCCCTATTTAGGAAAATACTTAATAATATAGAAATGAGCCTGTATGAGAGAAACTTTCCCATAATCAAGGCCACCAATTAGAATAAATGTTTATTTTCCTTTAGTTGTAAAAGCACTTAATTTTCTAGAAATTTTAAGGTACTTATGACAACCTGTTGAGTATCTTTTTGTTTTTTGTAGTTGCAAATGCACAGAGCGTCTGCTCCTGTTAGACTGGCATCATGCACTTGCCATATAAGATCCCAATCATTTATTCCTGAATTGCAAGTTTGTAAATAAGCAGGTAGTTGTGTGAGCTTAGCTACCAACATTAGCATGTCTGAATTTTTGACATGAACTTAAAACAACCAAGATAAATTTATTGCTGCATAATTGTTTGTCCTAACTTATCACATATTCCAATAACTAAAGAAAGCCTGCTATAATCATATTCTCATAAAAGTCAACTAGAATTGACCTTATCTCCTATTTTCCTGCAGGGATCACCAATGAGGAAATGTGCAGCAGAGCTGATAATATTGTGTAGGAGAACAGACAAGGAAGTGAGTGATTGAAATTTCTATAGAGAACATCATCAATACTTACTTAGAACAATTTTGCATATAAATAGGGGATAAATGGTCCATGCTCAATTTGTTCTCTAATTGTCAAGGAATGATCAAGGATAGACTACATAGCAATCTTCAGTTTCTAGCTTCCTTAATGCAAAGCTAGATCTTATTAGCCAATACATGTGATGTCTGTCCCAAAAGTAAATTTTATTTTATTTTATTTATTTATTTTTTTGAGACGGAGTCTCGCTCTGTCGCCAGGCTGGAGTGCAGTGGCACGATCTCGGCTCACTGCAACCTCTGACTTCCTGGTTCAAGCCATTCTCCTGCCTCAGCCTCCAGTAGCTGGGATTACAGGCATGTGCCACCACGCCCGGCTAATTTTTGTATTTTTAGTAGAGACAGGGTTTCACCATATAGGCCAGGATGGTCTCGATCTCCTGACCTCGTGATCCGCCTGCCTCAGCCTCCGAAAGTGCTGGGATTACAGGCGTGAGCCACTGCGCCTGGCCCCAAAAGTAAAATTTAATTTTCATTTAAAAATAAAAAGAAAATGGAAACAAACAAAAATTACATAGCCAATACAGGTACACACTTCATCAGAAGATTCATATGAAGTGATGAAAAAAAGACACTAAATTAAGTGGTCTCTAATAGCACTTGAGAACTCAATGCAATCTGACTTCTACTCCTTTTTTTTTTAGACAGAGGTTCAAGCGATTCTCCTGCCTCAGCCTCCCGAGTAGCTGGGATTACAGGCATGCACCACCATGCCCGGCTAATTTTGTATTTTTAGTAGAGACGGGGTTTCTCCATGTTGGTCAGGCTGGTCTCGAACTCCCGACCTCAGGTGATCTGTCGGCCTCAGCCTCCCAAAGTGCTAGGATTATAGGCGTGAGCCACTGCGCCCAGCCTACTTCTACCCCTTTCTTATCGCCTCCCTCCAAACAGATTCTCCTGAAACTCTTTTGGCTAAGGTCACCAATGAATTTCTATTAGTGAAATCCAGTGGATCCTTTCCAATCCTTATTTTAGTCATCCTCTCAGGTACATGTTTATAAATTTGTATAAATTTAAGGGGTACAAGGGCAGTTTTGTTACATGGATATATCCTGTAGTGGTGAAGTCTGAGCTTTTATTGTAACCACCATCCAAATAATGTACATTGTACCCATTAAGTAATTTCTCATCTCTCACCCCCCTCCTACCCTTACATCCTATTTGAGTCTCCCATGTCTATTATTCCACACTCTATGTCATTTGAGTCTCCCATGTCTATTATTCCACACTCTATGTCCATGTAATCTCTGCTATATTTGATGTTATTAAGCTCTTTCTCTTTGAAAAGCTCTACTCCTTTGGCCCCTGTGATACCACAATAGCTTTCTTCTCCCCATATCTCCATAATCAATACCTTCACACTCTCTCTTTCTTTTTTTTTTTTTTTTTTTTTGTGAGACGAAGTCTTACTCTTGTCCCCCAGGCTGGAGTGCAATGGTGCAATCTCGGCTCACTGCAACCTCCACCTCCCGGGTTCAAGCGATTCTCCTGCTTCAGCCTCCCGAGTGGCTGGGATTACAGGTGTCTGCCACCACACTCAGCTAATTTTTGTATTTTTAGTAGAGACGGGGTTTCACCATGTTGGCCAGGCTGGTCTCGAACTCCTGACCTCAGGTGATCTGCCTGCCTTGGCCTCCCAAAGTGCTGGGATTACAGGCATGAGCAACTGCGCCTGGCCCATGCTGTCTTTCATAGGCTCCAAATTCCGAGCTAGTCCCATAAATTGGTGGTTCTCAACTTTGGAAGCACATTAAAATTGGCTAAATAATTTTTGAACATGCTATCATCTGTGCTCCAATCCTATAGATTTCAATTTGATTGCTTCAGAGAGGAACTGGACGTGGGTATTTCCTAGAAGTACCTCAAAGTAATACCAGTGTGTGGCCAGAGCTGAGAATCACTGCCATAAATGTTTCTTTTCTCCAGGGTTCTGTCTTAGGATCACTGCTCTACTCATTCTCCAGAGATTATCTGACCCACCCTCATGTTATTAACTATCACCTGGATGTTTATCATTTCTCCGAGACTCCTGGACTCATGCTGCTGAGAAAACTAAGTGGCTAGCATAAGGATATCTGATTTGCCCCTATTCGACCACCTGCTTCCCTCCCATCAAGAGAATTACATATGTACTACCACCCACCTGCTCCTGACTTTCACCCTTTGCAAACCAGTTAATTCTGAAGTTGACAAAGATTTTCTTAAGGTGGCCCCACCCACCCCCCGCCCCTCTTTTATTTTGAGACAGAGTCTGGCTCTGTCACCTGGGCTGGAGTGCAGTGGCACGATCACAGCTCACTGCAGCCTCAACCTCCTGGACTCAAGTGATTCTCCCACCACAGCCTCCTGAGTAGCTCGGACTACAGGTGTGTACCACCACACCTGGCTAATTTTCTTTTCTTTTCTTTTTTTTTTTTTGAGACGGAGTCTCGCCCTGTCGCTCAGGCTGGAGTGCAATGGCACGATCTCGGCTCACTGCAACCTCTGCCTCCTGGGTTCAAGCGATTCTCCTGCCTCAGCCCAAGTAGCTGGGATTACAGGCGCGTGCCACCACGCCCAGCTAATTTTTGTATTTTTAGTAGAGATGTGGTTTCACTATGTTGGCCAGGCTGGTCTCGAACTCCTGACCTTGTGATCCCCCTGCCTCGGCCTCCCAAAGTGCTGGGATTACAGGTGTGAACCACCGCACCCCACCCCTGGCTAATTTTCAAATAAAAATTTTTGTAGAGACAAGGTCGCCCTGTGTTGCCTAGGGTGGTCTTGAACTCCTGGGCTCAAGAGATCCTCCTGCCTTGGCTCTACAAAGTGCTGGGATTAAAGGTGTGAGCCACTGTGCCCAACTCCTATTCATTTTTGGCACCTTTTCCATCCTACCCTCTTCTACCCTGTTAACTCAAGAATATCTCTCCTCTACCCTCAATCCAGTCCCTCTTTGTATGAGCCATAAATGTTCTTCATTTTAACTTATGAGAGTAAAACTCTACATTGGAGGCTATGAATTACATATCACACAACTACAAATCACTAGGCATGCTAAGGTAGTTTAGCTAAATCACACAGTATATGCTCAACAAATGCAACTGAATTAAGCAGGGGGCATCACATATTTGAAAGTAAAATTTGGCATAATTATTAGTGATTGACAATTCCATTCAAGATCTTTGGTGTGTCTAGCGTTTCCTGTCAGAATCTCTAAAAGAGACACAATTTATCTTTTCATTGTCTTCTAACTACTTTTCTTTCCCTCAAATCTCAGCATTCAAGGTATAAAATATATTCTTCATTATTTAATGCATTATATCCTGGCTCTTGGTGTGGCGTGGTGGCTTATGCCTGTAATCCCAGCAATTTGATAGGCTGAGGCGGGCAGATGGCTTGGGCCCAAAAGTTCAAGACCAGCCCGGGCAGCATGACAAAACCCCATCTCTACAAAAAAAATAAATAAATAAGTAAAAATAGCTGGGCGTGGTGGCATGCACCTGTCATCCCAGTTACACAGAAGGCTGAGGTGGGAGGATCATCTGAGCTTGGGAGTTTGAGGCTGCAGGGAGTGGTGATCGCACCACTGCACTACAGCCTGGGTGACAGAGTCAGACCCTGTCTCAAAAAAAAAAAAAAAAAAAAAAAACAAACAAACAAAAAAAAAAAACAAGAAGCTGCCTCTTGGCCCTCAAAATTACATTGAAAGTACATGGGAAAAGGTCAGGTGTAATCTGCTAGTTGAAAAACCCATTGGTCAATTATCAGTTGTCATTCTGCCTAGCTTTTCTATAGGATGTGACCATGTTGACTAATTCTCCATTCTGAAATTCTCTCTACTCTTGGTCTTCCAGGTACTACTTTTTTTTTTCTTTTTTTTTTTTTTTAAAGAGAGGGTCTCACTATGTTGCCCAGGCTGGTCTCAAATTCCAGGGCTCAAGTATTCCTCTTGCCAGTTGGGATTACAGGCACGTGCCTCCATGCCCAGCTCTTAGGTACCACTTTTTACTGCTTCTCTTCTTCCCTAATTTTTTTTTCTTTCTGAGTATCCTTTGTTGATTTCTCTATTTACCTCTTAAATATTATAATTCCCAAATGTACCATCCTCAACCCTCTCATTTGAGATGTCCTTTCTGGGTGATCCCAAGGTTTCAATAAACATATATATGTGCAGATGTCCCCAAAATCTGTCTCCAGCCTCAAACTCATTTACGTGTGTGTGTGTGTGTGTGTGTGTGTGTGTGTGTAAAATCATGTAATCCTTTACTTTAAACCCCCTGCTGGCTCTTTGCTACAACAAACTAACTTTTCATCATTGCCACTTTACTCCTTCATATCTCCATCACATGTTTTTGTCATTTCCTTTATCTGAAAAGCCTATTCCTCTTGTTTTCCCCCAAACTACTACTCATCCTTCCAAACATAGATCAAAGGCCACTTTCATCATGAAGCCTCTCTTGAATTCTCCAGGCGGTTAGTTGCTCTTTTTAGCACTTTTTGAACACTTATATTATGAAATTTATATCATATGTCTTTCCCATGAGGCTCTGAGTTTTTAAGGGCAAGACCCATATTTGTACTCCAAGGCCCTAGCACTGCTGCCTGGCCCCTAGTATTTGATTAATAAGTATTACTTGGATGAATGTCATGCTTTTATTTATTTCCTTGCATTACTTTCTAAAACCAGATTTTAATTGTATATTACAATATAATGAATGTATTATAGACTAAATGGGGCTTAGTGTGGTAGTATAAGATTCTGACATTTATAAAACAGAGACTGAGAAAGTTCATGAAGAAGAACTTATCTTCAGGGAGAAAGAAGTAAACAGCTTGGAATGAACGACCAGCAAGACCTAGTAATAATAAAACAAAACAAGCACAAAACCACAATAGACCTTGGTCATCAAGATGATGCTGAGTATTACGTGGGATCTGTTATGAGCTTGTCTTTGGCTCTTGCCATCTTGGGTCAAATCCTCTGTGATGGTGGGCGGGGGAGGGTGTCATTTAAAATTGAAAGCTCTTTCTCTAAAATTATCTGTAATAGTCTGAGGCATAAGCAGTACTACTTGGTACACAGGTGGAGTGCCGCACTAAAGGAAAAGAGAGAGGCATTTCCCCCCTACTTTGTCAATGATGACTGTCAAACTCTGGCGTTGTGAAGCCATGAGTCCCTGCTGCTACAGAAGACAGCAAGCGTAGAAATGCATGATATTATAGCAGAGGTGGAGGAACGGTGGTGTTTGCTTGTTTCTGTGAAATGCCCCCTGATAACTCCCAGAAATGCTTCATAGATCCCTTATAGCAGATGAGGTGCTGAATGTGTATGTAGAGACAAGAGCCAGCAAAATTTGAGTTTTCTTATTTACATGAGGCAGTGAGGCCTGGGGAAATGTGGGTTTTGTTTTGCTGTGAAATTATTCTTCCCTAATACATACGGAGGTTTCTTTTTCTCTGTTGTATAACATTGTTTCTTGTCCCCTATCTGTTCTCAAATGGTAAATTATACCTTCTCATTTATACTGTTATCTTGCTGACACATAAAACTAGGATCATGTGTCTCCTGAGTTGCTCCTGATTTTTGAAATTTAGTTTTCTTGGTTGCCCCGTGTGGTTCTAAAACCAAAATACATTTATTGTTTCCTGGTTTCATTTCTTCATAATGCTTCTCTTGTGTGTTTTTTTAATGTCTAGAACTATATATCAAAATCCAGTCATAGCCAAAATGCTAAGTTAGATATCCACCTATTGCTGAGAAGCCCATTTATATTTACTTACAGTGGGCAAAGAATAAAAAAGTCGGGTTGGTTGAAGAAAGAGAAGCAAGCTCTAAGTATCTATAGCTATTTGGCAATAAAACAGATGTGGAGTTGTGTATTTGTATTTTAAGAGTGGTTTTCTGGCTGGGCACGGTGGCTCACGCCTGTAATCCCAGCACTTTTGGAGGCCAAGGAGGGTGGATCACGAGGTCAGGAGATTGAGACCATCCTGGCTAACACGGTGAAACCCCGCCTCTACTAAAAATACAAAAATTAGCCGGGCGTGGTGGCAGGCCCTGTAGTCCCAGCTACTTGGGAGGCTGAGGCAAGAGAATGGCATGAACCCGAGAGGCGGAGCTTGCAGTGAGCCAAGATCGCGCCACCGCACTCCAGCCTGGGCAACAGAGTGAGAGTCCATCTCAAAAAAAAAAAAAAGGAAAAAAAGAAAAAAAAAAAGAGTCATTTTCACTCCTGCAAGGTGTCTCTCTATGTGCTTCTTTTTCCTCCAAAGCTTATCTTTGATCTTACAATTACACAGCCAGGGCAATTCTTTACAAAGTAGATGGTAAATGTATGCAACTTATTATCTTATGTGGTAACAAAGGCTGTAACAACACAGGATCAAGAAAGATTTAGCAAAATTCAGAGAAGATAAATCCATACTAGGTTGTGAAGGAAAAATGAGATGTACCTTTCACCCACCAAACTGCTAGAAAGAATAGCCCATATTATACAGACACAAAGGAGAGAGGTGGGGGGTTGGGAGTGGTTACTCTAACTCCTATGCTGCACAGGCTTACTGTTCCTATCTCTATTACAGCATATAGAAGACCGCATTGTAAATTGATCACATGGTTTATATTCGTGTTTTCCCAAACAGTATGTGAGCTCCTCTAGGCTCCCGTTTGATTTTGTATCCTCAGTACCTAACTCAGTATAATGCACCGAGGAGGCATTCAATAAGACTGCTCAACTGTTGAATGAATATGATCTTTCCCTATAGCCTCACCATCTACTCTGCATAGCTCTGTATTCTCTTCCCAGTTCCATCACAATATTGAAAGGATGCTCTTCAAAAAGTCATTAGAAAGCTCCCAAATAGCAAATCATCGGTTTTTTACCCTTTTTTATTCCACCAGAGCGTATGTCATTGTCAAAAATGTTCACCTCTCCTCCCTTCTTAGGACTTCCCTCTTCCTTTGTTTCTAGGACAATAATGTCTGGATTCTCCTACCTGCCCAATTGCTCCTTGTCTATCTTCTTTTAGCCCCTTAGTGAAGGTGTTTCCAAGTCTCTGTCTTTGGTTTTCTTTTCTCTTAAAAATCCCTATAACAATCCCTTCCCCTATCCACACTATATCCAGAACACTCAAGAATTCATTTTGTCATGAAATCTGTAACTATATTTCCAAAAATCTTCTGGACATCTTGACCTCAGTGTTCTGCTATCACTTTCAGTTTAACTTATCCAAAACTGAATTTACCTTCTTCTACTATCACCACTCCTTTTCTTGATCTTAATAGTTTAGTAACCTTACGGCTGGGTGCGGTAGCTCACACCTGTAGTCCCAGCACTTTGGGAGGCCAAGGCGGGCGGATCATGAGGTCAGGAGATTGAGACCATCCTGGCCAATATGATGAAACCTCGTCTCTACTAAAAATTAAAAAAAAATTAGCTGGGTGCGGTGGCGTGTGCCTGTAATCCCAGCTACTCAGGAGGCTGAGGCATGAGAATTGCTTGAACCTGGGAGGCGGAGGTTGCAGTGAGCGGAGATCGCACCACTGCACTTCAGCCTGGGGACAGAGTGAGACTCCTTCTCAAAAAAAAAAAAAAAAAAGTTTAGTAACCCAAATGTCTTCTTAGCCAGTCATACTCAAAGCCATAGGGTTATCTTTGCCTCTTGACTACTCCTCTCACGCTAAATTATCTCTAAATAAGAATATGACAATAGACTCCTAATTGATTACTTATACTCCTTTAAATATTCTAATGCGTAACTTGTGTTCCTCCACTGCTTAAAAGCCTTCAATAAATCCCCATTGCTTAGAGAATTGTAAGTTAACACCTTAGTCTCTCATTCAAGCACTCCCTGATATGGAGCAAACCTAATTTTCCAGAATTACCCCTATACTTCTATGCTATATATATCCTATTTTCTTACTGTACTGTTTGCCATTGTTGAAAAATGCTTTGAACTTTCTTGCCTCTGTTTTTCTTAATGACATTTCTTTTGACTAAAATGCCCACTATCCCTAACTCCAGCTCTCACTGTTGGAATCCCTACTCATCCTTCAGTCTTTTCCTCCATTATTATTTTTCTGATATATCTGATAATGCATGCAAGTCCCATTCTCTGAAGTCACACAGTATGTTATTAACACCTCTTGTATGATACTTATTATCTTCTGCCTTATTCTGTAGTCTTTCTGTGCTTTTTATCGTTCCTATAATACACAGGGTCTTATAACTAAGGAAATCTTATCTTAATTATTTCTACATCTTCCCTCATCATGTACAGCATAGTACCTTTTACACAGCAGATGTACAATAAATGAATATTTAGGGGCTCATTTCCTAATCTCTGATTTTGACATCAGCAAAGCTTGTGATCTGGGTTAATATTCAGCTAGTATGCACCAGTACAACCAGAGTCGTTATTTATCACCTGTGTACATTTCGACTATCTGGGGCCTGTGATACACCAGTTAATATTTTCTTTTTTTCTTTTTTTGAGTCAGGGTCTGGCTCTGTCATCCAGGCTGGAGTGCAGTGGCACGATCTCTACTCATTGCAACGTCTGCCTACCGTGCTCAAGCAATCCTCTCACCTCAGCCACCTGAGTAGCTGGGACTACAGGCACATGCCACCATGCTTGGCTAATTTTTTTTTGTATTTTTTTGTAGAGATGGGGTTTTGCTATGTTGTCCAGGCTGTCCTCAAACTCCTGAGCTCAAATGATCCTCTCACCTCAGCCTCCCAAAGTGCTGGGATTATAGGGATGAGCCACCACGCCCAGCCTTTTTGTTTTTTATTAAAAAAAAATATTTTCAATTATCACTACTGATATGATAGTCTACCTTGAAATGCCTTTTGGTACTTAACTGAAACAGCACATCCGCTGAATGGGCTGGAGGCAATATGTGGAAGCTCCTTCTGAGTTACTAAATATGGTAGGTCTTGGGTAGGGGGCACAGGCTCAGAGTGGGCGATTTATAATTTAGGCAACTAATCATATCATTTATTAACATTTTGATTTTCTAATGAAGAATACAGACTATCACCTCATCTTGTTTACATATAAAATTTAAAACATTACAATTAGATGGCCGGGCACAGTGGCTCACACCTCTACTCCCAGCAATTTGGGAGGCCCAAGTGGGTAGATCACCTGAGGTCAGGAGTTCGAGACCAGCCTGGGCAATAGGGCAAAACACAGTCTCTACTAAAAATACAACAATTTGGCCGGGCATGGTGGCTCACGCCTGTAATCCCAGCACTTTGGGAGGCCGAGGTGGGCGGATCACCTGAGGTCAGGAGTTTGAGGCCAGCCTGGCCAACCTGGCGAAATACCATCTCTACTAAAAATACAAAAACTAGCTGGACGTGGTGGCGGGCACCTGTAGTCCCAGATACTCGGGAGGCTGAGTCAGCAGAATCACTTGAACCTGGGAGGTAGAGGCTGCAGTGAGCCAAGATCATGCCACTGTACTGCAGCCTGGGCAACAGAGCAAGACTCTATCTCAAAATATAAAAATAAAAATAAAAATAAAATAAAAATACAACAATTAGCTGGGCATGGTGGTATGTCCCTGTAATCCCAGATACTGGAGAGGCTGAGGCACGAGAATCTCTTGAACCCAGGAGGTGGAGGTTGCAGTGGGCCGAGATCGCACCACTGTACTCCAGCCTGGGCAACAGGGCAAGAGTCCGTCTCAAAAAAATAATAATAAATAAAAAATAAATAAAAAGATTACAATTAGAAACACAATGGTAGAGCTCTGTATTTTACATAACAGTAATACCCATCTATAAGCGATGGTAATGAAAATGGCAAGCAGAGCAGTAAGTACATCTCCGCTGATTGTGGTTGACTCTGATTTTAGTGTTTTTTGGATTTTCCTTTTATTTTACTTTACTTGGGGGAAGATAGCCTTCTTTATAATTAGCCTTTTCTGCTTTTATCTCATCATGCTGAAGTGGAGGTTGTTGGAAAAGATCAAGAATGTCAATGTTGAACAGGGAAAGTATAACAATACCAAGTCAATGGGATCTTGGAAAGGAAACAAATCAGGTGCCTAAGAAAGTAAAAATAACGGGACTAGCAGGAAAAGATGATCTAGCTAGGAAGGGCTGAGGCAAGGAGGAAATCTGTAAAAGTCCCCGGTTCTGCTTCTTCCAGAAAGAGGCAGACAGAGTTTTTTGGCAGACTTGTAAACTCTGTGCCTTCTGTCCCCACTCCCTCACTTCCAGCTCTTCTACTGATGACCAAGGTGCTTCCCAACCACTGCCACTGTCTGCATTCGAGTTTCGTTTTACCTCTGGACATTTGCTTTGGCTGCTGCCACTTGGAATGACTGCCACAGCTAAATCGAGTGATATTTTTAACCCTATGTGTTCATGGAGGCACTCCAGCTACAAACCAAAGGAAATCCCAATTTAGATTACTTGGAATCAGTACTATAAAATTATGCAGTTTGTGAATATATTCTTGGTGTTTCACAGTTGACAACACTATATTCCCTTGAGTACCAAACTCACAGAAACCCCATGGAATGATCTCTCTCTCCAAGTACAGTTTTTCTGGAATCAGTATGAGGTGTGAGACTAATCAGACAAGGGCTTTAGCAAATGTGCATTTTTAAAATAAACAGCCTAGAAAAATTATGGCAGTTCTTTTATGGCCCAGAATAACATGTTTTCACTTATCAGCTGCTTAACAGAGAAATGAATTGATACAAAAATGATTTCAGTTCACCTTTCACTGACTACTATTGCTCTGATAGTTCAAGAAAGAGCAGTGAAGGTTTTTATTTTCCTTAAGAGGTGATAGGGGCTTGATGGCATGGTAGAACATTCTCATTTACAGACAAAGGCTGCGGATAAGTGGAATGGCTGCCTCATAGTTATAGATGAGTAGTGCTCCTAGTATTCTGCCATGCAGCATTACCTTCAAAATGAATATGAACTTATAAATACAGACTTCCATTCTTTTTTTCGTCCAGTCTTCCACCCTTTTTGTAGGCCATCTACGATGCATTCATATACATAAAAGTAGTCTTATACTCCAACCAAAACACTTGTTTCCTCTCAATCAAATCTTATCTTTAGGTTAATCTCTCAGGGACCATCCATAAATAGCAGAGGCAGAATGTTATCCAATATCCATCAGGATTCACCCAAATGTGAAAAAGATGAATATAACATATATTGTCTTCTGCCATCAAGGTCATCACTGCCAAAAGCTTTCCTGGACAACTATGTTCTGGGCCCCATTTCTCTCACTCGTTTGTTGCAATACAATGGTTTTGAGAGCTACTAATTTCCATTAAATGACACATGGTAACTTCCAGTCCAAATAGAGAATATTTTTGGAATTGCAGGCTATTTAAGGCAAATCTTATTAATCTAAATGAAGTAGAGTTTACATATTGACTATTAATTTTCCATTTTTCATTTACTTCTCCATATAGCTTTACAGCCCATGAAGAGGAGTCTTAAAATCAACATACCTAATTTCTTTCTCTACTTCAAGAAAGATATGAGCTACAAATAGAAAACTTTACTGAGAGGAGGTAGACAGTTCAGCCTACTTGGATTATCCTTAGAGGAGCTATTACATTATTTACTTCTACCATAGGGTATGAACAGAGAAAGTAGACAACTTTCCAGTTCACTTGGGTGAGGGAGGTTGTTTTACTTCTTTTACGATTTTTCTTCCCCTGAGATCTATTTTCATAGTGTGGCTTTAACTGTTACTAATCAAATATAAAAACAAAAACTTTGGGATTTGAGGGGATCTTGGAGTATCTGTTCCTCTCCTCCCTTTATTAACATGGATCACAGAGAACAGACTGCACTGCAAAACCAAAACGGTCTCTAGAAACAAGCATTGTCTCAGTTTCCTTACCTGTGAATAGCTAATGTGATCTCCTTAGGGCCAATTACTTTTAATGATTTAATTACATTTATGGTTTTAAACTACTTTCCACCTAAACCACATGCTCATAAAATAACAATTAAAATATTTAATATTAAACACAGTGGGAGTCCTTGTTTCTGATTTTTGTTGTAAAGTCTACAGTTATTTGAAGATACATTTACCAAGTTGAAACTTGCAATCATGTAGATGCCTGCTGAGATTTCACACATGAGCTGAGATCAACTGTTAAAAAAAGTCTTCATGAGGAAGTATTTTTATTTTTCCTTTTTTTTTTTTGGTGTTGCTACTTTGCTCTGAACATTCATATTTTACAATACTATGTGAGGTGGAATGTGTTTTACCTGGATTCCTTGGAATCCGCTTTCGACGGTCTCTGAATGCTGCACCTGATTGTAGGGCTTCTAGAAGATTATCCATCACACCAGTCTCATCACCCTCTGGAGAAAGGGAGAAATCAGAATTAATCTTGGAGCAATTAAAGTTAAACTACAGGAAAATAAAGGGAAAAACTCCTGTCAGATTTACATAATACCCCTAAATTAAAGACATATATCTGTTTTAACATAATGGATCCTGTCAGTTTCTGGCACCACAGACTACTTTGCTTATTATGCACCATTAAGAAAAATTCATGCCAATCCCACTGTTCTTTCAACTTAAAGACCTTGTCTTTTGTATTATTGATGACACGCTCAGTATGCAAATAAACAGTAGCTGATCAGCTACTGCTGCCTTCCTGTTAAGATTCTTATAAGATATTCCTAACCAAGAAACCACTGACTCAGCTTAATGCAATCAATGTGCAGGGCGTGATTTGATGAAGCGGAGTTACACAAGGTTAAATACTGATTGTATTAATACTTTCGGCATTCAACCATCATCTGCGATTATCTTAGAAAACACTATTTGCAAAACACATTTGCATTCAATTCTTACCTAATCCATATCCTTTACCATTTTGAGATGCTAACACTGTATAAAGAAAAAGGTGACCACATTATCTGAAAGGCCACATTTTAACTTTTAGGGACATCAGCCAGAGTCCCACTTCCTTTTTAGAATGCTGCTGTGTGTCTAAACTTTTCCTATGGGAAAGAACTGTTAAGGAGCCATAAGTGGGATGCTCAGAAGATGTTCGTGGAAATTCCTAACAGAAACAGCATTTAAAACATTTTACCCTCCTCCTATCTTTGACAACTCTAGCCATGAAAAACACTTTAAAGATTTGTTAGAGTGTTTGTCTCAAGGTGTCAATGGCCAGAAAGTCTCTATTACACTGTGCATAATCCCCAGTGAGCTCAGCCTGCTCTTCCTAACTGGCCTAGCTGATGAAAAGGACCCTAAATAGGTGGCTACCTTGAGGGTAGCTAAATGTGTGAGTGTGAGGTAGATGACAATTTGCAGGCAAGAGGGTTAAGAGAAGAAGGAGGGAAGAGGGAAAGGACATTGTTTCTGATGCTATTCCAAAGTTAAATCTAAATCCTACTTTGTTTAAAAAATTAACTATGGGGTATGAGATCACAAATGAAAATACATTTTTTTTTTTTTTTTGAGACAGAGTTTCGCTCTTGTTGCCCAAGCTGGAGTGCAATGGCGTGATCGTGATCTTGGCTCACCACAACCTCTGCCTCCGGGGTTCAAGCGATTCTCCTGTCTCAGCATCCTGAGTAGCTGGGATTACAGGCGTGCGCCACCACGCCTGGCTAGTTTTTGTATTTTTAGTAGAGACAGGTTTCTCCCTGTTGGTCAGGCTGGTCTCGAACTCCTGACTTCAGGTGATCCGCCCACCTCGGCCTCCCAAAGTACTGGGATTATAGGCGTGAGCCACTGCGCCCAGCTGAAAATACATTTTCTTATGGGACAAGAGCAAGCTAAAATATTTTTTGATTATGTTCTGCATTTGATCTGAAACTTCTCCAATGTTATAATAATTTATTCTTTTAAAATAAACTCTCTAGGATGGGGTATTGAATGAAAAAAAAAAATGAAGAGAAACACTGAGGTTCTCAGGTCTAATATTTGGTGAAAACAGGAAAAATGAAGTAGAGCCCATTGAGTAAACATGGAAAGGGGATTGTGTAGTTGTAACATTCATTAAGAGGCTGGGCGTGGTGGCTCATGCCTGTAATCCTAGCACTTTGGGAGGCTGAGGCAGGTGGCTCACTTGAGGTCAGGAGTTCAAGACCAGCCTGACCAACATGGTGAAACCCAGAGTCCACTAAAAATATAAAAATTAGCCAGGCATGGTGGTGGGCACCTGTAGTCCCAGCTACTCGGGAGGCTGAGGCAGGAGAATCACTTGAACTTGAACCCGGGAGCCAGAGGTTACAGTGAGCTGAGATTGTACCACTGCACTCCAGCCCGGGCAACAGACTGAGATTCCATCTACAAAAACAAAAACAAAAACAAAAACAAAAACAAAAACAAAACAAACAAAACAACATTCATTAAGCTCACAGACACATCTGAAGTATCACCTGCTCTTTTCAATAGAAAAAAAAAGACCTGAAGGTAGTTTGGTATGGCTAGAATGTACCTGGGAGAATTAAATTATATGCAGTTGACACTTTACAGTTGTTAGATATTTTAATCCTCACAACATACTGAGATAAGAACTATATGTATTTCAACTGTGGTGGAGAGGCCCAAGTATGAACTCAGATCAGTCTGATACCAAGCCCAGTGCTCTTTGCTCAATAGCTGGAAGAAGTTGAAATGAACTAGGAATTAGTGCCCAGATGATGAAAGATGAAAATTCTATGATATGGGGCTTGAACACTATTCGATAAGTTAACAGGATTCACTAGGTATAAAATGCAGGCCATAAATGTGAACCACATAAATAATGCTAAATATTCTAGTAGTAATATTAAAAAATAAAAAAAGGTAAAATTGATTTTTTTTTTTTTGAGCCAGAGTCTCACTCTGTTGAACAGGCAGGAGTGCAGTGGCGCAATCTCTGCTCACTACAACCTCCGCCTCCTGGGTTCAAGCAATTCTCCTGCCTCAGCCTCCCAAGTAGCTAGGATTACAGGCGCCTGCCACCATGCCCGGCTAATTTTTGTATTTTTCAGTAGAGACAGGGTTTCACCATGTTGGCCAGGCTGGTCTCGAACTCCTGACCTCAAGTGATCCGCCTGCCTCGGCCTCCCAAAGTGCTGGGATTTCAGGCGTGAGCTACTGCGCCTGGCCAAATTGATTTTTAGTACATTAAGTAAACATTCAACCAAATGTATTTTCAAAATGATGTATTTTACATTCTTCTTATCAGACTAACTCTTAGAAATCTAGTACATATTTACTTCTGCACACGTCAGTTCAGATTAGCCACATTTCAGGCACTCAATAGCTACATGCAGATGGTGGTTACTGTACTGGGCATATCAGCTATAAACAAAAGGAAGTAACCTGATCAGATTTATTCTTTAGAAAGACTTGTTAGACAGCATTGTGGAGAATGACTCAGAGGATGGTGAGACAAAAGGCAGGGAAATTTTAGCCGGGCACAGTGGCTCACACCTGTAATCCCAGCACTTTGGGAGGCCAAGGTGGGAGGATCACTTGAGCTCAGGAGTTCAAGACCAGCCTGACCAACATGGTGAAACCCCGATTCTACTAAAAATAAAAAAAATTAGCCAGGTGTGATGGCAGGCGCCTGTAATCCCAGCTATTCGGGAGGCTGAGACAGGAGAATTGCTTGAACCTGGGAGGTGGAGGTTGTGGTGAGCCGAGATCACGCCACTGCACTCCATCCAGCCTGGGTGACAGGGCGAGACTCCATCTCAAAAAAAAAAAAAGGCAGGGAAATTTTTAGGTGCATAGCATAATTGTCTAAATAACACATATCCTGAACTAAACAGAGAGCAAAGTGAATGGAGAGGATGGATATTTTGAAGGCATTAATACAGTCAATAGGACTTAGCAGGCAAGAGAAGGAGGGTGAGATTAAGGAGAGGAGTTTAGATGACCAGGGATAAACAAGTATGAGAAAATGTGATCTATTTTATATATCTAAGAAATATATAAGTAGAAATAATGAAAAAGAAGTTGGAAATGTGGGTCCGAAATGCAAAAGTGAACTCTGGGCTGGAGCTAAAGATTTGGGTGTCATTGGATGGTGGATGAGATTACCTACCCTGAAAAAGTATATTAGAAGAAGGATAGAATAGAAGATGCAATTCCAGAGAACCTCAACTTTTTAAAAAATATTTAAGAATTTTTAATTGACAAGTAAAAATTATACACACACACACACACACATATACATACACACACACACCCAGTATATGATTTTTTTTTTTTTTTTGAGACCGAGTCTCCCTCTGTTGCCGAGGTTGGAGTGCAGTGGTGTGATCGAGGCTCACTGCAACCTCCACCTCCCAAGTTCAAGCGATTCTCCTGCCTCAGCCTCCCAAGTAGCTGGGATTACAAGTGTGCACCACCATGCGGGAGCTAATTTTTTTTTTGTATTTTTAGTAGAAACAAGGTTTCACCATGTTGGCCAGGCTGGTCTCAAACTCCTGACCTCAAGTGATCAGCCAACCTCAGCCTCCCAAGGTGCTAGGATCACAGGCATGAGCCACTGCACCCTACCATGATGTTTTAATATATGTAAACATTGTGGAATGACTAAATCAAGCTGTTTAACATATGTCACCATTTTTTGGTAGTCAGAACACTTAAAATCTCTGAGCAATTTTTGAATACACAATATATTGTTATTAACTACTGTTACCATGATGTACAATAGATCTCTTGAGCTTATTCCTCTTGTCCAACTGAAATTTTGTGTCTTTTGACTAATGTCTTCCTAATCCCCTCCCCAGAATCAGAGAAACCCAACTTTTAACAGGCAGTCAGGAGAAGCAGAATTGCAAAGAAGACAGGGAAGGAATTTTTAGAGATATATAAGTACAAGAAGGTGAGGACAACAGCACAAGTGAAATTTTATGTATCCTTACAAAAATGATAATTATAAAGACTATGTAGAAAAGTAAATATATGTAAATTACTGAAAAAATATATTTATGATTTACCTAAATAATATGCAAACATAAAAATGTATAACATTATAGATATTGTTTTATTAAAATTCTTTAATGCTATTATATTGTAATTAGATAAAAAGATGGAAAAACAAATATGACAAAAAGTTGAGAGGAGGCTGGGTGCAGTGGCTCATGCCTGTAATCCCAGCACTTTGGCAGGCCAAGGTGGGAGGATCACTTGAGCTCAGGAGTTTGAGACTGGCCTGGACAACATGGTGAAACCCCATCTTTACAAAAAATACAAAAGAAAAAAAAATAGCTGGGTGTGGTGGCATGTGCATGTATAGTCTCAGCTACTCAGGAGGCTGGGGCGGGAGGGTCACTTGAGCCTGGGAGGTTGGGGTTACAGTGAGCCATGAGCATGCCACTGCACTCCAGCCTGGGTGACAGAGTGAGACCCTGTCTCAAAATAAATAAAGTCAAGTGGGAATAAAAATAAATACCTTTGCTTAATTTAGTAGTTGCTACCTCACTATACTTGTCGAAATATTATGCTAGAGCAACGTCTCTCAACCTTTTTTCATTATTGTCTTCCTCCCACTGGGAGTCTTTTTAGATATTTTTTCTAATGACCCCTATTGTTAACATTTAATGCCACAGATATCTTGTACGTCTGTTTATGTACCGCGGTCCTTTGGAAGGCTACAAACCATTGCAATATCTAAGATGTTTTTCCACCCACATTCCCAAGAACCAGTATTCATCCCTTTTGGGGTAATATTGTCCCTTCTGAGAACATATATGCCAAATAGTTCTGCTAAAAAAAAAATTTTTGTAAATATCACTGATGTATTAAAGGAAAGAAATGTAGGCTTCAGTCCCCCATTACTTTTTCTTTTGCTCCACGATAACTTTCAAAGAAGCTGAGTATTTTTCATAAAATGTCTAACCTTACTGAATCAAGGTTTTATGAATATAATCATGGGATTGATTATATTTCAGTTAGTCTTCCTAAAACAAAATGGAAGTCAACATGATCCTTTGAAAGAAGTTACTCTTCATTTTGAATGCATTTCAGTGAAATTTTGTATGTGATTTAATTTGAGGTTGACAGTTCACTTAGAACTTCCAAGTTCATAGAACCATTAATTCTTACTTAGATGTAATTAGTAGTGAGTAGGGTTTTTTTTGGTCTACGAGTTCAACCTCAAGAAAAAAAATTGTTTATGTGTTTATTTCATTAAAAAAGACAAAAACTTTATTGAACACGTGCAAAAAATGTGTTTTTTACAACATACAATACCTATTTAACTGAGTGAAAGAATATCAAGGGAAAATTTTGTAATGCTTTTAGCCACTAAAATAATAACTTATGGGCATATCTGAGAGGTAACACTTTAGAAGCAACTTTCTACTCAGCTTGAAAGTCACAGATATTACTAAGGACTTAGGTGGGCTGCATGCATCTGTGGGCTTTGTGTGAGCTACTTATCATCATATCAAATAAAAGGTATGGGTTGTACCTTCTTTTTCATGTTTCCCTTAGTATTTGTCATTTAGTAGATGCCGAATGCCTGCTGCTTAATTTTCAGTATCAGCATTTACTTGTGTTGTGTTGTCTTAATTTTCACAAAAGGGTTTGGAGATGATACAGATTACAATTAGCACTAGGTAAATGAATTACCTCTGCTATACCTTTGTGCAAGCCTATTCCTATTGGCTAGCACATACTTACTTACAGACAATTCTCTATGGGTTTCTCACATTTCTGCACATTTTGTGAACAGAGGCACTGATGGCCTTTTTCTGTACTATCTTTTCAAGGATGTTTTTACAGAAAACAACCTTGGAAGATACAGTGTCTTCCTCTAGAGAAGACGACAGGTTCATTTGCTTTGCAGACAGGTTATATCTCCCTCTAGGAAAAATGTCAGGCAGGTTTGTGTTCAGTCCATTATAAAAGATTTGGGTTCCCTAAGCAGGGATTCCTCAGCAATGACACAAACCCACCGTGAGTGCAGCATCCACCTAGGTTTGCCTTCCCAACCCTGGTCTAGGTTTGCTTTCCAACTCTGGGGGTTGGAGGGCAAAGGAAAACAATGTGAACGTGAAGCTCATATTGCTTGCTGTATCATGAATGAATAACAAGAGTTATGTGTCTCTGACCCAGGAGTCTTGTGTGTTCTGCCAGCATCGCTGAAACTGCAGCAGGCTAACTTGTTGGCATGCAAGTAGGGCAAAATCTCTGACCCTTCATAGTTTTTGAAATTACTCTGTGCTCTCCTTCCTTTTTATCAAACATTATTAATTAGAATACCCCTTACTCCTCTAGGCACTTAAGCACCAAGTGCCCTGGACTCTCTCATTTCCTAAGACTGTATTCCAGTTTATCACACCTTGAAAATTACTGAAGTAAAGCCAATACTATAAAAATCATTTCCTAAAATCTTAACCGAGGCATAATGGTTTTAATTCACTGTTATAGCCTCCTTGAATTCTAGATTGTATAATTAAAGTTTTCTGCAAAAGTTGAGCTGCTCAAAGTTGAAAAAAGTTGCTATGAACCAATCACTGTTAAATGATCCCATAGAAGCAAAAGGCTTCTTACTGAAAGTAGGACCCTTCTTTATGTGAGATAATACTTGCACATATGAAATCATTTTTAAAAATAAAACTAAGCTTTCTGTGGGCTTGAGGAGTTAGGGAAGATTTCATGGAAGAAATGGGACTTAAGCCTCTGAAAACATTACATTTCTAGAGCACTTTATTATAATTTCATGTAAAAGACACAAAAACAGATTTAAAAAAAAAACAGATCATACTGGTTCACAGATAATAAAATCTAAATATCTGAACTCCTAGTGCACATACATGTGCACTGTGTGTGTGTGTGTGTAAATTTACAAATGTTGAAATGGAAAGATACTAATTGTACAGTTTGAAGAGTCTTGAAAAATGCATACATCCATGTAACTACCACCACAATCATGATATTGAACATTTCCAACTCTCTAGAAAATTCTCTTTTGCCCACTCAGAGGAAACATATGTCTGAATATCTATCATCATATATTAGTTTTGTCTATTTATATCACATAATTTTAAGGGGGTAAAAAAGAGTTGAGGCCACTTTGAATCAGCATAGCCACCTGAAATAAAATATGGATGGTATCCATGATAAAGCATGAGGAGAGAAACAGAGTTGAAAGATACAGGAGTTACAGTTGGATAGGTAATATCAGAGCAAAGTTCTAAAGGAGCTTGGATATCATTTTAAGAAACTTGAATGTGCTTCAGTGGACTCTAAAAACCCACTGATTGATCTTCAACAGGACAGTGACATGACAAAGGTGGCATTTAAGATCAGCCTCACCGTAGCATGCAAAGTGGACCAGATTGGGAGAGAAATCAATTATATGACAAATACAATTTGATTTGCAGTGACAAATATTATTCTGCATAGAACTCTAGGTACAGTCAGATGGCCAATTTGGTCATTATTGGTAAAAGAATAAATAGAAACGCAAAATTGTTTTGTGAGCAAGGTCATCAGCAGTAGTAAATGGAAGTTGACAGCATAAGAAGGCGATGACAAGTGGAGTGCAAGAAAAACCAGTGCTAGATTCAATCTTTTTCACGGTATCTATCATGGTCCAGATTAAGAACGTGCTGCAAGTTATACAGATTTGTAGATAACACAAAATTGAAGACTGCTCATTTATTAAAGAAGAGGAAAATAAAAATCCCTTCTCTGAGATCTAACAAACATGAAGGCCCACGGCTGACAAATAACTCTCAGAATTTAACATGAAACAATAGGAGATAATAAAGACTAAGTAAAAGGTTACCACAATATGGTGAAAATAACACATCGTTCTGCAAGACTTTAATATCTATCAGTAAGAGTAATAGTAAAACCATAAATGAATCAGAAATAAGAGAAATCAAACCATTTGGCAAAGCACTGTGTCAATAGTCATCAAAAAAACCTCAGCAACTTATATTTCAGTCCACAAGCACCTAGAAAGCCTTTAGGCGACAAGAGGATTTTGTTAGTTTGTGGTTTAATTGGAAGTGAGTGAAGAATGGAGTTAATGGTGACTTGGAAAATCAACAGATGGTAACTAAGATAATAGTCTATGAAGTTATTTACAGCCAGAAAGTGTTTAAGGAAATCAAGATATTCCAAAGAGATTAGAAGAGGGCATAAATAGAAAGTATAAAGTTCTATGGAAAATAATGAAGGCAGATGCTCTTATTCAAAAGAAGAAAACTTTCAAGATGGAAAAGAGGACACAGGAGCTTAGAAGAAATTACTAGAATCCACAGGATGAGCTAGGGGCAGTGTAGTAATTACATGATGTGGTAGTCGAAAGTTTGTAAAACAAAACAGAAAAACATTACATTCCCAGGTTGAGGCCTTGCACAGTGGTATCCACTAAAAAGAAAATTAATCTCAGAGCAATTAAAGTTAAAACCATAGGGGAAAATGTCGGTTAGAGAGTTCATTCATTCTAGTATCTCATCTCCTTGCCAGAACAGGTAATTAACAGTTTCCTATAGTGAGGTGAATCATCAAATCCCAGATAAACTTCATAGTGAATACTACTGTTCCTAAATACTTTTAAAATTAATGTTTTAGGTACATTTTGCCATGGAATAAATACTGTATTAGGGGTCATAAGTGGATATTATACCCCAAACTGATAAATGATGAAGGATGGATGAAGTGATTTCTCCCAAAATGTCTACATGGTAGGTGTTACCTAAAAGTTTGTTAGGGGAACTGAATTGGTGAGTTAACTTTCCCTAATGTATGTATATCTTAAAGAGAAGCTTGTTATTTCTAATGGTAGAGTTTCAGTGAAGAAACATTTCAGCCAAAGGCACATTTTGACACTTTGCATAAGGTGAGAGAGTTTGATAGCAAATGGTGGTTAAAAAAATGTTTATGCTTATTCATTTTTTCCCAGTTACCTATATGCTAGAAGATTGAGAGATGAAAATTACACATTCTATAAATAAACAAGCACCCAATAAACCTAAATGTTAACGCTTACCAGAAAAACCAGTTTATGCCTCTGGAAAAAAAAATCTCACATTCGATATTTTAAATAATTAATATTTCAAAGAGAGCTTTGAAATACTCCGTGTGTCTTATCAGAATCATTTACTTACTAAGAGCATGGAAGGCTTGTGAAGGGAAAAGTAAGTAAAAAACAAATTTGGAAAAAGAACAAATCTAACTCAATTCAAAATGATGTACCAAAGTAATCTGAGTTTAATCTCTGAAAAGATAAAACAAAGATGTCTTTGGAGGTAGGAATATTAATAATATCTACCATTTATTGAATGCTGACTATATGGCAGGCAGTGTTCGAAGAGATTTATATTGAAATTTCCACACCAACCTATTTTATTGGCCAGGTAAAGAAACTGAGGGTAATTTGGGTGAATTAACTTGTTCAAGGTCACATAGTTGTGAAGTGACAGAACCAGCTTTAGGACCCCGAGACGCCTTGAGTAGAGGAAGTCAAACTACATTTCTTGTGATTAAATCCAGCCTACTGGCGGTTTTTTACCAGCACATGTGCTAAGGATGATTTTGACATTTTAAAAAGAATAATATTTTGTGCTACATAACAATTTCACAAAATTCAAATTTTAGTCCCTATGTTTATGGAAACACAGCCAAGATCATTCATTATGTTTAGTTTATAGCTGTGTTAATGCCACAACAGCAGAGTTGAGTTGTTGCAGTAAGAGACCTTATGGCCCACAAAGCCTAAAATATTTACTACGTGGCCCTTTACAGAAAATGTTTGCCAACCCCTGCTCTAGAGCATATACTGTCAACGACAAGCATATGCTAATTGCTGGATGTGGTGGTGTGCACCCGTAGCCTCCACTACTCAGGAGGCCAAAGTGGGAGGATCTCTTGAGCTCAGGAGTTCAAGGCCAGTGTGGGCCAACATAGTGAGATGCTGTGTCTTTAAAAAAAAAAATCATGCTAGGTACAGATATGTGTGGATCTCACAATCTGCTTTTGAGGTGCTGAAGGACCTTGGCAAGGACCAGCCACATCAGTAAAACAAGGCCTCATCACAGGTGGAAGGAGGGAAAGAACATCAACATTCAATATAAGTCTACTTGCAATTGAAGAGAGCAATTTTGGAGAGCCAAAGCCAAGAATGACACAAGATAATGAAGCAACAATTACACATTCATTTCTTTCTGAATTTACATTTTAGAGCCCATAAAGTCCAGTTCCAAAAGAACAGTCACAAAAAAGAGAAGAGAGGTTTTTCAAAAGCCAAGGGGAAATCTGCTTTTCAAGTTTTGCTTTGCTGTCTGAGACTGCCTCTGAATAACACTGAATAAACTCAGCTTCTCTACAAAAGACCTAGCTCCTTACCTATGGACTTCAACTAGATTGCCATCTCAGAATATAACACCGTAAAATATAGCTAACCATCTTCATAAGACACACAAACACAAGCCTAATCAGGAAGGTGAGAGGGAAAGGAATCATTTTGGCTTCCAGAGCACCATCAGGAGGTCAAATGTGTATCTGTGTCTTCTTCAGTGCCAAGCACAGGCACAAAGCAAGTATGGTATGGAAGCGGCTTTTCAAGAACTGTCCTTATGAGAGTGCAGTCAGGTAACTGTAACACAAGTGACACATGAGAATAGTAATGGCAGCCCACGGAGTATAAAAATGTGGCAAATGAAGGAACTGGTACTCTTAATTTGCTGATACTTGGAGTGCAGGGAATGAGTTGACAAGTCATCATTTGGTAATCCAACTTTTGAATCCTAATGTTCTTCTTTCTTTCATTATAAAATTAAATAATGAATCAATTCCCCTGCCAACTCCTTGCATAACTGCAGGAAGGCAAAACAGTAGATCCCACCTTATCCAGCTTCAATTTCCATGGCTTCAGTTATCCACAGTCAACTATGGTCTGAAAAGATTCCATGGAAAATTCCAGAAACAAACAATTCATACATTTTAAATTGCATGCCTTTCTGAGTAGCATGGTGCCCTTTGTTCAGTGTCTCCATGCTACAGATGCTCCTTGCCCAGGAGTCAGTTAGCCACCATCTCAGTGATCAGTTAATTGTCATGGTATCCTGGTACTTGTTTACAAGTAACCCCTATTTTGCTGAATTGTTTTACTTTATTATTGTGGTTGTTAATCACTTACTGTGCCTAATTTATAAATTAAACTTTATCATAGGTATGTATGTATGGAGAAAAAAAAAAACATTGTATACAGGGTCCAGGCATCCACTGGGGCAGGGGCAGAGGGGCAGGGTCTTGGAGTGTATCCTTCTCAGATAAGTGGGGGTTACTGTAACAACTTTATTCTATTTTTTACGCCGGAACTTAACTGTTTCTTATTTTTATTTATTATTTTTTTAAGACAGAGTCCTTCTCTGTCACCCAGGCTGGAGTGCAGTGGCACGATCTCTGCTCACTGTGGCCTGTGCCTCCTGGGTTCAAGCGATTCTCCTGCCTCAGCCTCCCAAGTAGCTGGGATTACAGGCAGGTGACACCACGCCCAGGCTAATTTTTGTATTTTTAGCAGAGATGGGGTTTTGCCATGTTGGTCAAGCTGGTCTCAAACTCCTGACCTCAGGTGATCCGGTGTTCATTATTTTTAAAGTACAATAAATCTCGTGTGTGTGTGTGTGTATGTGTGTGTGTGTGTGTGTGTGTATGTGTGACCACCCTATTTTTTGAATGCACACTGCTGCAAACTTATGTGTCCTTATTACAACCACCCTTTTCAAATTGAGGAGTGTATCATCCTTTCCTTTTATATGATGATATTATATATTTTTGCTTTTTTAAAAAAGCAAAAGTAGTTTGAAAAAGGGCATGTATAACTGTTAATATCTAGTTTATTGAGAAGTCTCACCTCAGTGAGGGTATGAACATAAAATTATTTTTTGGTTTTCTTCACCATTGCTCCCAGACATACAATGTCAAATCTTCCTTTCAAGTCCTGTAATAACATCTTGGGAAGATTCCATAACTTTCTGGTTGTAGTTTAATTATTAATCTTACATATGCTTCAAAGTGTTTCCCTCCTCCATTGCTGGTTTGTCTTTCGGACCCAGGTACCTGAAGGGGCAAATGGGTGGCACCACTCACTTCCCCTGCCCCTCTTTTTCCTTAGAGAAATTAGATCCACTAGTGGCTTGGGGCAGGGAAGAAGGAGAAGGAAAAGAGGGAGTGTCTGTTACTTAATTGGCTACTGCTATAACCCTTTTGATAAACATGTTATATGGCTTGCAAGAAAACAAAGATGAGGGGTTAGTATAAGGATATATGCAGAAGTAAAGAAGAAAAGGAAACAGGTTTCAGCAGCTGCATGGTCAGGCCTCACAAAGAACCCAAGGATCATTCAAGATATAACCACAACTCTCCCTCCAGGCACAATAGTCCTAGTGACTCATTAATGTTACGACTTTAGTATCTTGGTGTCCATTCTCCCCTACTCATGAGCTCTACTCATGTACACCTAACTCTTAGTATCTGTTTTAATTTTCTCTTCTGCCATTTACCAACTAATTTTCTATCTTTGTGTCTTTGAGTCCAAACTCCCTAAGAAAAATAATCAAATTGATTCAACCAGCACAGAACAGCCTTTTGGAAGAGGTGTATATTACAGGCTATCTTTTACAAAGTAGAGCAGCCAAAGTAGGCTGTCTTTGGGTCAAGAATCAACCTCTTGTCTAATGTGAAAGTAGTGGAGGATGACATGGTACAAAACATGGTCAGCAATGTATAAAAGCCTGTCTCTTGTCACAAGCTTCAGAAAAACAGCTGAAGGTATATGCTTCTGATATGGATTATCATAACTCAATATTGTAATTTACATTTGATGTAACAAGATGGAAGGGGGAAGGATTTACCTTTAAGCCTTGATCTAAATCCCTCAATAATTTCTTAAGGGCAGTTCAATAATCTGCTCCAGGAAATAGCCAGTCTGACTCTGGATTCTTTCTCAATTAACTAGAATATATTTGTGCTCTTAGCAGACTTACTTCTGTCTGTTGATAAAACTGAAACAAGCTGCTGAAAGATAATTATTCAGAAAACAGGCCAAGGTGTCACTGGATAGTCTGTGGCCATTGCTTTCTTGGATTCTGGGAAGTTATCTCAGTTTCAAAGCTTCTAGTTCCTGTCCATGGTGGTGATGTCTTAATTCACATCCTCACTATTTTTTTTTCTTAATTATACTTTAAGTTCTAGGGTACATGTGCACGACATGCAGGCTTGTTACATAGGTATACATGTGCCATGTTGGTTTGCTGCATCCATTAACTCGTCATTTACATTAGGTATTTCTCCTAATGCTATCCCTCCCCCTGCCCCCCACCCCACAACACGCCCCCATGTGTGATGTTCCCTGCCCTGTGTCCAAGTGATCTCATTGTTAGATTCCCACCTATGAGTGAGAACATGCGGTGTTTGGTTTTCTGTCCCTGTGATACTTTGCTCAGAATGATGGTTCCCAGCTTCATCCATGTCCCTACAAAGGACAAGAACTCATCGTTTTTTATGGCTGCATAGTATTTCATGGTGAATATGTGCCACATTTTCTTAATCCAGTCTATCGTTGATGGACATTTGGGTTGGTTCCAAGTTTTTGCTATTGTGAATAGTGCTGCAATAAACAAACGTGTGCATGTGTCTTTATAGTAGCATGATTTATAATCCTTTGGTTATATACCCAGTAATGGGATGGCTGGGTCAAATGGTATTTCTAGTTCTAGATCCTTGAGGAATCGCCACACTGTCTTCCACAATGGTTGAACTAGTTTATACTCTCACCAACAATGTAAAAGCGTTCCTATTTCTCCACATCCTCTCCAGTATCTGTTGGTTCCTGACTTTTTAATGATCGCCATTCTAACTGGTGTGAGACGGTATCTCACTGTGGTTCTGATTTGCATTTCTCTGATGGCCAGTGATGATGAGCATTTTTTCATGTGTCTTTTGGCTGCATAAATGTCTTCTTTTGAGAACTGTTTGTTCATATCCTTTGCCCACTTTTTGATGGGGTTGTTTTTTTCTTGTAAATTTGTGTAAGGTCTTTGTAGATTCTGGATGTTAGCCCTTTGTCAGATGGGTAGATTGTGAAAATTTTCTCCCATTCTGTAGCTTGCCTGTTCACTCTGATGGTGGTTTCTTTTGCTGTGCGGAAGCACTTTAGTTTAATTAGATCCCATTTGGCTTTTGTTGCCATTGCTTTTGGTGTTTTAGTCATGAAATCCTTGCCCATGCCCATGTCCTGAATGGTATTGCCTAGGTTTTCTTCTAGGGTTTTTATGGCTTTATGTCTAACACTTAAATCTTTAATCCATCTTGATTAATTTTTGTATAAGGTGTAAGGAAGGGATCCAGTTTCAGCTTTTTTTTTTTTTTTTTTGAGACAGAGTCTTGCTCTGTCGCCCAGGCTGGAGTACAGTGGCGTGATCTCCCACTCACTGCAAGAAGCTCTGCCTCCTGGGTTCACACCATTCTCCTGCCTCAGCCTCCCAAGTAGCTGGGACTACAGGCGCCCACCACCATGCCCGGCTAATTTTTTATATTTTTAGTAGAGACAGGGTTTCACCATGTTAGCCAGGATGGTCTTGATCTCCTGAACTCGTGATCCACCTGCCTTGGCCTCCAAAAGTGCTGGGATTATAGGCGTCAGCCACCATGCCTGGACAGTTTCAGCTTTCTACATATGGCTAGCCAGTTTTCCCAGCACCATTTATTAAATAGGGAATCCTTTCCCCATTTCTTGTTACTGTCAGGTTTGTCAAAGATCAGATGGTTGTAGATGTGTAGTATTATTTCTGATGCCTCTGTTATGTTCTATTGGGCTATCTCTCTGTTTTGGTACCAGTACCATGCTGTTTTGGTTACTGTAGCCTTGTAGTATAGGTTGAAGTCAGGTAGTGTGATGCCTCCAGCTTTGTTCTTTTGGCTTAGGATTGTCTTGACAATGCGGGCTCTTTTTTTGGTTCCATGTGAACTGTAAAATAGTTTTTTCCAATTCTGTGAAGGAAGTCATTGGTAGTTTGATGGGGATGGCACTGAATCTATAAATTACCTTGGGCAGTATGGCCATTTTCACAATATTAATCTTCCTATCCATGAGCATGGAATATTCTTCTTCTATTTGTTTGTGTCCTCTTCTATTTCGTTGAGTGGTGGTTTGTAGTCCTCCTTGAAGATGTCCTTCACATCCCTTGTAAGTTGGATCCCTAGGTATTTTATTGTCTTTGTAGCAATTGTGAATGGGAGTTCACTCATGATTTGGCTCTCTGTTTGTCTGTTATTTGTGTATAGGAATGCTTGTGATTTTTGCACATTGATTTTCTATCCTGAAACTTTGCTGAAGTTGATTATCAGCTTATGGAGATTTGAGTGAGATGATGGGATTTTCTAAATATACAATCATGTCATCTGCAAACAGGGACAATTTGACTTCCTCTTTTCCTAATTGAATACCCCTTTTTTCTTTCTCGTCTGATTGCCCTGGCCAGAACTTCCAACACTATGTTGAATAGGAGTGGTGAGAGAGGGCATCCCTGTCTTGTGCCAGTTTTCAAAGGGAATGCTTCCAGTTTGCCCATTCAGTATGATGTTGGCTGTGGGTTTGTCATAAATAGCTCTTATTATTTTGAGATATGTTCCATCAATACCTAGTTTATTGAGAGTTTTTAGCATGAAGGGTTGTAGAATTCTGTCGAAGGCCTTTTCTGCAACCACTGAGATAATCATGTGGTTTTTGTTTTTGGTTCTGTTTATGTGATGGATTATGTTCATTGATTTGCATATATTGAACCAGCCTTGCATCCCAGGGATGAAGCCAACTTGATCATGATGGATAAGCTTTTTGGTGTGCTGCTGGATTCGGTTTACCACTATTTTATTGAGGATTTTCACATCGATGTTCATCAGGGATATTGGTCTAAAATTCTCTTTTTTGGTTGTGTCTCTGCCAGGCTTTGGTATCAGGATGATGCTGGCCTCATAAAATGAGTTAGGGAGGATTCCCTCTTTTTCTATTGATTGGAATAGTTTCAGAAGGAATGGTACCAGCTCCTCTTTGTACTTCTGGTAGAATTCAGCTGCAAATCCGTCTGGTCCTGGACTTTTTCTTTGTTGGTAGGCTATTAATTATTGCCTCAATTTCAGAGCCTGTTATTGGTCTATTCAGAGATTCAACTTCTTCCTGGTTTAGTCTTGGGATGGTGTATGTGTCCAGGAATTTATCCATTTCTTCTAGATTTTCTAGTTTATTTGCATAGAGGTGTTTATAGTATTCTCTGATGGTAGTTTGTATTTCTGTGGGATCAGTGGTAATACCCCCTTTATCATTTTTTATTGTGTCCATTTGATTCTTCTCTCTTTTCTTCTTTATTAGTCTTGCTAGTGGTCTATCAATTTTGTTGATAATTTCAAAAAACCAGCTCCTGGATTCATTGATTTTTTGAAGGGTTTTTTGTGTCTCTATCTCCTTCAGTTCTGCTCTGATCTTAGTTATTTCTTGTCTTGTGCTGGCTTTTGAATTTGTTTCCTCTTGCTTCTCTAGTTCTTTTAATTGTGATGTTAGGGTGTTGATTTTAGATGTTTCCTGCTTTCTCTTGTGGGCATTTAGTGCTATAAATTTTCCTCTACATGCTGCTTTAAATGTGTCCCAGAGATTCTTGTATGTTGTGCCTTTGTTCTCACTGGTTTCAAAGAACATCTTTATCTCTGCCTTCATTTCGTTATGTACCCAGTAGTCATTCAGGAGCAGGTTGTTCAGTTTCCATGTAGTTGTGTGGTTTTGAGTGAGTTTCTTAATCCTGAGTACTAATTTGATTGCACTGTGGTCTGAGAGACAGTTTGTTGTGATTTCTGTTCTTTTACATTTGCTGAGGAGTGCTTTACTTCCAACTATGTGGTCAATTTTGGAATAAGTGTGATGTGGTGCTGAGAAGAATGCATATTCTGTTGATTTCGGGTGGAGAGTACTGTAGATGTCTATTAGGTCTGCTTGGTGCAGAGCTGAGTTCAAGTCCTGGATATCTTTGTTAACCTTCTGTCTCATTGATCTGTCTAATATTGACAGTGGGGTGTTAAAGTCTCCCATTATTATTGTGTGGGAGTCTAAGTCTCTTCTTAGGTCTCTAAGGACTTGCTTTATGAATCTGGGTGCTCCTGTATTGGGTGCATATATATTTAGGATAGTCAGCTCTTCTTGTTGAATTGATCCCTTTACCAGTATGTCACAGCCTTCTTTGTCTCTTTTGATCTTTGTTGGTTTAAAGTCTGTTTTATCAGAGACTAGGATTGCAACCCCTGCTTTTCGTTGCTTTCCATTTGTTTGGTAGATCTTCCTCTGTCCCTTTATTTTGAGCCTATGTGTGTCTCTGCACATCAGATGTGTCTCCTGAATATAGCACACTGATGGGTCTTGACTCTTTATTCAACTTGCCAGTCTGTGTCTTTTAATTGGGGCATTTAGCCTATTTGCATTTAAGCTTAATATTGTTATTTGTGAATTTGATCCTGTCATTATGATGTTAGCTGGTTATTTTGCCTGTTAGTTGATGCAGTTTCTTCCTAGCCTCGATGGTCTTTACAATTTGGCATGTTTTTGCAGTGGCTGGTACCAGTTGTTCCTTTCCATGCTTAGTGCTTCCTTCAAGAGCTCTTGTAAGGCAGGCTGGTGGTGACACAATCTCTCAGCATTTGTTTGTCTGTAAAGGATTTTATTTGTCCTTCACTTATGAAGCTTAGTTTGGCTGGATATGAAATTCTAAGTTGAAAATTCTTTTCTTTAAGAATGTTGAATATTGGCCCCCACTCTCTTCTGGCTTGTAGTTTCTGCTGAGAGATCTGCTGTTAGTCTGATGGGCTTCCCTTTGTGGGTAACCCGACCTTTCTCTCTGGCTGCCCTTAGCATTTTTTCCTTCATTTCAACCTTGGTGAATCTGACAATTATGTGTCCTGGGGTTGCTCTTCTTGAGGAGTATCTTTGTGGCGGTCTCTGTTTTTCCTGAATTTGGATGTTGGCCTGCCTTGCTAGGTTGGGGAGGTTCTCCTGGATAATATCCTGCAGAGTGTTTTCCAACTTGGTTCCATTCTCCCCGTCACTTTCAGGTACACCAATCAAATGTAGATTTCGCCTTTTCACATAGTCCCATATTTTTTGGAGGCTTTGTTCATTTCTTTTTACTCTTTTTTCTTTGAACTTCTCCTCTCGCTTTATTTCATTAATTTGATCTTCAATCACTGATAGCCTTTCTTCCACTTCATTGAATCATCTATTGAAGCTTGTGCATGCATCACGTAGTTCTCATGCCATGGTTTTCAGCTCCATCAGGTGTCTTCTCTACACTGTTTATTCTAGTTAGCCATTCGTCTAATCTTCTTCCAACATTTTTAGCTTCCTTGCAATGGGTTTGAACATCCTCCTTTAGCTCGGAGAAGTTTGTTATTACTGACCTTCTGAACCCTACTTCTGTCAGCTCGTCAAAGTCATTCTCTGTCCAGCTTTGTTTCGTTGCTGGAGAGGACCTGTAATCCTTTGGAGGAGAAGAGGTGCTCTGATTTTTAGAATTTTCACCTTTTCTGCTCTGGTTTCTCCCCATCTTTGTGGTTTTCTCTACATTTGGTCATTGACGCTGGTGACCTACAGATTCGGTTTTGGTGTGGATGTCCTTTTTATTGATGTTGATGCTATTCCTTTCTGTTTGTTAGTTTTCCTTCTACGAGTCAGGTCCCTCAGCTGCAGCTCTGGTGGAGTCTGCTGGAAGTCCACTCCAGACCCTGTTTGCCTGGGTATCACCAGCAGAGGCTGCAGAACAGCAAATATTGCAGAACAGCAAACACTGCAGAACAGCAAATATTGCTGCCTGATCCTTCCTCTGGAAGCTTCATCCCAGAGGGTCACTCGCCTGTATGAGGTGTCAGTAGGCCCAAACTGGGAGGTGTCTCCCAGTTAGGCTACACGGGGGTCAGGGACCCACTTGAGGAGGCAGTCTGTTCTCAGAGCTCAAACACTGTGCTGGGAGAACCACTGCTCTCTCCAGAGCTGTCAGACAGGGATGTTTAAGTCTGCAGAAGTTTCTGATGCCTTTTGTTCAGCTATGCCCTGCCCCCAGAGTTGGGGTCTACAGAGGCAGCATGCCTTGCAGAGCTGAGGTGGGCTCCGCCCAGTTCGAGCTTCCCCAGCCACTTTGTTTATCTACTCAAGCCTCAGCAATGGTGGACACCTCACCCCCTGCCAGGCTGCTGCCTTGCAGGTCAATCTCAGACTGCTGTGCTAGCAGTAAGCAAGGCTCCGTGAGCGTGGGGCCCGCTGAGCCAGGCACGGGATATAATCTCCTGGTGTGCCATTTGCTAAGACTATTGGAAAAGCTCAGTATTTCGGTGGGAGTGTCCCGATTTTCCAGGTACAGTCTGTCATGGCTTCCTTTGGCTAGGAAAGGGAAATCCTCTGACCCCTTGTGCTTCCCGGGTGAGGTGATGCCCTGCCCTGCTTCGGCTCGCACTCTGTGGGCTGCACCCACTGTCTAACCAGTCCCAGTGAGATGAACCAGGTACCTCAGTTGGAAACACAGAAATCACCATCTTCTGTGTCGATCACTCTAGGAGCTGCAGACTGCAGCTGTTCCTATTTGGCCATCTTGGAATGGAATCCACATCCTCACTATTCATGCTCAGTCCCATTTCAGGTCTAAATTATCAGCTACCCTCAAACAATGTTATTTACAAGATTTCCCATCATCTGAGATTTAGCATGTCTAAGACTTATTTAATCGTGGACAAATTCCCCACCCAACCATACCCCTAATGACTTCTTATCCCAATTTTTTCATTTCTGATTATTCCCCAGGCTTGGAATCTATGCATGGTCTTTGACATTCTTTCATCTCCAAATTTAAAACATGACTCAGCTATACCACTTCTTCACAGGCAAAATATTTCATAATCAGAGTTTCCTCTCCAACATTATCACTCAACCCTTAACCTGGATTACTACTACATGGATTAACTTGTTGAATTCCCTGTTTCTAGTCTCTCCCATTACTAAACTATAAGTTTAATAACATCATCCTCTTTTCTAAGATTCAATGTGTATCAGATCCAATCCAATCTACAATGGTTTTATAAGTTGCTTCCAAAAATTTTTCTTTGGCTTCTTCAACTCCCCGTTAGGCTACTTGTCTTTATCATTTTGTACATACCTTGAGTGTTCACACCTATACATCTTCCCTCATGTGCTTAATTTTGGAAAGAAAAGATACACATAAATTCTAAAAAATAGCAAAAGAAAAAATACCAAGCCTAGATACTTTACACTTGCCAAGTTTAAATGAATATTGCTTTTAGAAAGACTACCACATAAATATACTTTAGCTCACCAGATCTATTCAAGGAATCAAATGAGGGAATGAGTGCTTTAGAAACTTAAATGTTCTAAATTCAGGTAATTTAGACAATTTTTATAAATACATATTAATAATATTCTGTTCTAATAATTAAAATTCAGGTAGACCTTAATTACATACTTTACTTCGTAAAAGAGAAGTTGTTCTCCAATAGAAAAAAATTAACTTCAAAATAAATAGATAAATAACTTCCTAAGGCATATACTCACAGTAAATTTAACATACTGCTACTACCATTTAATTGAATCTAACCTTTAAATTAAAAAAAGAAGATGGTATACTAAAAGTAATATGATAATTGTATATTGGGTGGTATTGCCTTTTGGTGTTTCAAACAATCAAGGCAACACTTACTAACCTCTTCATTACTTTATAATGTTCATCTGGGAAAATATAGCTTTCCCAATTTCAAATTTTCTAAAATTGACACCCACAGAGCTCCTGAGAACCCAGGGCAATAAAGCATAGGGTGCTTCATTAGAGGAAATCTATAATTACAGATTACTGAATAAATAATATGGATGCCATTGAATTACATGAGAGTTGATCACTTGTAAGAAAATGGTATAGAATTACAAAATTCTGCACCAATACCTCAGAGATATAATTATATCAATTTCTGAACATCATGTGGTTCTTTTAAAATAAAGTCATGAATAAAAATTATGCTTAAATAACCTCCCCAAAGCTGGTAAAACCAGAGAAAATAGTGGCATTAAAAGACTGTCATTCCTTAGAGCTTAACTTCATAAGTGCTTTAAGTTGATGTGTCTACTTGACCTTTGCAGTTCTTTGATATTTTTAATTCAAAAACTTCCATGATTTATATCATATGCTATTTTATGAAGTTACTATGTTGCCATCTAGTTACTGTTGTGTCACTACTGTCTGCAAATATCATTATATTTTAGTAAAATGAATAGAGGTATGGTCAGAGCCAGACTTGCAAATAGGCACTTAATTTCTTGCTTGGGATTAACTAGAAAAGATTTACAATTTCAAATTTGTTTTTAACTATGTCTCTTCTTGGAACAGTGGGCTCCAGAGAGGAAAGCAGGGCAAACTTAGATACAGTTCATCATCACTGCTTCAATCATGCTTTCAGCAAACTCCTACGTAGTTTCCAATTAACTCTTTCAAACTATCAATGCATAACCACTGGGCACTTACTCAATAGATAGCACTATGTAAAAGAGAGAATTGTAAGGTATCTTCCAAATAGGCAAATTGTGTAGTTTTTTTTTTCCTCTATGTGGGCTAATTTGGAGATTAAAAGAATTCATGGCCAGTAATAATAATCATAAAGAGAATTATTTGCTAATAAAGTAAAATGAAATATTCTTTAAAAATCTTTACTTGTTTGATATGTAATATATCTGAAGAACACAGAAAAATACTATAGACTTTTGGTTCTTCAAACAATAGTTAATAGAAAAGCCTACTTCTACATTATACTTTCGGCATGGATCAGGTATTTACAGAAGCCAAGTTTCTACTGTTTAGAAAAGCAATTCATTTTAGTATAGTCCAAATGCTGATAAATTATCTCAGATAAATGTCATAAAGGGAGAAACTGCTAATTATATTAAAAGATATTCAAGACTATGTTTATTTTGCTTGTTCGTGTAACAGTCATAATTTTTAATATTCTTAATTATTTTTACTCTTTTTTATGTAAAAAAAAATTCAAAAACAAATATCTGTTACTCTCCAAAAAATGGAGTTAAAAAGTGGTATTTGCCAAAATGGTTGAGAGCAAGGAGGTTACTAAAGGTTCCTTGGCAAAGATTTAGGACCAGGCAATATTTTGTTCTTTTTATGAGTTGCTCACCTAAACTCATCAGTGAAATCTTTGCATACTATATCTGATTTCATTCAAGGCTGTTTATTTCCTATTTATAGCCTATATCAACAGGGGGAAATTGCAGTCCACAAAGAAATGATAAGAACCATTTTTCACTCAGCACTTCTACGGCAGCTGGTGATTTTTAGTATAGGGGAAATTTATCCCCATCCTTTAAAAGGAATACACTACTTATACTCTTACGACGTATGGAATCCTGGGTCTTCAATAGGACTATGATTTCTATTTCAGGAAGAGGAAGTAAAAAAATGTACCATGATTTCTTTAAAGCAATTATCCAACTGTGTGAGGCTTTAAAAATGTCATTATATTTGTTTTAGTAACTAAGCACTCACATTAGCACTGTCTTGAACAAAGAAGGAAAAGCATATTTAGAGAATCTACACATTGCTGACATCTTTATATCCAGTTTAGAGGAAGCTATTTTAAGGTACACTCTGAATTGGGTAGTAAAGTGAGGAAGATGTCACTTCCACCTCAGAGTCAAACCGGGAGAAATCAACAAGTGCTGGATGGATTAATCATCCATTTTTAAAAAACAATTTGAAAACTGGTAGCTGAGAAAAACCTTGTTAACACCCAGCTCTATCAAAGACATCACAGTGACTCTTGATCTAATTAGAATGGCCAGGGCATTTTGTTTCACTGGAACAAAAATAAAGACTGATAAATTAACCAACTATACTGCATTTTTTCCCTAAAGATGTACAATGCAAACAGGAGAACTATATCCACAGGAGACCAGGTTACTGATCAGGTGACTTCATTAAGGCTTGTTTTCCAGGGTGGCCCTGGATGCCCAGGGAGAGGGTTTTCCTATTTAAGAGTTCTCTTTCAATGCCAACAATCTGTGAGAAAATTATCTCACAGCCAGAAAATGATCAACTAAGGTAGAATCTGAGTTTCATCCACAACAAAAAGTGATTAAGTAATACTAGGATATTACCTTTCTGTTTGGGAATTATATATTTCTTATTAGATTGAACCATATTACATTGTCATTTTGTAGGCAAAAAACAGTCAAATGGCAACAATTTCATATGGTTTGAACTAATATTTAGAGACATAATTAAGCCATGTGAACTACTACCAACACTCTGAGAAAATATTTCCAAATAGAAAAGAGGTAGGGAACGAAAAGTGGAAGATTGTACAATGCAGGTTATGACAATGAAAATATGCATTTAAAAATATTTTTCTAAAATGCATTACTTGAAAAGCATGGATTTTCTAATGGTTCCTACATTACACAAATCCAACCCCCATGAGTCATCAGCACAACCATGAGAACAAGATCAAGACAAGCGGAGGCTTGGCACACAGTTGGCCCACCCTTTTGGCTACTGTCTTCACCATGGAGATGTTGTCAATTTTTCACTGAAGTCAATAATTTGCACTTCTTTCCCTAAAGCTTAGGAACCGTTTTGCAAGATCTCCCAAAACTCTGTCCCTTGCCCCCACTCCAGCATAGGGATGCGAGGGAGCTTATCTTGTCATTTTAATGAAACATCTTTGAGGTATGATTTCACTGGGGAGAGATTTAGAAATCAAAGCTTAAGCAGAGCTTGTGAAAGTAAGTTATGCAGTACTGAGCAAAACACAATCTCTAGAACTCATTTTTTCCCTCAGCAAGCATTAATGAATGTCAAGCCTTTATAGATTAGTTAATATACTTAGAGATAGAGAATACATGTTTATTTTTCCAAAACCTTGATTCAGCCAGTAACTCACTGAGAATTGAATAAATAAATCCACTCATTATAGTGCTTTTCAGAGGAAAACCCAGCAATATTTGCAAAAAAGTCAAATTTATTTTTTTCTATCGTAAGCACATGAAATAATGACAATATTATCTAGAATATCGATATATCTGCCATGTTTGCACTTTCTCATTAACTGGAATTTTATTTCTGTGTATTAGAATTTATCAGGTAGGAGAACAAACCAACCAACTCAGCTCAAACACCTAATTACATTTTTTCATGCTCTTTGTCATTTTAGTGAGTTTCTTGTAAGAGAACGTCAGCATGACTTTTATTAATGTCAGAGAATGCATTTTTTTCCTTTTGATAAAAGAAGAAAGGACCTTTCACATTCAAAATTCAATTTTTCCCCTAACATTTCCAATATGACACAAGCATATGGTAAATAAAATTATTCTAGTAAATATTAGAACCAGTGGACCAGTGAGGGAGACTTGGAGTATGCTGTGAATATATTGAATACTAAAGAGCATCTGAAATATAAAAATCATTGAACTTTTAATAAAAACTGAATAATTCAATAGTTTTTCATTAAAGAAAAAAGAAATGTAAACAATAACAATCATTAACTCAGGTCTGTCTATGTATCAGAGACAGCTGACAAATGTGATGAGAAAGTTTTCAAGAGTTTTACACAGTGGACTATACTGGGTAGAAAAGTCTGCTTTCTATTTTCTCGGCCAAGAATATAAATAAGGTTAGGTTTACAAATAAAACTTTCACTGAAGTAAAGGAATAAGACACATCAAATAACTGCAATTAAAAAAAGAATAATGATTACATTCAAGAATAATGGAACTTGCCAGGAATACAAGTACAGCTGGTATTTCCCTGAACATCCCTCACTATATAGGGATTATCTGAGGCCAGGCGTGGTGGCTCATGCCTGTAATCCCAGCACTTTGTGAGGCTGAGACTGGCAGATCACCTGAGGTCGGGAGTTCGAGACCAGCCTGACCAACATGGAGAAACCCTGTCTCTACTAAAAATACAAAATTAGCTAGGCGTGGTGGTGCATGCCTGTAATCCCAGCTACACGGGAGGCTAAGACAGGAGAATCGCTTGAACCCAGGGAGGCAGAGGTTGTGGTGAGCCAAGATTGAGCCATTGCACTCCAGCCTGGGCAATAAGAGCAAAAGTCTGTCTCAAAAAAAAAAAAAAAGGATTATCTGTACCATTACATTTTTGTTTTCCTGGGACATTTAGAAACTTACTGTATAACCATTTGTCTTACAGAGTTACATTCAGGTACACCTAGAGGCAGGGAACTGGGCTGGATAATCTAGAGAGCATCCTAATGTTTTATAAAAACCAAATCACATAAAACAAATTCAAAGGACTGATATTACTCAAAGCGAACTCCACATTAAGTGCAAACAGACCCAAAGATATGCTGCAAAATGAAATGCTATAAGTCCTATTACATTACTTATAGAGAATGTGGTGTAAACTATCCCTAGATACGATACCTTCAGTCATTAGGGACTAAAAAAGAGAAATGGGAATCTCATCGGCAAAATCTGTGAGAAATTTGAAGCTGTTTGCTTAGAGTATGTAAAGTATTCATCAGAGAATAAGGTTCAAACCTACTTTAAGAGAGATAAGAACTATTTCTTCACATATCAGAAGAGAGTTGAAGAAGATTGTTTCTTGACAGAAATTCTCATGGGGAAAGCTCCCTTTTTTATTTGTGACAAAGATCATGCTGGAATTGATAGAAAAAGACATTTTGAAATGAATAAAAGAGGTCACTTACAGGAAGAGCCTTTTGTAGAAGTGGCTTTTTGTTAAAAGATTCTCACTTTTATTCAAGTCAAAACATTCATTTTATTCCAGGAACAAAGTGGTGCACATTTTGCTTCTCTCATTAACTGTCTCAATTAGGTAAACCACAGAGGTTTCATGGGTGTGCAACTTGAGCAGTCACATAGGGCCCTGCTCTCAGAAGGGCCTCACACTTGGTTTACTGCTCTGCTGCTGCCATCTTGAAATTCTGAATAATCTTTGAACAAGAGGTCCCACATTTTCATTTTGCAAGGAGCTCCACAAATTATGTAGCCAGTTATGGTAAAACAAAACTCATCTGTAACATCATAAACTATCTTGGTTGTCCATTTTTCACAAGTTTCTTATAACATCTGAAAGATTACAGGGTCTTCAAAATTATGCAGTAGTTACTATTCCTGATAATTTCTTAATGCGATTTTACTTTTGTATTTATAAAATCATATAAAGGAAGAATTTCCCACTGGTTAAGTCACTTCCGTTAGAGGCTGCACTAACTTTTTCCATCCACATAAGCATGATTTAGTAAGAAAATGGTCTCAATGCTCTGATTCCTTATCATCAGAAAGAACTGTTTGGTTGTTAAAAATAAAATTGAAAGCAGAAAAGATTGAAATAGTAGCTTCAGATTTCCTTTCCTCTAAAGTTCAGATACATGAGGGTTTATAGGGCAAAGATGTCAAACTAAAACAAATGGAAACTCTCAGACATGTTTACTTGTTATCTAAAGAAGATATGAGAACATCCAGCAAGGGTGAACAAAATGTTCTAAAGTACATACAAACAAGGACAATTATTGAATAAGTATACTAATACTATATTAGGAACTAAGAGAATGTAAATGTGCTCTTCAGTAGATGTGTTCCTGAACAGTTATCCAACTCATTATCTACCTCCTTCCCACTTTCAAAGAGTTACATTTTAATATACAGGGACATTGCTACTTAAGAAATTCTCTGGTAATTCATTTTACAAACTAAATATTAATACATCTACACACACACACACACACACACACACACACGATGCAAATGATCATTCCTTATCACTTGTTGAGTTTATTCTAGCATGTTTTAGTTTTAAGAACATGGCAATATATTATACATCAACCAAAGCCATAATGAACAACACAAAGACTCTACTGAGTTCCCTGTAAAGAGTCCAATGCCAAGGGTATCCTCCCACTTTGTCACTGAGAACTACTTGATTCTGACTGATACTGTCACTGGCAGAAGGAATGCAAAGCTTAGAGGACAAGCCTCTCATTTGCAAATGTACAGCAATGTCATGACTCAGTTCTAATATTTAACTAAAAACAATGTTCAGCACAAGTAACATAGAGAAGCCTAGTAGACAAGGTGGTGGGCTGAAGTAGGCTACTCCTGGCTCTACTGTTTAGCACTAAACTGGCTTTATGGACCTGGAGTAACTCAGTTGCCACACTTGTGAAATAAGATGAGTCATTGGGCTCTAGGGTTCTTAAACTTTAGTGTACATCAGAATCACCTAGGGAGGTTGTTAGAAAATGGATTGCTGTCCCCTTACCCCCACCCAGTTTCTTATTCAGTGGGTTTAGAGTGAAGCCAGAAACTTTGCATTTCTAACCAGTTCCCAGGTTATGCTGAAGCTGCAGCATGGCAAGAATCTGAAGTACTAAACCCACAGTAGCAGGGTTCCTGAGGCACCTGCCAAGATGCTACAGTATCAACAGAGAACAGCAGTGTTCTTTCAGAAGAAACTCAGGCTGAAAGATGGTAGTACATTGGCCTGCTAATTAACAAGGGGTGGGGTGAGGGGAGTGGGGCTGGATGAACCTCGAGAAAGCAAGGAGGTTATGACTTGAAACTGAGACTAATCAATCAGACTATGCAAGGCCCTAAATCAGAAAATGAAACCAGGTAAACTAAGGGATGAGAGAGAATCAGCTAAAGTGATGAGTCAGAACACACGAGGAACACTGTTAGTGAGATGGGACAATAGGAATGAAAGATCATAGGAGGTTAACAAGAAGGGCAAAGGTCCCATGCCTTGGGGGAGGGGTGGGACAAGGCTTGGGTCTGACTTGACTCAGAAAGTTCCTGAAGAAGCTCTGCCCAAATACTTTGCTATCATTGCCCAAAGGAAAGAGTATTTCAGGCAAAAAGAGTTAATTCCAGATGGATGCTCTGAAATGCTAAAAAAGAATGAAGAGTAAAATGTGGAGCTAGGGCCATGGTATACTCCTGTAATCCTAGCTAGTGGGGAGGCTGACGCAGGAGGATCACTTGAGCCCAGGAGTTCGTGGCCAGCCTGAGCAACACAGTGAGACTCCCTTGTCTAAAAAAAAAAAAAAAAATGAATAATATGTGGGTAAGTATAAATGAACATTAACTGAATAAAAATAATGATCCTACTGTCTTGTTCTAAGGTGGGTAATACAAGACCTTGACATCAATACTGTATGCTTGTTTACACAAAAACAAATACTGCATGATCTCACTTAGATGTGCAATCTAAAAAAGTCAATCTCATAAAAGCAGAAAGAGTGGTGGTTGCCAACAGCTGGGGGAAGAGATGGGCAGATGTTGGTTAAAGAGTACAAAGTTCCAGTTAGACAGGATGAATAAGTTCTGGAGACTGATTGTACAGCATGGTGGTTATAGTTAATAATACTGTATTGTACCCTAAAAAATTGCTCAGAGAGTAGATCTAAAATGTTCTCACCACCAAAAAAGTATATGAGGTGATGAATATGTTAATTAGATTGATTTAATCATTTCACAATGTATACATATGTCAAAACATCACATAGTACACTGTCAATATGTACAATTTATTTGTCAATTATACCTTAGGAGAGCTGAAAAAAAGAAAAAGATGCCGTATATCTTTCTAACCAGCTTTATACTTCAATGGAATTTTGAAAAATAAGCTGTGATAGTAAATTATATTGTTAACAGAAACACATACAAATACTCATGTTGGAATCTATCTAATAATATGTGGATATTCACACATACATTATATATACTGTAACCTTTGCTATTTTTAAAAGGCATCTTTGCTAATGAGTTCAGCTAACAAAACCATATCCATATTCACTTTTGAAGATATTGAGGTGAAGTGATATTGATCTCACATATATTTCCACACCTACCATAGCACACAAAACACCTATGAATATTCAATGTCTACATAGTCAAGGATTAAGGTCCAAATTCATGTGTGCTTTCCTACCACTCTTCTAAGATAAATACTCCTTTAATATCAGTGAAAATAAAAACATACTGCTGAAAGCATCTGTATTCCTAGGATGCTCCTAAAAATTAGTAGTTGTTAGTTATTGCTAAACTCCACATCTGGGTGTGACCAAAATGTATACAGTATGAGAGGTATATTATAGCATAAGGGGGCATTACATTTCCAAAAGATTTTGAATCAACCTAATGATTTTCAGAAATGTAATGAAAGAGAAAAACAGGTCCTTCTACAGTGCCTAATAAAACTGTGAAAACACAAAGTAGAGAAAAATGTAAGAAAACAGAAAGAGGCTGCTTAATGCCTTTCAAATAGAAACTGAATTGCTGAGGCAGTTCTCACCACCTTATTTATATATCGGGTTGCTCACAAATCATGATGTCACCCACCAGGAAGCAATGCATCAGGAGGAGCATGACAGTGCAACAAGCCCAAAGAAGGAGGGGAGAGAGGTGCAGCAGAATGATAAAAATGTATCAACTCGAAAAATCCAAATGGTTTTACAGATGAATATTATATGAAAGCATTACATGCAAATAAGAAATTAGTTTCAGAAACTGTCTACAGGCCAAACAAACCAACATAAAAGAGGATGCTTATAACAAAGGACTTACATTTGGTGAACCAAAACTGGGTACTCCTTGAATATCAGAGATTGAAGAGATGGCTAACTTCCACCAAAAGGTTTCCTTTCCCTACCATATCTGTGAGACAAGCAACTAGTCTCTTATGTCCCATCTCAAACAACAACAAAAATATGACAACAAACAAAACAAACAAAACCTGGCATATGGTCCTACTTTCCATTTAAATAATACATTTTTTTCTTTAAGACATACTGTCTTAAAGTAAATTTTTGAGATGGCTCCTCAATACAGACTTCTGGTTTTACTTTGGTATGTCAGCATCAATTAGTCTTTAGTTACTTTGTCTTTAAAAAAAATCACATCCGGCCGGGTGCAATGGCTCACGCCTATAATACCAGACTTTGGGAGGCCGAGGCAGGTGGATCATGTGGTCAGCAGTTCAAGACCAGCCTGGCCAAGATGGTGAAACCCCGTCTCTACTAAAAATACAAAAATTAGCCAGGCGTGGTGGTGGGTGCCTGTAATCCCAGCTACTCAGGAGGCTGAGGCAGAGAATTGGAATTGCTTGAACCCGGGAGGCGGAGGTTGCAGTGAGCTGAGGTCGCACCATTGCACTCCAGCCTGGGAGACAGAGCAAGACTCCATCACAAAAAAAAAAAAAAAAAATCACATCCTTCAGAAGAAATGTTAACTACTAAAGTCTAGGGCACATGATCTCTTTTCCTAAGATTATACTTATCTGTGGTTTTAAAAGAGCTAACTCATACATTTCCTTATAAAGATGTTTACCTTGCTCCTCTAGGGTCTTAAAAAAAGAGAGAGGATGAGGGAGAATAGGCTGAAAACTGCACTGCCAACCATTGCCCCTACCCCCACTTCCACCCTTGAGGAGGGAGGTATCTTTTGGAGGTTTCATCTACTGTCAGGGTTACTCAGTTGAAAATAGATACTTTCAACATGCTTTAGCCACAGGAGCTTACAGGATTACTTAAAAGTACAGGCTGCATGTGAATGTACTGTGGGGGAAGGAATGTGGTTACATTTAAAGGTTAATGTAACCATAGTTCATCTCTATAGCTCAATCTCGATTTCCCCTCAAAACATGATCAGATAGCCCTTAGAACAAAGCTGTATTGACTATTTGAGTGAAGAAAAAAGAGATGCAAAGAACGGTATAACAAGACCTAACAACATAATGGATTCTGGTGATGCTGGATAGAGAGCTCTGACTCAGAACCAGTTGCCTCAAACAAGTTAAGCATCTTTTTAAAACACTGGGGAAGACACAGGGGAGGTAGTTTCATATACCATGCTGAAGTTCAGTAGAATGAGGTCGGTTAAGCACTCTGTCCTGAGACATACACTTTTCATTTTCAATTGTTTTCAAATAGAAAGAGAGAAATCCCCTTTTCAAGTTGGATTGTTTAAATGCACCTACAGCTACTCCTGTCTAGCAAAGGCTAGGCAAGCTCTCCCTACTGATGCATTTCAAAAAAGGTTCAATTGGCAAAAGAAAGCAAGTGCAAAGGGTTTTTGACAAAAGAGGACTAGAGGGAACACATTTTCCTTTCACAGAAATACTGTTCTAGAAAATCAGACAAGGTAGTGACTCAACCAAGAATGTGTAGATATTGGTGAGATCAACAGGAAATTTGGAAAACTTCTTCAACTTCAAACACTCAACTGCGTAAAATTATTAGCTAAAAAATTGGGGTAGGGATTACATTATAAAAATATGGGACTAAAGAGACAAACAAAACAAGACACTATGATTTACAGATTACAACACAGCCTAAACCAGCATACTCTGAGAATGTGGTTATCTTATACCACAGAACCACACGGATGTAAAAGGAACCTCCTGGACCCTGTCCAATCCTCAGCAGGGCTATGCCTGAGTCTTCCTAGACCTATATGCATCCATCCTATTTAATGATGCCCCAAATAATTCCTACGCAACTTTCTCCAGGGCTCAGCAAATAGAAAAGGCTAAATCAAATACAGGAGCTCTGAAATATCTAGTCTGACAAAAAGAATTTTTTTTTTTAAAGTACATTTAAAGTAGATTCCAGTGCTGGTTCAAACAAATAAAAGTATTATGCCATCCATAGTTAATTGCACATTTAAAAGGATAATTATTTTTTGATTTTCAAATGAATCATACCATCATCTTCTAAGCTGTTACGAAATAGCATATGAAACCTACTGTTGATATATATGACAAGCAGGTATTCTAAGTTTAGGTTTTAATGTCTTCCTAATACCATTGTGACAAAGGTATAATTGCTTTCTTAAACGATGTCTTCTTTTCCATTTTATCCCACTAACAAGTTAAGATACTATATACTTTATAGGTTGTTCATGTGTGAGGGGTGTAACAGAGGACTGAGGATTGACTATTTATAAAAAAAGAAATATAGATGATTTTAAGAGATTATATATGATATGTGAAAAATATTATATGCTACATACGGTCCTGTGTGAGTATATACATACACCTATGGGACTACATGAAGCAACAACCATTATTTCTTACAGAACAGACACACATAAGAGAGGGAGAAAGGCTGATAGTTAATAACCCCTGAAATAGGTTAATAGTGCTAAGTTATCAGTCAATCATACTTTGATTAGGATATGTCACCACAGATCAGCACACTGTAGGCACTGAATAAATACTTGTGGAATTAAATTAACAATCACTGAAAGGTTTTTGTCCATAATCCTTTTGCACATTCAGTGTAACAACGGAATTTATTTATTTATTTTTTTTAGACAGAGTCTCACTCTGTCGCCCAGACTGGAGTACCCGGGTTCAAGCAATTCTCCTGCCTCAGCCTCTCGAGTAGCTGGGATTACAGGCATCCGCCACCATACCCAGCTAATTTTTGTAGTTTTAGTAGAGACGGGGTTTCACCATGTTGGCCAGGCTGGTCTCGAACTCCTGACCTCAGATGATCTGCCCGCCTCAGCCTCCCAAAGTGCCGGGATTACAGGTGTGAGCCACTGCGCCCGGCCAAGTGTAACAGTAGATTTTGTCCTGATTCTAAAGCAGCCCAGGGGCTCGGGAATTCAATGTGGGTGGACCAAATATAATTTAAAAAAAAGTCATTAGAGACTCAGTTGGGTTCAGTGCAGTTTGTTGGTTCTGTGAATCTGTTAGGTGTAATTACTGACATGAATCTAAGTGCATTTGACTGAGAACAGAGCAAAATTAATTGCAATGTTGCTGTATAACAGCTGTTATTCATTTGACACTTTTCTGTAATAAGAATTAGAATATTAAAATATGGAACAAAGCATGTTTTTAATAAATGATTAGGCCACCTACAATGTGTTTTGGTAATTTCTTATATAGTCAGTTTTATTGTTTTCACTTACCTGCTCTAATATTTTCATAGATTTCTGCCTAGTAAAGTTGCATAAATCATATATAGCAACAAGCATATATTGTAGAGAAAAGCCAAATTTGTAACTGCCAGTGTTACTCATCTTCTACATACAAATTGATGAAATCTTGTTAAATGTTCAGCACACTGAAGACAGCTCTTACAGTTTTTGCAAATCTGAGTTTCTGCATTTAGAATGTAAGAACTCTTAATGAGATCTAAAGTATATTACCTATCTTGTTTCACATATTTATTTTTGTCTCTCATTTAAAAGAATATTTTTAGTAGATGTAGAAATTTGTTTTACTGCTAAGGCAGATAGAATGAGAGTTTAGCACTTATTTCCCGAGAACTGAAGCCAGAAATGTAATTATTTTAGTATGGGGTCAGAAAAAAAAAATTACTAGTGATAAGTGGCTCAAATAGGCTACAGGAAAAAATAACTAGAATCTTCAATTAATCTAGAGTGTATTCTGGAAATAGTACAGATAAAGCACATGCTCCAATGCTAGTGTATACTGATCACTGATGCTCTGAATAATGGCCCAGAGACAATAACGAAATCCTAATGATCTACCAGTAAATGTATATTGTGTGCTGGCTACATGTCCAAAATTATATCTATGTGCCACATGCTGCTGCACATTTTCACCTGTGTAACATGTAAAGCCAAAATTTTTTTGTGGGCGGAGGTGGTTGGGAGAGTGCGAGGAGAGTTGTACAAAGAGTTGAGAAAGATTTCAGATGATAAAGACTGATGCATAAACAGCTTTCTATATAATTATAAAGTCAGATTAATCAAAACTCCACTTCTTTTAGGCTAGTCAATCAAGATCTTATTGTAATGATTATTGCCATTGATAATTTTCCTTGATATGTTCACTAAATAATTATTATTATCAAAGGGATAACATTTAACACTTATTACATGCTAACCATGTGCCAGGCAAGTACTAAGAGATTTACATGTATCCTCTCATTTACTTCTTATGAAAATCCTACGAGGTTGATGCTGTTGTTTTCTCTGTCCTCGAGGATCAGAGAGGTTAGATGAGTTGTTCAAGGATACACCATGTAGGGAGCAGGGCCATGATGTGAACTGGTTTTGTCTGGCTCCAAAGGCAAGAGGGGTAAACTCATTTCAATCACAGGCTAAACCAATGATGGAGAGATCTGACAGATTACATGTCACTGGGGATCAGCAGATTCAACCAGCAGGGTGTGGTTTATCATTTGATGATTGCTACAATGGGAGCTCCTCCTCTTTGCATCTCAATATCTTTTATCCCAATGCTTGAACTTAGAAATTCAACAAATGTTGACTGAATGGCAGCAGCATGACACGATATTGCCTTAACATGGACCTAAAGATATTTCATTAAAATAACAAAGTCACGAATTCATACTAAACATCTTAATGTGTGAGAAGCTCCAAAGACCTGGGTAAGTCTTTACTGTACTGAATAATTTTATCTGGGGAAACAAAACCCAAATTTTCACTGAAAAATCAAATCTAGAGAACAAAGAGAAAAAAATTCTGATCTTTATATAAACATAGATTTCTTGAAATCTTTGCTAAGGTAGGAAACTAGGTAACTTAAAGTAAACATAGTATCAGCCAGATACACTTTTTCTCTTCATAGGTAAGGCTTTGCTAGGCCAAAGACTGTTTTCTAGGTCCACCAAGCATACAAACTTGTTTTACTTTGTATTAGCATCTATGAGCTGTTTATTAGCAGTTGTAAAAATATGCCGGAACGATAGTACCGATATTGCCTCATTAATTTATATTATTGGAGGTGATTTACTGCTACTTGAATCAATTCCATTATTTGTGAGTTTTCTAATCTATAATTTTGGTGACTATAATTTAATGTCTGGGGTATGACAGTAAGAAACATAAATTGACCTATTCAGATCAAAATAATATAATGTGAAATGAGTTTATTCACTTATAAGATGTAATTATTTTACAACTAGGAAAACAGATAAAAACAAAATTGCTATCAACCAGAGTTTAAATGTTTAGGTTTATTTGGCAAAACTGCTCATCAACTCTCTGAAGACTGATTTTTCATCAAATCTAAGGTACCTCATTCTTTATCATGACACTAGAAGTAAACAGGCAATTCTGATTTCCATATAATCTTATACAAGGAGGAGTAAAACTCTTCCTGATTAAATTAATATTTGCATAAGAATCATGCTTATAGTTTGCAATTTCAAAATACCCATTTTAACATACTTTTTCCTATTGCTTCCTCTAAGATTTTGCAGTTAATTTGCTGACTTCCATAAACATGAAAAGAAAGAGATTTATTTACAAATATTTGGTAAGCTTTTTCTCTTCTACCTACAGAACTAATTAATCTTTTTTTTAGTGGTCCCTAACATAATTATCCTCTATATCAATATAGCCAAACATTGGAGAACATAGATTAGACCAAGTACTTTACATAGTTTGCATACTGTTGCACGCATTTTAGAGTACATTTGTTGACTTAGCATATTTTTGTTGCATTTAAATTAGCTTTCTCAATTTTACATTTAAATAAGTGGTATATTACTGTGCATGCTCTAATTATAATTATTTGGAAAATGGTGCAATAAACGTTGATTGGATGGATCAAATAGCCTAATGTGCCAAAATATATCAATATATAATTATCTACTGGTAAAACTGTGCTGTTCTTTTAAAAAGATGTCTCTTGCTCATCAGTCAATCTGTTGCTTGCAACTTCCAACTGCTTTTAAAATCTCCTTTATGAAATTTTTTCCTTCCTGTTACCATCTTCTCAAACTGCTTCAGGTTTAAACTCCTTTGAAGAGAGAATCAGGTATGAGCTCACTCCCTTTTCATCACCTTTCACTGTTCTTTTCCAGCTACATCCTCCTTGTAGTCTCCTCTCCTTTCTTGTGCTTCTGGCTTACTTCTTGAAAATCCCTAAATGAATTCCCATAATGACCTTAGCTCTCCTACCTCATCATGCCACAACTCCCCTGCCTGACTTGGAAGGCTCTTTCACAGCCCGGCTCCATCCTACCTTTCCAACAATTTTCCAAATCAAACCCTTCACTAAAACGACACCAACAGAAAATACTGACTGAACATTTAACTATCAGGGACTGGTAATAGGCCAAATGCCATTAACGTATAATCAATAAACAGACTACAGTATAAATAACACCAGTCTCTGGTTTTACAGAAGAAAAAATTGAGGCACAGAAAGATGAAACACCTTGTCAGAGATTATATGGCTAGCAAACTGTGGTGCTGGGACTTGAACTTAGGACCCATTCTCTTAATCGTTTTGATGTATTTTCCTGTGGGCTATACACATATCCTACATAAAGCATGCTGCCTTATGTGCTGACGTGCACTACTGCTGATGTTATTCCCTTTTACTTGGATAGTTTCACCTCTGCTCAGCCAAATGTTACCCATCCTTCAGGGTCTAGCTTGACTGGTATGTTCAGAGGCTGTATTTAGCCTTCTCCATGAAACTTTATGTAATTTTACCAGACCTCACTGATTTCCCTTTTTAGATAGAGTTAAAGAGCAAATAATCTCTATTATGTATCAGCACACAGTTTAATGTTTGCTAGGTCACCTTTATTTTATTTCTCTGACAAAAATGAAAACTTCTTAAGGGTGGAGACTATTTCTTGAGTTTTTACTAGATTCTTCAAGAAGCATAAAAATGACTCTTTCATCGTGTCAGCAGCAGCAAGTATATTCTAGGTCCTGTGTTTTGTACTGTACTTAATTATCTCACTTAATCTTCACTAAAACTATAAGAGGTGAATGTCATTATCCTATATTACACATGAGGTAACTGAGGCATGAAGAGATAAGGCAACAGAACTAGGTCATAAAGCTAGGTAGCAGAGCTAAGACTGATCTTCACTTCTGAACACACAGAATTTAAATTTTTAGTAATACCACTTAATGTTTATAAAATGCCTGTCTCTTTAATATTTAATCATATCTATTTTCTCCTTTACAATTAAAAAAACTGTTTCTTATCATGGCATTTGCCTTCTGATCTCCAAATCTCTCAAAATATAGCCTTGGTACATGGTATTTTTTTATGGATTTAACTTGAAAGATATAATTCTCTGGCTGCTTGGTTTTCATGATATCATTACTTAATTCTGAGCTCAGTTGATCAAATGTAGATTACAGAAATAATCTTTGTGTTTGCTTTATACTATTATTTTTCTGAATAATTAAATCCTCAAATATTTCTCCTTGATGAATGTATATAATTTTGCATGCCACATAAAGATACCTTACTTTTGCTAAGTTACATCTACTAAGCAATAGATGTGTTAAAAAAAAAAGGTTGGGGGAGAAGTGTTTGTCCTTTGCTACATTGATAGGAAATAGAAGCTTTACGGAAAGTGTACACTTTTTTAAAAAGTTATTTGTAATTTCCAATGTGACTTACTTTATCCAGGGAACTCTCTACTTTTGTTACAGGTAAGATCCTATGGTTCCAATGGTATGTATCTTTGGTCCCATGCATGAAATACCTCTATGTACTATATATTACATACCTCGCAATGGCAATGAAATGTTCTATATCATCTCTCTTTCGGTGGAAGAGAAGATTACAATGTTCTAATTGGACATATTTAAAGTTATATAAATCACTTTCTGATGACACTTCACTCACATCTTCCATAGGCTTTCACGCCCCATGGATTCACATATGATATGTCTCCATCATGATTCCTCCCAGCTCTCAGAAGGCTCACAACTGCCTTCCATCTAGTTGATAAGAGCATCTTTCATAAGACACTCTCTGAGAAACTCAGACAGTGAGCTCCATCTTGACAGACACCCAACTCTATTATTCTTACTCTTTCTTTCCTGCATCTTTTCATTTTCATAATTAAAACTACACACTTGCAATGGAAGGATCTGTTTTTGAAACATATTTATAAGTACAAAGGCACATATAGTCCAAGTATAAAGTAACATTACAATAAATAATAATAATATTTGTAACACATGGGCCATGAGTCAAGAAGGTAACAGTAGTTTACTATTTGACTGATACGTAAATAGAGCTATGGTACTAAAACATAAAAAATAAATCCAATTTTTAAAAATTTATTTTTCATGCTCAAATCACTCAGCTGAGCATATGCATAAAAACTTATTTGGATATTTATCTTACGGTCTCAATGACATTTGAAAAGGTAATTAACTAAATATTAGCAAATGAAAATACATACAGACTATGAAACCATCCCTATAAAAATTTAAAAATTAATCAGGGAAGAAAGGAGAGAAAGAAATGAAAATAGGCCAAGGCCGGGCGTGGTGGCTCATGCCTGTAATCCCAGCTACTTGGGAGGCTGAGGCAGGAGAATCACTTGAACCCAGGAGGCAGAGGTTGTAGTGAGCTGAGATTGCATCACTGCACTCCAGCCTTGATAACAGAGCAAGACTCCATCTCAAAAAAAAGAAAAGAAAAGAAAAGAAAAGAAAATAGGCCAGGCACAGTAGCTCACGCCTATAATCCCAGTACTTTGGGAGGCCAAGGCAGATCGCTTAATCTCAGGAGTTCAAGACCAGCCTGGGCAACATGGCGAAACCACACACCTACAAAAAATACAAAAATTAGCTGGGCATGGTGGTGTGTGCCTATATTCCCAGTTACTGGGGAGGCTGACGTGGGAGGATCGTTTGAGCCCGGGAGGCAGAGACTGTAGCGAGACAAGACTGCGCCACTGCACTCCAGTCTTGGCAACAGAGTGAGACCCTGTCTCAAAAAAAAAAAAAAAAAAAAAAAAAAAAAGACAGAAAGCAGGGAAAAAGATAAACCAAGCTTGTGGTACATTCAGTGATTCAGTGTTAATCATTAAGTCAGCTTGCTCTCTGACCGGCTTGACCTGCTTCCTCATAGTTGTTCGGTACTTATTGCTTCAAAATCACACAGACCCTGTTACAAGATTATAGTTCCCCTTAACTGCTGTGTAGATAACAACTTGAACATTATAAAACATTAAGTTTTCCATTGGAGCTATTCTTTCAGTGCTGTGTACCAATGAAACTACTGATGTCAGCTGGTCTGAAGGATCCCACAAGAAGCTGACTCACCAAAGAATGCAGTTTCCACATCCTGATGATTTCATCCCCCTTGCCCTGGTCAATCAATGACTCCAATTTTCCAGCCCCCTACTCTCCGAGATCCACTTAAACATCCCAGCCCAGAACTCCTTGAGGGGATGGATTTGAGGGTCTCCTCCCATCTCTTTGCTTGGTGCCCTGCAATCATTAATGTCTTTCTCTGCTGCATCCCAGTTGTCTCAGGGTATTGGTCTGTTACTGTGCAGCAGGCATACAAACTTGTTGGTCCTATAACAACTAGACACAATCAAAATAAGCCCTTCTTTCTTTGTCTGTTATAGACACATTTTTAGGAGAACAGTGAAAGGTTAATAAACACTTGGAGGAGCGTAGGAATTGCTGTAGTGTGGGAGAAAGATTACATTCTCAGAACAAAACTGGATAGGCTCCTTTTTTTTTTTTTTTTTTTTTGAGACAGAGTCTCGCTCTGTAGCCCAGGCTGGAGTGCAGTGGCGTGATCTCGGCTCACTGCAACTTCTGCCCCCCGGGTTCAAGCAATTCTCTGCCTCAGCCTCCCGAGTAGCTGGGATTACAGGCACCTGCCACCATGCCCAGCTAATTTTTGTATTTTTAGTAGAGACGGGGTTTCACCATCTTGGCCAGGCTGGTCTTGAACTCCTGACCTCATGATCCACCCGCCTAGGCCACCCAAAGTGCTGGGATTACAGGTGTGAGCCTCTGCACTCGGCCGATAGGCTCCATTTTTAACCACTTACTCTTTTCATTGTTCACTCCAGCAATGCTGGAGTGTGGCGGGGGACTCCTGGAGGCCCCGAAAGATCATTTCAGGGATTTGCAAGGTGAAAACTATTTTCATAATAATACTGACACTTTTTTGCCTTTCTATTTCTCATTCTTTCCTGAGTGTATCGTGAAGTTTTCCAGAAGTTACATGAAGAATGATATTGAATCAGATTGAATAGAAAAGTAGGTATGAGAATCAAGCTGTCTTATTAAGTCAGACTGTGAAGAGATTTATGACATTATTCTTTTTCTCTTCTAATTCTTTTTTTGTTTTGGAAAATATAGGTAGTTTTCATTTAAAAGGTTATTTATTTTAACATGAAAAGGTTTACTATTGTTATTTTAATTGAATCAATCGATAATTTTAAAATTATCTCAGTTTCAACTCTAAGATGATAAATGTCAATATAAACAACTTAGATAAACAAAAGGCATTTGGGGTCCTCAATGATTTTTAGTGTAAATGGGTTCTGAGATCAAATAGTTTCAGAACCTCTGATTTATACTTTACCGTGGTGATCCCATTCAAACACACATGCTATAAGTTGAACTATGTAATTAAGAGGTGATTGTTCTAAAATATTTATTTTAGGAAAAAAAAACAGTAACTAAGAGCAGCTGGGCATGTTAGCATACACCTATATTCCCAGCTACATGGGAGGCTGAGGGAGGAGGATTGCTTCTGCCTAGGAGTTTGAGGCTGCAGTGAGCTATGATCACATCTCTGTATTCCAGCCTGGGTGACAGAGTGAGACTCCATCTCTAAAGAAATAAAATAAAGTAGGGTGGGCCTTTAATTCAATATCACTGGTATTTTTATAAAATAAACACCATGTGAAAAGACAGATATGCACACAGGGAGAATGCCATTTGAAGGTTGAAGTTATGCTGTGACAAAGCAGAAAACTACTAGAATCTAGGAGAGAGGTCTGACACAGATCCTACCGTAGACTCTTCAAAAGGAGCATGACCCTGCTGACACCTTGATCTTGGACTTCTAGCCTCCAGAACTGTCAGACAACATGTATCTGTTGTTCTAAGCTACTTAGCTTGTGGCATTTTCTTATGGCAGCCCTGGCAAACTAGTACACTGTAACTTTAATGTTCAAATAAAAACCAATGATCCCCAAGCCGATATGGTTAGTTTAGACTTCTTTCCTGAGTTTCACAATCACATATACAATGGCTTCTTAGACATTTTCCATCTTTACAAGGTGGAACTAAACATGTTTAAAATGATATTAGTCATTGTAACTCTCCTGAGAAAATGTGCTCTATTCCTGAGTTTGCTTTCTCTGTGAAGCATACCATCTTCTTTAACACTTGCCTCCTTTGATTTACACATCCAATCAATCATCAGCACCTGTCAATTCTGTCCTTTAACACCCTCTCATGATCGTTAATTTTATATGTCAACTTGGCTGGGCCACAATGTCCAGATATTTGGTCAAACATTATTTTGGTAGTTTCTGTGAGGGTGTTTTTGGATGAGATCAACATTTAAATCAGTGAACTTTGGGTAAAGCGGTTTGTACCTCATGATGTGAGTGGGCCTCATCCAATCAGTTGAGGGCCTGACTAGAACAAAAACACCGACATCCCCCAAGCAAGAGAGAATTCTGCAGCAGATAGTTTTCAGACTTGAACTGTAACATTGGCTTTCCTCTGGGTCTCTAGCCTGTCCTCCTGCCTTGCAGATTTTAAACTTGCCAGCTTCTATAATCACTTGAGCCAATTCCATAAAATAAATCTGTGTGTGTATATGTGTTTGTGTACACACACATCTTACTAGTTCTGTTTCTCAAAAGAACTCTGACTAATACACCTCTTGTTGCTTTTTAAATCTCACTGTCACTGTATTAGTTCAGGCCACCATCATCTCTTGTCAGGACTATGACAATATCCTCATAACCTCTATTTTCTTAGGGCTTTCCCCTTCTAATACATTCTTTCTGCTTCTGTCAAAATGACCTTTCTGGCTGGGAGGTTACAGTGAGCTGAGATCATGGCACTGCACTCCATCATGGGTGACAGAGTGAGACCCTGTCTCAAACAAAAACAAAACAAAAACAAAAAAACAAAACAAAACAAAAACAAAATGATCTAAGAATCCTGACTATGTACATCATTTTCCAGTTTATAAACATTCATGGGCTTCCCATAGCTTTCAGCATTAAGACCCTTGGCATAGCAGAAAAGAAAGAAAGATACCATTAGGAGAAATAGATGATGGGTTGATGGGTGCAGCAAACTACCATGGCACGTGTATACCTATGTAACAAAACTGCACATTCTACAAGTGTACTCCAGAACTTAAAGTATAATTAAAAAAAAAAAAAAAAGAAAGAAAGAGAGCTCACAATCTGTCCCCTGTCCCCTACTATCTCTTCTGGCCTCTTCTCCGACTACTCCTCCCTGCACATAAAGGAGCTAACTTTCAGAACTTTTCTTTTTTTTTTTATTTTGAGACAGAGTCTCACTCTGTCACCCAGGCTGGAGTGCAGTGGTGAGATCTCGGCTCACTGCAACTTCCACCTCCTGGGTTCAAGCGATTCTTCTGCCTCAGCCTCCCGAGTAGCTGGGACTACAGGTGCGCACCACCACGCCTGGCTAATTTTTGTATTTTTAGTAGAGACGGTGTTTCACCATATTAGCCAGGTTGGTCTCGAACTCTTGACCTCGTGATCCACCCACCTTAGCCTCCCAAAGTGCTGGGATTACAGGCGTGAGCCACCATGCCCAGCCACTTTCAGAACTTTTCTACTGACTTCTTCACCTTTTCAATGATAACTTCCTATAAACACATATTGCCATGCTGTACTCTAGTGCTTACCTCCTGATAGAGTGACCTCAGTCATGACCAGTTTTCCTGATTCTAATTATGAAGTTCGTTTGCTAAATTATGTTGATACTATTCTATTTTAACACAGCTTTTTACATAATATTACTTTTTTTCTTCTGTTAAAATGTTATATTTGTTTCCTGGGTGGAAGATATAAACTATAGTCAATTCCTGAAAATGTTTATATATTTTAAAAGTACAAAGACTAAACTTAACAGTACGGATATTACTTTAGAAGATTAGCCATTAAGACATTACTGCAAAATACTTGATAATGATTGTTATAATTAATAATTACACTTAAAAACACATAATAATAATTAACTCTGGTTACACACTGCCTGGGTTCAAATCTTGGTTCTACCTCTCACTATCATTGTGACCTTGGGCAAGTTACTTAACTTCTCTGTGCCTCAGTTTTGTCATTTTAAAATGAGATAGTAGTACTTTCCTAATAGGGTTCTATGAGGATTAAATTGGTTCCTAAATGTAAAATTCCTAGAATAGTTCTTGGTAAATAGCAAGTGCTATATGTTAGTTGTTGTTGTTATCATTTTCTCCTGACAGTGGCATAGGTAAATGGAAAGATTCTATAGTGAGACGACTTGGATTCTAATCTTGGTGCTAGTACTTCCTGTTTGTGTGACCTTGGCCAAGTTCCTTAATTTCTATGAGCCTCAGTTTTCTATCTGTAAAATGAGATGATAATAGTACCTACCTCATAGAGATGGTGTGAGGATTGACTTAAAATATGTAAAAGTGCCGGGTGCAGTGGCTCACGCTTGTAATCCCAGCACTTTGGGAGGCCGAGGTGGGTGGATCACGAGGTCAGGAGTTCGAGACCAGCCTGGTCAACACAGTGAAACCCTGTCTCTACTAAAAATACAAAAATTAGCTGGGCATGGTAGCAGGCACCTGTAATCCCAGCTACTCGGGAGGCTGAGGCAGGAGAATTGCTTGAACCCAGGAGGCAGAGGTTGCAGTGAGCCGAGATCAAGCCACTGCACTCCAGCTTGGGCGACAGAGCTAGACTCTGACTCAAAAAAATAAATAAATAAATACGTAAAAGTCTTACAACCATGCTTGGCATGTGGTCAATATTATAGAGTGCTTGCAATTTTTACTATTGTTATCTTCAGTAATACATGGTCCATATTAATCATATTACCTTGTATCTTATTCAGATTTTGTTTTGTTTTGTTCCTAAATTCTCTAAACCTCAGGTGACAAAGACTATGCATGCTTTTTTTATTCCTAAATTTTCAGTGTGCAGATACCTGATACCAATCACTTTCTTTTTTTGCCCTCTCTTCTTTAGAAAGTAAACCAACCAAACCAAACAACTCACCAACAATATACAGTCACTCTTGCTAACCAATAAAACAACTTTATTTATTTATTTATTTATTTATTTATTTATTTTTTGAGATACAGTCTCGCTCTGTTGCCTAGGCTGGAGTGCAGTGGCATGATCTTGGATCACTGTAGCCTCCGCCCCCCAGTTTCAAGCAATTCTCTCACCTCAGCCTCCTGGGCAGCTGGGATTACAGGCGCCTGCCACCATGCCTGGCTAATTTTTGTATTTTTTGTAGAGATGGGTTTCACCATGTTGCGCAGGCTGGTCTTGAACTCCTCACCTCAAGCGACCCTCCCGCCTCGGTCTCCCAAAGTACTGGGATTACAGGCATAAGCCACTGTGCCCGGCCTCAAACAACTTACTTTAAACTATATGGACATGCCAGCATCTTGTACTTAGGTTTATAGCTGTGCAAGATGCCTTTCCCTATTTTATTCAACTTGTAATAGTGCTGTCAATATTTCTTAGGACTTAAAATGTTCAAGCTTCCAAGGAAGACTGTTAACTGTTACTGCACTGCCAACAGACATGTGCCAACAAAATGAAGTTAAAAGCTAAGGCTTATCTCCCCATACCCGTTTTTCACATTTCATCTCACCCACTTTTTCCCTCCCCACTGCCTCATCCAGAATATAATATACTATGGCAAGAAAAGTAGGGAGAAAAACACTATCTCAACAAAATATCATCTTGCATTGGTTATCAAAAATCCTGAATGCTCAGCGTAGGGAGATAGGAAACCACACATAGCATCATGAGAGAAATTTAGCACAAGTAACTAATACTATTGTGAATTTTCTATGAAAATTTACTTTATAATCCAAAAATAAATAACTGCAATTATTTTGTACTTCTTGCATTTTTGTAAAAATTGGAAATATTTTCATACCTTTGTTTATATCAATGAGTTGTTTCTTTTTCTTCTGGCGTTCTAACTTTTCTTGTTCAGCTTTCTCTTTTGCAAGTTTTGCCCTCCTGGTCTTCTCTTCCATTTCTCTTCTCTTATTGTTTTCTCTCACTGCTTCCTATACATATAAACAAAGTTAAATGGAAACCTTTCCATTACTTATATAATAGAGACATTGCACAGTTTTGAATTTTCTCTCACTGCTTCCTATACATATAAACAAAGTTAAACAAAAACCTTTCCATTACTTATATAATGGAGAAATTGCACAGTTTTAAATTTATATAAATATGCAGAGATGGGAAGGTATTACAGCAGCCTGAATGTGCATATATATACTTTTGAGAGAGACAATTAATTGTAAAATATCTCTTCTTGAAAAAAGATTTAGAAATAACTCAGTCTTCAATTGCCATTATCTAGGGTGCCAGAAAATTAAGGACATCAATGTTACAGATTTAACAATAAGTATACTTTATGTATTGTTAAAATATGAACTAGTTTGACACATGAGAAGACATAGTAAGGAAATATGACTCAGCAAGTATTTTATCCCCTTTATTGTGTACTTTTCTGTTATCTGCAAAATTGAGATTAAGAAAAAAACTACCTTATAGGAGTTTTGTGAGGAAAAATGATACAAACATAAAGTGCTTAGAATAGATCCTGATATATTATAATCAAGGAATTTTAGTCTATGATGGCGATGATGGTGGTCCTGGTGCTGGTGATAATGATTACATCTAATCATGCAGGGCAGGAAACAATCAACAGTATTATCACAGAAAAGAAATACCTTCAAATATGACAGCTTTTTACTTGTGAAAATATTTAGAAATGCTGAAACATATTTCAAGCTATTGTCTGTTTTATTTTGGATAGATTATTTGTGGAACATAAGTGAATGAGTACATTCCAGTAGTTGGTATTAGACAAAGCTGAATTAATGTGATCAGCTGGAATATCAACTTCCTTTGAGTTCAGGTAAATCACGAATGCAGAGACATATCAACTACAAGTTCCCTCCATCAAGCTGCTCTGTTTCTTTTTTCTATTATGATTGATTAAATATACTTCATAGCATGTACAAGCTGTTTGACAAAAACTATTTTGTTCCAGAAACCCTAAAGAAAAAGACTCAATAACGAGAATACGTCTACAAGGCTTTGCCTGGAGGGGTTTATATTGAAATAATTTTTTTCTTTATGTTAAAAGACACAGCAGTTTAAAATAGCCTTAAAAACACTTTCAAAATTCTCCTGACTTGCAAGAATTGATTTCTTCCTACAAAATCTAAATGATTTTACCTTCACTGGTACCTCCCCTTTCTCCTGTCATTGTTTTTGTGCTCTTAGACTCCATAGCAATAGGCTAGGAGCACAAAGGTACCTGGCTATTGTAGATGAACTCAAAGACTACCACTTAAAAATAAACTGGCATACTAGAATCATAATTTTAAAGCAGGGTTTCTCAACCTCAGCACGACTGTCACTTTGGGCTAGATTATTCTTTGGTAGGAGCTGTCCTATGCGTTGTGGGATGTTTAGCAGCATCCCTGGCCTCTACCTGCCAGATGCCAGTATGATCCCACTCCAGTGGTGACAACTGGGGTTTCACCATGTTGGTTAGGCTGGTCTCGAACTCCTGACCTCAAGTGATAAGCCCGGCTTGGCCTCCCAGTGTGCTGGGATTACAGGCGTGAGCCACCGCACCCGGCCAAACCACTGAATTATATAAACTACAATGGTAAATTTTATGGTATGTAAATTATCTCAATAAAAATTAATCACATTAATAAATAGATGTCTAAGAAAGACAGGATGGAAGTAAAATTGTAACTCAAAAGGGAAAAAACAATGTGAAAAGGCATCACATATTCAGGCCCTGATACTAATAAGCTATATAATGTTTGGTAAGTAACATGAAAAGAGGCAAGTAGCAGAGGAAAGAAAGAAGGCTAATGCTTGTATATATTTTATTAGTGGTCAAATCTCTAATTTGGTAAACAGTCACCAAGATCTGGGTGGACTATTATATTATCAATCTAATGGGTTGTTTACATGCTGAGTGCTCCCATTAGGATTCCTCACATAGTTTATTAAGATGGAGGGAAAAAAAACGGCTGGTTACTTGCATTTGTATTTCTTCTTTGTTCTGATAATAACAGCTACTCTTTAAGGGAAATCTATTATGTACCAGGAGTTTTAAACATTATCTAGTCTTAAATACATACTTTATAATCTTTATAGAAAACCTGCAAAGTAGGTATTATTTGTTCCATTTTATACATGAAATTTAGGTTCAGGTAGGCTAAGTGACATACCCAAAGCTACACAGCTTCTTAAGTAACACAACCACCTAGGACTGTTTGGCATTAGCCTCTATGTTCATTTTCACTACTATGATGCCTTCCAAATAGAGTTGCCAGATAAAATACAGGCTTCTCAGTTAAATTTACATTTCAGATAAACTGTGAATACTTTTGTTAGTAGAAGTATGTCTCATATAATATTTGGAACATACTTAAATAGAAAAAAAATCATGTAATATTTAGGATATATTGATACTAAAAAATTATTCATTATCTGAAATTCAGCTTCAACTGGGAATCCTATATTTTCATTTCATAAACCTGGCAGTCCGATTCCCAAGACTGTGTTGATTTTTTATAAGCATCCTTTGATCGACTAAGATCATCTAATAAAGACAGTAGAAATGATTACAAAAAGAAACGCCCAAATCAAAACCACATTTTGAAAATAGAAATGTTGATACAGATTATTGATAGGCATTATATTGTACATGAACTTGAATCATGCTATTTCTGTAGCATTCTCCATGTATTTATTATTTCTGGAAAATATGCTAAAACTAAAAAAAAAGTTCATATAAAAATCAAAGTGATACAATTTGCGATAGAAGAAAATAAGGCTAGAGATTAAATTTTTATATGAGAGGGAAGCTTGCAAAAGGCACCACTAAAACAACATGAATGTAGATCTACTAAAGGATAAAACAGAACAAGTAATAGGTCTATCAGTTTATATCTGAAATGTTTCAGGAATAGATTTAACTACAAAACAATCACAATTTGTAATGGCAATGTGTAATCTTTAAGAGGCCAAAACAGAATTAAAAAAACCATTTCTGTGGTTTGGCATTATTGACAGTAAATGAAAACATCTACAAAGGCATATATTTTTCAAGCAACACAGACTAGAATAAGATTCTGGTCACTAGTGCTGTTTTCATGAAAAGGCCTCATGCTGAAAAGAATAACATATTCCTCTTGGTGTTTTTACTTGGCTCTGGCTTTAGGAAATTAGGGATAGAAAATGCATGCTTAGAGAAAGGGAAATCTTAAAGACAGTTTCATATCAATAATCTTTAGTTTTTAAGACATTGTTTAACCCTTCTAAAAATGTAAAAGCTGGTGAAGAAAAAAATTATTTTGAGGGATGGGATGTATTCTCATCATCCTAATTCTTACAAAATAAAAATCAAATAATCAAAAGAACAAAAGCAGTAGGAGCAAATTTAAGGTCAGGTTAAGAAAATCCCCTAAATAATTGACTGATTAACATTACTTTGTACTTGTCAAGCCTCACTAAACATTTTAAAACACTAACTCATGAGTACTTAAAGATCATTCTCAAGTAAGCATTAATCATTATTTCTCAGGGTTGGAAATGCCAACTGATTAGATTCTGTCATTGTACAGGACAGTGTTCTGTTAAAAGGATGCTAATTGAAAAAGTGTTTTGGTACTAACCTCATACAAGATAAGAAATATGTTTACAGAAAAAAGTCTCAGTTTTACTGGCATATCTGTTAAGGGTTGGTAAAAGGTACAAAATGAGTAAAATATAATGAAAAATGTATCTAGGATTTACTACGAAATATTCACCAACCTAATTTTTAAAATCTCTCACTGAAACCTCTATTGCCTTACTGAAAAAAAAAGTGAATAAATTACAAATCTTATTTCCCTTGCTATGCATAATCACTAAATAAGACCTACAGACTAAAAATGTCATATGCTAAAAAAAAAAAGAAAGAAATTCACGTAAATGCTAAGACCTCTCATTTATTTCAATTAAGCTTTAAGAAATGGATGAAACTGATTCAGAAAATTCCAAGGAGCCCAGATGCCAGCCTCATTCAGGTCAGGTCTACACGAAGCAAGCATCTTCCAACCTTGCCTTGATATTTGAAAACATAAACCACCACTACCACCACCACCACCATTACAGCAAACAATTCCTTACTTTCATGGCTTCTAATGGCTTCCTATTCCAGAGATGACTGACTGCTCAAGTACTTTACAAGCACCATGAGATCACTGAAAGCTGAAGGCATATTTCAGGGACAGAGAAATAAAACCATTGGTAGTAAGGATCCTGGAATCAGAAAAATCTGGTTTCAAATCAAAGCTCCATCACTTATCCTAAAAACTGTGTGACCTTGAACAAGTTAGTTCATCTCTTTGAGCTTTAGTTTCCACATCTGCAGAATCAAGATACTACTTAAATCACAGGACTGTTGAACAGATTAAGTGAAATAATGCTTATATAAAACACTTAAGACAAAGCCTGGTACAGAGGAAATGCTTATTATATAGTAGCTGTGATTATTATGTATAACAGAATCATTTAAAAGTTTGAACAGCAAGAATTCAGTCATTGACAGACAAATGACCACATCTGTTTTCAATGACTTATTTTGCAAACCCCCTTCCTCCCTTTTTGGGGAAGTTATGAGGACATAATCTATGACTGGAAATATACCAACCTGATACTATCTACCCTCATAACTATACTGAATATGATTTTCAACTGTACCATAATATTGGCATCTAAGGTAATTCTACGATTCCATATATATCACTGTAACTTGGCACTCATGAAAAGAAAAAAAAATACTAGGAATGTATTCATTTTCTCTTTTGAGTTTTGGATCATTCTGGTTACCCGCGTGAATATAGTTGGCAAGACTTTCAGTTCATTACAGTATCAGAAGTTGTATGATAGTAGAGTCACATAACCATAAAATTACGTAAATTAGAAATGTCATGGTGAACAAATTGGTAACTCTGGTGCCAGAGGAATACTGTGATCACACTGAGGAGTATTTCTTCGTTGATCAGGGGTGTTGGAAGGATTTGAAAATGATACTGAGAGAAATGATTTGGCAACAATATAAAGAAACGTGGTGTGTATTATATTGCAAATCTTTTTATACACTAAATATGAGTCACTGAGATAGTAGTTTTAATGAAAACTCAACAAAATAGGGGAAATTCCACAATTTTTTTTAGAGTCAGGGTCTCCCTCTGTCACCCAGACTGCGGTGCAGTGGTACAATTTCAGCTTACTGCAACCTCAAATTCCTAGGCTCAAGAGATCCTCCTGCTTCAACCTTTCAAGTAGCTGGGACTACAGGTGTGAGCTGCCATGCCTGGCAAAGTTTCTTTCTTTTCTTTCTTTTTTCTTTCCTTTCCTTTCTTTCCTTCCTTTCTACAGATGGAGCCCAGCTATGTTGCCCAGGCTGGTCTTGAAGTCAAGTGATCCTCCTGCCTCGGCCTCCCAAAGTGCTGAGATTACAGGCTTGCACCACCAAGCCCAGCTAATTTTTTTTTTTTTTTGAGACGGAGTCTCACTCTGTCGCCCAGGCTGGAGTGCAGTGGCGCGATCTCAGCTCACTGCAAGCTCCGCCTCCTGGGTTCAAGCGATTCTCCCACCTCAGCCTCTCGAGTAGCTGGGATTACAGGCATGTGACACCATGCCCAAATAATTTTTGTATTTTTTGTAGAGACGGGGTCTCACCATGTTGGCCAGGCTGGTCTCAAACTCCTGACCTCAAGTGATCCGCCCGCCTTGGCCTCCTAAAGTGCTGGGATTGTAGGTGTGTGCTGCTGTGCCCAGCCAAGCCCAGCTAATTTTTAAATATTTTTCACATTTTTAATCTTGAACTCTCTGAGCAACTGATTCTTTCTTTGCTTTAATTCAGACTGTGCTTTTAGATTTTTTTTTTTAAGTTTTCTGGGTTTTTTTTTGCTAGACACTGAAGAATTTTTAAATTGTTTCTTTCAGTCGCCTCTTTTAAAAATAAAACACTTAAAATTTTTATTAAATAACCCCTGACCAGAATACCATCCATTTCCATATTTCCTAGATAAGTATAATTCTAATTTTATGCATCTTGATAAGATTTTTTTTAAATGTCTTACCTGTAATTTTATGGCCAGAGTAAAAATAATAGGAAATTGTCCTCTTTATATGGATCATTTTAAGTCGGGATCCATAATCCAAACTTTCTAAGTAAAACAGCATATCATAATGAACACAGGATGGCCTTGAAGGGCTGGGAGATCTAGTTTAAATCCAAGCTCCTCTAGAGACCATAGTGCTTTATGCCCTTGGGCCATTTACTTAACTGAGCTAACCCTCTTTTCTGAATCTGTGAAATATAGTCATGCATCTCATAATGACATGTAGTACAACAGATGGGACCACATATATGAAGGCAGTCCCATAAGATTATAACAGAACTGATAAATTCCTTTTACCTAGTGAGGAAACGGCCACCATAATGTCAGAGCACAACACATTACTCATGTACTTATTATGGTGATGCTGGTATAAACAAACCTACTGCATTACCAGTCCTATAAAAGTATAGTGCATACAATGATGTACAATACACAGTACTTGATACTGATAATAAGTGACTATGTTACTGGTTTACGTATTTGCTATACCATACTTTCTACCATTTAGAGTGTACACCTACTTATAACAAGTTAACTGTAAAATGGCCTCGGGCAGGTCCTTCAAGTCCTCCAGAAGAAGGCATTGTTATCACACAAGATGACAACTCCATGTGTGTTATTGCCCCTGAAGATTTCCAGTGGGGTAACACATGGAGATGGAAGACAGTGATACTGATGATCCTGACCCTGTGTAGTCCTAGGCTAATGTGTGTGCTTGTGTCTGAGGACAGCAACTTCCAATCTTCTAAGGTGCATTCATGCTAAGTGCCCTAATACAGGTGTACCATTTTTATTTTTAATATAGTATTTTTATTGTTCCTCTTCTGTTTAGATGTTTAGATACACAAATACTTACCAATGTGTTACATACTGTATTCTGTACAGTAACATGCCGTACAGGTTTGTAGTCGACGAACAACAGGCTTACGTATACCGTATAGTCTAAATGTATAGTAGGCCATAGCATCTAGGTTTGTATAAGTACACTCTGTCATGTTCATACAACAATGAAATCACCTAACAATGCATTTTTCAGACTGTATCCCTGTCATTAAGCAACACATGATTGTACCTGTACTTCACAGTGTTGGTTTGCGATTTAATGAGGAATCACATATAAAGCTATTAATAACAGTGCCTGGCACATAAAACATGTTCAATAAATGGTGGTGGTTATTATTATATTATTCCACATTTGGGCAATACAAAGGTCCCATGCATTTCAGGGTCTGTACTCCATTTCCTCCAATCCAGGACCATGTCCACATATGTGCGTGCACACTGGGGAGAAAGAAGAATTCTTTTTGATATGAAAATCTTGCAACATCAGGTAAAAATTTGAAGAAACAAAACACCCACACACTCTCTAAGCCACCAACTTTGAACAGATAATAGGACTCGTCTTTCTGTGCCAAGAGAAAAAAGATAGAGGTAAAATAAACAGGAGGTTTTGGGGGAAAATTCTTGGTGTTAGGATATCATATTTGACAAATCTAAGAAATAATAAAGGTCATAGAATAATTTGCTATTTTGACTAACAAATTCATGCATCATTTTACTCAAGTTTCAACATGCCTTACAGGACTGTAGCAAAAACTGAGTGATGAAGGTTCCTGGGGAAAGGTAGTAAATTTGGAGGGGAATTACTGTTTTTTTTTTTTTTAAACATCTCTAGTTCTGTCACCTCACTCAGAAAATAAAGCACACAGTACAATAAAAGTCCAATTGCTTTGGAAAATAGGAGTTTAATTTTACTTCTTTAGGGAACATTTGTCTTAGAATGAGGGATTCACTTAGTCTGCCTTAATGTTTACGGAAGGACCAGGAGAATTAGCCCACACTTGGTTCCCTACCCCAGGCCTTGCTAAGCTTTCTGATACTTTTCCCATCTTTACTGATAGGAGGCTGTTAGCTGTGCTGGAATATCACTACTGAGGGATTGCAAGTAGGAGATAGGATGAAAGGTGGAAACTTTTTGCTTATTGGTGGGGTTCTCATTTCATTCCAGTCATAACAGGAGGCAAAATAGGTAGCAATGGACAGGTTGTCCAGACCAGTGAACTAGGTAAGGTTATAGCAGCAGTTTCCTTTCCCTGTCCCAAAGATGTCCTAAACATGACAATGAAACAGGAAAGGCAATTCTATATGCAATAACTTTTCATCATTTTACCAAAAAGTTTTTTCTTTTTAAAAATTCTTCTTCCCTTTTCCTCTACTTCATATAGTTAACATATTCTGTGCTTGAATTGTTTTGGCTACTACTGACAGTTTTTTTTGTTTGTTTGTTTTTGTTTTTTTTGAGATGGAGTTGTGCTCTTGTCGCCCTGGCTGGAGTGCAATGGCACGATCTTGGCTCACTGCAACCTCCGCCTCCCAGGTTCAAGCAACTCTCCTGCCTCAGCCTCCCGAGTAGCTGGGATTACAGGTGCCCACCACGACGCCCAGGTAATTTTTGTATTTTTAGTAGAGACGGGGTTTCACCATGTTGGTCAGGCTGGTCTCAAACTGCTGATCTCAGGTGATCCACCCGCCTCAACCTCCCAAAGTGCTAGGATTACAGGCATGAGCTAACACACCTGGCCTATACTATTGACACTTTTGTTGCACTTGCCTGGAACCAAGGAGAAAAGAGGTGATAGGAAACACAGATCCCAATGTATGTTACCTCTACCTGATTTGTAGCTTGGGCTGAGGTCCTTATTTGTTATTATAGTAAAGGTGGGTGAAAATCTTAAAGAATATCAAAAGTAAATCAGGACTCATATAGTTGTACAGGTCTTTTTCACTCCCATTTGAGAATGATCACATCAGGTTACAAGTAGGAAGATACAGTGTGAGTCAAGATGAGTTTTTCAGCATCTGAACAAGAAATTGAACAACCTGATCATTAGAGAAAAAACCTACATAAGATGGTGGAAATGAGTCTTTAGAATTTTCAGCTGCAACTGAAGACAAATTAAGGCTTTCCATTAAGGAAAGGAAGGAAGCCTACTCCTTAATTAACACCCAACAACATTAGATATTCCTTTTCTATAGTTTCACTGTGTTTAAAGGGCATATTGGATTGAAGGAGTCATGACAAATGCTCAGGGCAAAGAATTTTCAGCTGCAGTAACTAGACTCTGAGAGTCAGTACCTCTGAAGACTTTATCAGCACTATAATACTGCTAAACTTTTTCTTTCCCAGCGATTTCCACTTATTATGGTACAAGTGACCTTTAAAGTTCCTCTTATGAAAGATCTTATAAATACTTCATCAACCAATCAACTACGATTGCAACAGAGAAGTAGAACTTCTTTCTCACTGGGGTAATTGAAACCTTGATTAGCTTGCTCAAGTAGTTAGGTGCCTCAGTAACAGACACTGAACAAATGTATTGATACTGTAGTTAGACAGGGATTAAAGGCATGCTTATTAACCTGTGTAAATATGGTATGAAACACAGAAGTATAACAGACCATAGGTAATCTGCTAAACCAAACAAAATAGAAATTTTCTTCCCTCTTTGATTCCTGAGGTACTATGTTCATTTCTTCCTACAGACAGCATTGCATTCCCTCCATATCCATTCTAGACTATACTTCCCTGTCCCACCCTTTAATTTTCACCTTCCCCTGAAGCCCTGTCCTCATCTCTTCCCTTCTTTTTTTTCTGGCAGTGAGGCCATCTATTCCTACTCATAGTTGAAAAAAAAATAGTGCTTCCAATAGCATATAAAGCCTTATGTGATCTGACCTCCTGTTACCTCTCTCTGTCCTCATCTCTTCCTCAGCTATTCTCTTCCAGCCCCACTGGTCTCCCTCGCTCCTCATCTTTACACTTGCGTTCCTTCTGCTCTTAAGTACCTCCCTCAGGCCGGGCACAGTGGCTCACGCCTGTAATTCTAGCACTTTGGGAGGCCGAGGCAGGCGGATCACCTGAGGTCAGGGGTTTGAAACCTGACCAACATGGAGAAACCCCGTCTCTACTAAAAATACAAAATTAGCCAGGCATGGTGGTGCATGCCTGTAATCCCAGCTGTTCGGGAGGCTGAGGCAGGAGAATCGCTTGAACCTGGGAGGCGGAGGTTGCAGTGAGCCGAGTCGCGCCATTGCACTCCAGCCTGGGCAACAAGAGCGAAACTCCGTCTCAAAAAAAAAAAAAAAAAAAAAGTATCTCCCTTAAGTCTCTGCTTGAATGTCTGTCTTATGAGTGAAGCCTTCCCTGACCACCTTAAAAAATAACCCCCTAACAAACTTCCTCTTTCTTCCTTGTTGTAGTCTTCATAACATAAAAGGTCAAAATCTAGTTAAACTTTAGATACTCTTTCCATTTTCTAAGAATTAGCAGCTGGAGCTAGTTGATTTACATAATAATAGTTTTCAGCCTGGGAGTTTTCAAAACATTAAATTACCGAGAACGTCTCTACACATAGTTCCCTACGCACCTCATATTTCTTTATTGTAGAAAATCTTAGCAGCCTTGAAGAAAACATCCACTTTCGAATGGTAAGTTTCTTTCTAATCATCTATAGGTTATGGTTCACTGACATCTACATTTATTTTCTTAAAAATGCCAGTGCTTAGCGTTTCAGAGGCCCGATATCCATGACATTTGTCACACTGACATAGCTCAATATTCCGCTGAGGAAATTCACTTGTGTAGAGATTAGTGTTTACATTGAGTCTCCAAAGTTAAAAGAAGTGTTCTAATTTTGAAAATGAGGCATTTGTTTTGAATGAGATACTTGCAGGATCCACAAACAGTGTTACACGGCTTTTCTTTCTTTTTTTTTTTTGAGACGGAGTTTCGCTCTTGTTGCCCAGGCTGGAGTGCAATGGCACAATCTCAGCTAACTGCAACCTCTGCCTCCTGGGTTCAAGTGATTCTCCTGCCTCAGCCTCCTGAGTAGCTGGGACTACAGGCGTGCGACACCACGCCCAGCTAATTTTTTTTGTATTTTTTTTAGTAGAGACAGGGTTTCTCCATGTTGGTCAGACTGGTCTCGAACTCCCCATCTCAGGTGATCCGCCTGCCTTGCCCTCCCAAAGTGCTGGGATTACAGGCCTGAGCCACCACGCCCTGCTTTACACAGCTTTTCTAGTAATCTTTTGGTTTCAGACAAAACCTTCTCAGGTTCAGGTGGATGGTTTATACAAAAAGTCCTTGAGTTTAGTTGTATAAGTGACTCCCTTTTGGCAGAGGGGAGAATCATAGGAGAAACTGCTGTGCTGCAGGTGAGGGAGCCAGCTGAAGTGAATTCAAGTATGTGTTCACTGAAGTAGCCCTCTTGTATTCAGCAAAACCAGCTTATTGTTCAGCCTCCTTAGGAAACAAATAAAAAATTAATGTAGCTTTCACATGCGCTACATATCTGTAGGTTTGACAGACAAACAGATCTTTGCACACCAGCATGGTGGTGAAGAGAATCTCAAAGGTGAATTATTAAAAACAAGAAGAAAGAAAAAAGACTGTTATGTGCAAATCTCCTTGGATATTAAACTTACAGTTGGTTACAAAGCGGTCATGCACCGATAATGAAGGCTGGCTGTGATCCCCAAGGCCTTTTAAAATTTGCCTTACAACTGCAGAAACATGTGATCTGAAGTTGGGGGAAAAACTGTCTCTCCCGTCACAGTCCATTAGAATGCTGAACTCTGATTAGCTAGAAGTTAATCTGCAATCTGCAGCAAAGAATAGGTTTTCTAATGCTGCAGGTTTCTGCAGACATATTTTTCTTAGTAGGTATTTGAGAATATTTATCTCCATCTGGAAGGGATAAACAACTGAGCTCAACATGCCAATGTAGACCTCTGTTGATTAAAATCTACGAAGTGCTTTAAGTGACTATAGGAAATTAATTACAATTTTTTGAACCAAAGGAACAGAATGAAATTCTAAAGTGACTGGTAACAATATTTTAATGAAAAAACATCTTGGGGAGGTATAGGTGGAGGGAAATGACAAAACAAGTGGTATGTGACAGGTCTGAGATCTGAGTTTACTGCCTTAATACTGTCACCATCTTAGAAGATGGGAGAGGCAGCACAATCAATAAGGTTTTTGATGAGACCAATTTAGGTGGTGGCAAAAGCACCTTAGAGACTTGGATAAGAATATCAAATTACCTTGACAAGTAGAATTATAGACTCACAGAACAGGAAGGGCTCTAGAAGAATGCTTGCTCTAATGTTCTGCCTGTGGATAGGGTTCCATGATCTCCCTCAGGAACCTCTTCTGATACTTAACCTCCTCAAAAAGGAAATATTTCCTTATGCCTCGCTAAAAGCTGTCAGTTTTTTAAGCCCACGTCTTGTCTGTTGGCCTCTGTGAAATAGAAACTTGGTCAATATCTTCCTTAAAACTTTTTCATGGAGGTGTAGCTTGTCCCCAGGAACCGCCATATTGCCTGAATTCCACAAAGTTGAAACTAATCCCTAAATGCAACGCAGGTGAATTTCTTAGCTTGTAGAGTACTGGGGGAAGGATGGGATCCAAGAGACCCTTGAGAAAAACTGTTGGGACTTTAAATTAAGCCAATCAATACCATTTTCTGAACAATAACTTTCTCATAGAGACTAATTTGCCTACATTTAATAATGTTTAGGTTTTCTTCTGGGTGTTCTCTACTTGTTAGATATTATTTTTAAATTATAGACTTCTCCATCCTCACCTGCCTCCCCAAAAAAGAAGAGGACAAAGCTGGAAACAATACTCTAAGAGATGTGCTATCCAATATCTACCAGTTTTTCATGCTCTAAATCTTCTAAAATATTATAGCATTTGTTTTGTAACATTTTCAAGTGCAACTGTAAAGTTAGAAGATTGGTTCCGATATATCTGCTGAATCCTGTCCTACAAATAGCCACCTTTGGAAGTCCTAAACTTGTGTTGGTGAGGGCTATTACACTGTAATTGAAACTCCTCGTTCCGAATTAACCTCTGAATCAAATGAAATTAGTCTCATTATTTTATATTCACAATATTTTTGACCACATATTTTGTTACTCAGTTTGATCATGTATCTTATTGATAAAACTTGGCTTGATGTAACTTCCGGCTATTTCCAAAAATCAAGCGCACCCTCAGATTACAAATATTTAGTACTCCTGGAAAGACCTAAAGCACATGCTGCATAACTCTTAGGGAAATCCAAAATAAGGGTTCCCAAAATATTTAGGGTAATATCATTATCCTTCAATTAAGATAACAAGAGGCTTAAAATTTCTTTGACTTTACACATTTCTGATTTGTCTTCTTTAAAAAACAGTTACACCTCATATACTGCTAATTCATGGTTAGTACTGTACTGTTCCACTAAAAATCAAGAATCTTTTTCCAGTGAATTTATGTATGTTCTTGTCTGCATGCTACCTGCTTGGTGCCCTTAATTTATATCTTACTAATTCCTAACTGAGCTTGATCCTATTTCTGAGGGAACATACACAGCCAATAAAATTCCTTTTTTAATGAAGTGTTAGAAATCTCTCTGGACATACTGCCATTGAAAATTTATCTGTCCTTTGGGTGATGAGAGGGACAGGGAAAGGAAGAAGAGGGCAGGGAAGCAATAAAGGTAAGAAAAAAGTAGGCTGATTAATATCCAGTGACTTATGCCTTCATTGAGAAGCAGGAAACATTCATTCATTCATTATCCAGCATGAACTGTCACATACCGTTCTAGTCCCTGGGGAATCAATAATAAGCATCACAAACAAGCCTCTTTCACTCATGGCTCTTAGGGATCATCAAAAGAAGCACTAGAGGGTTAGTCTACTTTTGCTCTATGTCCCAGACCCACCTAGAGCACTGTCTTACTATCAGTTAAAATCGTACTCTAAAGTCTAGTTCTTATTATTTTCAATCATTGAGAATGACTGTCACATGGGAGGGAATAAAAATCCTAGTGAACAGAGAGATTTTTTTTGCAGTATGGGGAACAGATTCTTTCAAAGAAGTAGATTAAGATGGTTTTGCTCAATTTGTTTTTCACAAAGCCTTCTTGATTGCCAGTCAGAACCTTGTGCTTTTGTAAGTAGAAAGTGATTGTTTGATGATTTGTTGTCCTATCTTCCAAGATATTGACAGCAAGATGTCCTTTCAGTAATTATGGGGTAGCACCTTTCCCTTTATTGATGTTGTCTGAAAACTCAGGGTAATCTTTATATGTAGAGAAATATATATATATATAAAACATCAAAAATGAATGGAAACCGAGCAACACAAACAAAAAAAGGAGCACTGATGAGGTGTGGAAAAGTATGAAAACATAGCACTTAGTGGTCATGGTGGTCCTTAAATTAACCTCACGCCACTAGGTAATATTGCTGGTAAGGGCAATGAAGTTATAGAGCAAGCATACCTTTAAACCTCTCCTCCCTCAGATTAAATTGGAGACTTCAAGGGCTGCTTCACTAACCATCACTACAAGATGCACTCACCCTATTTTATATATAATGTTAATATATCCATTATGTATTTAACATGCATTCAGATATTCATAGATATCCTTTATGCACATTTGCTTCGGTGTTGGCTTAGTTTAACAGCCTCTGAAAGGTAGATTCTGGCTGGTCGCGGTGGCTCACGCCTGTAATCCCAGCACTGTGGGAGGCTGAGGCGGGCGGATCACCTGAGGTAGGGAGTTCGAGACCAGCCTGACCAACATGGAGAAAACTTGTCTCTAATAAAAATACAAAAATCAGCCAGGCGTGGTTGTGCATGCCTGTAATCCCAGCTGCTCGGGAGGCTAAGGCAGGAGTATCGCTTGAACCTGGGAGGTGGAGGTTGTGCAGTGAGCCAAGATCGTGCCATTGCACTCCAGTCTGGGCAACAAGAGCGAAACTTCGTCTCAAAAAAAAAAAAAAAAAAAAAAAGAAAGGGTAGACTCTGTTGGTTTAGTTTGCTTCAGGTGTGATATTCTATTAAGATAAGCACCCTTAACTATAAGCCTATTACAGCACCTAATACAAAAGAGGCATGCAATAACTATTTCTTACTTAATGAAGACAATGCTGATTAATTTAGTGTAAATACCAGACCAGCATGCATATGTGATAGCCAATATCTTACTTGGGCTTATACTTTTTGACAGTTTGGCCTTTTTAAAAGAGCTGTGGTTAATTTATGGGATGAACGACTCAAAGGGCAGAGACAGATTCACCATGAAGCTAATGAGCAAAAGCATTAGGACTTCTAACTTGCATGGGAGGGGCACTGGCAATGTGCTCACTTGGCCATGTGTTTTGCTAAAATTTAAAAATAAAAAAGATTTCTTTTAAAAAAAAATTCCTTTTCTTAAATGGCTGCTCCCAAATTATACAAAATACAGCCTCACAAATCTGGATCCTCCACTGTTTAAAGAATATGTAAAAACCTGATGTCCGATGAAGAATAAAAGAAGTGCTGAACGTTTGGGAAATGCCAAACCATGAACAAAAGATGGATAATTAAGCTCAGGGAAGATTGAATTAAGGGATATAACTATATCCATAGACATGAAGTGGATATGTATTTAAAGAACAAGTCTTATTAGATATCTTCCAGAGTTTCCCACGTCAAAATAATAGGACCTGAATTTAAATTTTAAAAAGAGAAACTCTGATAATTAAAAAGAAGTTTACATTAAGGATGGCAAAGCAATGGAATCAAGTCAAGTTATGAAACTACTTTCTCTAGAAAACTATTTGAAAGATTAGTTAGCTGCTGAAGGGTTAGGCAAAACTTGCCAGGAGCCTGAGTTATTAAGATAACTTACCGATAGAGGGCCAGGAGCAGTGGCTCACGCCTGTAATCCCAGCACTTTGGGAGGCCGAAGCGAGGCACTCGGATCACCTGAGGTCAGGAGTTCGAGACCAACCTGGCCAACATGGCAAAACCCCATCTCTACTAAAAATACAAAAAAAATTAGCTGGGCCTGGTGGCGAGCACCTGTAATCCCAGCTACTTGGGAGGCTGAGGCAGGAGAATCACTTGAACCTGGGAGGCAGAGGTTGCAGTGAACCGAGATTGTGCCATTGCACTCCAGCCTGGGCAACAAGAGAGAAACTCCATCTCAAAAAAAAAAAAAAAAAGATATTTTACCGATAGAGAATTCCTTAGTTTCTATCCTAGGCTATTCTGGCTCTATAGGTATATGTTTCTGAGTCATTAGTTTATAAAACAAACAAAAAAATACAATGAATATACAATTTCATATCTTTCTTTGACACCCTAAATCTTGGGTATGATACAGCAGAGAGTTGGTCTGTAAAAATATCTGAAAACAAAATAGCGTGGATCATGTTTGAATGGGATACAGGTCGGAACCAGAGATATTCTGCTTTACAATCCTCTTTTCCAAACTGGAAATAATAAGGACACTGTTATATAGTAGTGATTGCATTCTGGGAAGCAAGCCATTCCATCTGTAGATGAGTATGCCAGCTACATTGCACAATGTAAAACATCTCACTTGTGATTATATCCTTGATCATGACCTAGATTTGGCCAAATATCACTGCTTACTTACTGATGGGAATATCCTTTCCTTATTGTGCTAATGATCTACTGCCCTTTCCTTTACCTCCCTCCTCCCTGGGTACTACCCCATTATTTATAGAGTTTTTCTGGCTTCATCATGAATCTTCTGCTTAAGTTGCCTTATTTATTGGTATAAAGGGATTTTTTTCCATTAGGCTTAACATGTTGGACAAATAACTTATAAGAGGATTTAGGGCATTTACAGACACATTGAATTTTATTTCCTATACAACACTTTGCAATAATAAATGTCATGTGTTAGACTTGACTTCTTTCAATGTAAACTTCTGTATGCCCTTTTGACTCATGGATACTCTAGTACAATGAAATCTGTGTTACTTTTTGCATATTGTGCTTATACTTAAGCACTCATAAAAATAAAATATGACACTATAATATACTTAAGAAATTTTAAATGACAAAATTTTATCCCGTGAAACTTAGAATTATTACACTTTTTAAAAGTATAGCAACTCCCCAGAAAAGAGAAGTTGGAATTTTCAATTCTTTCTTCAAAGGATCTTTGAAGCTAGTAAGACTTAGAGAAAGTAGAAAGATGTTTGAAGGTATGTTTGAAGAATAGTCCTTCTCTAATGATTTTTATCATAAAGAGAAAAAAAAATCTAGTGACATAAGCAGGTGTCTGCTGGCTATGGATAAATAATGAAGATGTAAATGGTCACGGTCAATCATAAGTGAACAGTAAATCACAAAGGCTGACAAATGAGAGGTTTGATGCTAGAATGTAGAAATAAAATGGAGTAAACATGAGGTACTTCCTGTGCCTATTATTAGCTCTGCTCAAGAATTATACCAGGAAAATATAGCTCACTTTGGGATTTCACAACTTAGAGTGATGGAGTGAAAGTAGACAAGTTTAAGTACTTGAGTCAAATATTTGCTAAATCAATGTTGACGAAGAGTAAAAGGAGTCGTTAAAATAATGAAAGATCTTGAAAAGGTGGCAGAGAGAAAGAGAGAGGCAGAGAGAGACAGCTAGAGGGCTTTGAAATATTAATCTAAAAGACCATTTATTATTAGATTTCTAGAACAGTAGGAACATGATTACCAATTACAAACATGGTTACCAATCAATAAATATTTGCTGGTTACTTTTATGTGCCACACACTCTGTTGTGTAATAAAAATTCAAAGATAAGTGAGACGTATTTACTGTAAAGGAATTCACAGCACAAAGAAGGCAGGTCTGTACATCACCAATTAGTTGAATATTACAAAAGCCACATTAACAATATGATATGAGCACCGGGTGCGATGGCTCACACCAGCACTTTGGGAGGCTGAGGCGGGTAGTACACTTCAGGCCAGGAGTTCGAGACCAGCCTGGCCAACATGGTAACCCTGTCTCTACTAAAAATACAAAAATTAGCTGGGCATGGTGGTGTGCACCTGTAGTCCTAGCTACTTGGGAGGCTGGGGCAGGAGAACTGAACCCAGGAGGTGGAGATTGCAGTGAGCCGAGATTGTACCACTGTACCCCAGCCTGGACAGCAGAGCAAGACTCCATCACAGAACAAAACAAAACAAACAAAAAAAAAATGAAAAAAAAAAGAAAGAAAGAAAAAGAAAAATATGATGAGCATACCAAATAGGGGGTAATTTTCCCTGGAGTTCAGCAGGGGGTATTAGGAAAGGCATAACAGGGAAAGTAGCCACTAAATGGAGTTTTGAAAGTTGAAAACAATTTCACCAGGTAGAAGGGAGACTGTGCGTGTGACTGTATTCCAATCAGAGAAAAAGGGTAGTGGCTGGGGAGAGTTAGATTACCAAGGGTTTCCAAATGCTAGTCTAGGCTTTACTGTCACCCATGGAAGGCCACTGAAGGTTTCTGAGAAGGTGAATGTCCCAATGAAACCTACGTTTTAGAAAACAGTATCTGGCAGCAGCATACAGTTTAGAGAGTGCTAAGACTAAGCTCAGGAGAACTAAAAGATTACTGCAGTAGTCCATGGGAAGGAGAGAGGACAAACACTGAAACTTGGGCCGTTAAAGTGAGGATGAAAGTAAGATTTTTTTTTCTTTGCTGAGACTTAATATAGAACATGCAAACAACGGTGCTTTGGTAAGATTCTGATGGGGAAATCATAAAAAACAGATAGAGTCTCTTGAGTTTTAACTGCATAAGCTGGGTATGAAATGGAGACTGAACAGATGTAAATAGCGAGGGAAAAGAAGATATCAAGTTGTACCATCAGCCAAAGAGAATATGGGAGAAAGTTGAAAAGGATGTAATGAGTTCCCTTTTGAATATGCTGAGTTTGAGGTAGTTATGGCAAATCTAGTTAGAGGCATCCAACAGAAAATAAACTTGGGTCTAGAGCTGAATAATAAAATCACAACTCAGGAAAGTGTAGGAGCCATTGGAATAGATATCAACTACCCAGGAAGAAAAATATGCAGGACCAAAAGTAAGACCTTTGGAAATGCTTTATTTAAGATTGAAGGAAGGAGATCCAAAAAAAAAAAAAAAAAAACACCAGGAGACATTTTTACTGAAAATCAAACCAAGAAATCCCGCCTTTATTATGACAAAGGATTATTCTAGTGATCAGGCTGTATATGTACCATACCATAAGGTAGAGTAGGGAGGAAATCTGGAGTATAAAACATTTCTTTTGTACCTACTATACCATAAGGCACTAATTGTCTTTTGTCTCCGTGGCTGAGTAAGTGAGCTGAGCATGGCTTGGGTTTCACACAGTAAGCTTGGGGTAACCCCCTGTAGACATCCTGCTAAGCCTACAAGGTGAGTGTAGTATTTCTGCCTAAGGGACAATATATAAAAAAGTAAATGTCACCCAGAAAGAAAGGGAAAATCAAAGCTGAGTTGATACTACATCTCTGCCAATGAAACTCCTGAGTTTCCAGCCTCTCAAAAGACAGGGTGGGCTGGATCAGGGTTTTGGGTTGCCTGAATTCTCTGATCCATGTCGAAGGGGAGGTCACTCCCAGGAAGATGCCAATTTGACAAAGCTATATTATGACACCAGAACAGACAGGTTAAATTGTGAAATGTCCTTGGGAGGAGGGTGTGAGGTGGGGGGAAAAATTCTAGACCCAGGAAGATTGTGCAGCTACATATATGATGTTCTTTCAGAGGTACAAGAAAGGCTGTCTTTCCCTCCAATATTTCCTCTATCAGCTAGCCATGTTGCAAGAAGTTCTTGACAGCAGAATTGCTCTGCTGAATTAAGGCATTGTCCTGAATTTAAAGGGCATGTATGTAATACAGAATGAGTGACACATTAGTACTGCATTAGTTTATCAGATCAACTAGCTGACAGTTGGCAGAGAACAAGGACCAGGGGAAAGGAATCCAAGATGAACTAAATGTCTTTGTAAGTTCCTTATAATTTTTCATATTTTTGGCACTAAAAATATGCTTTTACTTCACTACATGCTTTGCTATACATCTCACCTTTTGTCAGAGCTTCCTGTCTAGAAACCCATTTCGGGATGTTATTGTCTATCTTCTTAAATAAGATATCCGAGTTCCCTTGAGGAAGAAGTAGTGACTGAGACTGAATCTGTATTTGTTAGGTTTTTTTTTTTTTTTTTTTTTTTTTTTGAGGCAGAGTCACGCTCTGTCACCCAGGCTGGAGTGCAGTGGCGTGATATCGGCTCACAGCAACCTTCGCCTTCCAGGTTCAAGTGATTCTCCTGCCTCAACCTCTTAAATAGCTGGGATTACAGGTGCAAGCCACAATGCCACGCTAATTTTTTTTTTTTTTGTATTTTTAGTAGAGATGGGGTTTTGCCATGTTGGCCAGGCTGGTCTCGAACTCCTGGCCTAAAGTGACCCGCCCACCTCAGCCTCCCAAAGTGCTGGGATTATAGGCGTGAGCCACTGCGCCTGGCCTAGTTGGCGTTTTTAATAGCAAAAATACTGTTTTGCTTTGTTTTCTCTTGAACAAGGAAAGGTTTTAACTTGCTTAATTAACAAAGGCAAGAGCCATTGATTTTGAAATGGCATTAGGAAAAGGACAGATTTCTTCTCAGGTGTTTCCTCTTTAATTTTTAAATTTGATCTGTGTCTAAAAGTAGACAATATGCCGGGCTTCTAGGTAAAGTTCTCTATTTGTATATCCTCCATATTCCAGAAGATAATGTTACAATTATTTAACTGAAACAATAAAGCCCTTGGCAAGACTTTTTCTGTAAAGTGGGACAGAATTAATTTTTATTTCTTCTACATCACATAAGGATACATGGCTGATGAAATAGTTCGGGTTTGTATAAAAATCATCTAACTGTACCTAGTGAAGTCTTCTAAATAGGACAACTCAGTGATCCCTGAATTTTAGGAAACATTTACACTGTTAAAATCTAAATCTTAGCTTAAGAAATTGATTGCACAATGGAACTTTATAACTATTGTTGAAACCTTTTAGCCACTGTCATGTGGCCATTCCACTGGTATGATTTCTTCTTTCCATAGCACTTAACGTTCTAACTTGTAATATAATTTTCCCAATAATTATGTTTATAGTTTATTTTCTCATTTTCCACATTTGGCTCCATGATGGCAGAGCTTTAAAATCTGTTTTAGTTTACTGAAATAAATCAAACAATGCCAGTGGCTAGAACAGTGTCCACTGTTTAATAGGCACTCAATAAATAATCCTTGAATGAATGAATGAGAAAAAGAAAGCAAGTAAACTAATAGCTTTTCAAGCAAATTAGAAAAGCAGAATGTCCTTGTGTAAGTATATTCTAGCGAAAGACAGAACGCAAACAGTGAAGGATAACTTCAAAATAAATGGGTAATGTTTTCTATTTACATTTCTGTTTTCTAAGATTTTTAAAAACTATTTAATTGAACACAAGTGTATATTTCACAGATAACATCTCATTTATTTTTCTTTTGCCAATTTGCAACGTTTGACAATTCAAATAATACTGAGCAACAATTTACTTTTGTGCTATATTGATACTTTTAGTTGCATGTCCCAATCCATGCAATGCCAGTCTTTTTTTTTTTTTTAATTTTCTTGAGACAGACTCTTGCTCTGTCGCCCAGACTGGAGGGCAGTGGTACCATCTCGGCTCACTGCAACCTCCGCCTCCTGGGTTCAAGAGATTCTCCTGCCTCAGCCTCTGAAGTAGCTGGGATTACAGATGCCCACCACCACACCCGGCTAATTTTTGTATTTTTAGTAGAGACAGGGTTTCACCATGTTGGCCAGGCTGGTCTCGAACTCCTGACCTCAAGTGATCCACCCGCCTTGGCCTCCCAAAGTGCTGGGATTACAGGCGTGAGCCACCGCGCGCTGCCAATGCCAGCCATCTTACTTGCTGGCAAAGCCATGGATTAATCTAAGGTTCTCCTTGATGGTGATTAGTTTAGGGATGGATGGGCATGTGGCACAATCCTGGACAACAAAATGTGAAGGAATCAATCTGCCCAGGAGCTGCTGGAAAAGCTTTTCTCCCTAATTGAAAAAAAAGCTTCATAGAGACAACACACTCTCCTTTGTTAGACGTCCCCATATTTGAATGTGATGCCTGGAACAACTACAGCCATTGTGCAACCAAGAGCCAACATGCCAAGGATGGCAGAACAGAAATATCTGGAATATCCTGGGTCCTTAATAATATTACTAAGCTACTGAATTAACCAACCCTGTAACTGCCTTACCTCTACACTTCTTGTGATGTAAGAGAGTAAAACCATATTCTTAAGCTAATTTTAGTTATGTTTTATGTCACTAGGCAGCTAAAGGCATCCTAATACATTATACAAAAGAATAAACATCAAAATATGCTAGTGCGTTCAAAAGCAGAGTTAAATCAATTATTTTCAGGTACTTACAGAAAAACTTGAGCAATAATATCTACATACACAAGCACTTATAGTAATAATTGAAAATTAATTTGGCCTATTCATTAAAGACTGTTACCTAAAGAGTTACCTAAAACATATTTTGCCTAAATAATGCTCACATGAAACAAGTCTATCTATTTGAATATATTCTATTCTAAAACTTTTAATATAGTATGAAATAACAACCATATAATTAGGATGTATTAAAAAATGCTTCTGGCCAGGCATGGTGGCTCATGCCTGTAATTCCAACACTTTGGGAGGCTGAGGCAGGAAGACTGCTTGAGGCCAGGAGTTCAAGACCAGCCTGGGCAACATAGCACGATCCTGTCTCTAAAAAAGAAAAAAAAAAAAAAAAAGAAGAAGAAGAAGATTAGCCGAGCATGGTGGTGTGCACCTGTAGTCCTAGCTACTCAAGAGGCTGAGGTGGAAGGATAGCTTGAGCCCAGGGGTCTGAGGCTACAGTGAGCTATGACTGCATCACTGTACTCCAGCCTGGGCAACAGAAGGAGACTGTCACCTAAAAAAGGCTTCATCTTAAATTTTTATTTACAAATCTTATATTTTAAACAAAGGAGCAAATACTTTCACAAATAATATCTCGTAGATGTCATTTGATGAAGGAGGATTGCTCACAACACTAAAAATAATTAACATTCAAAATAAAGTTTCAAGTTTTTGGGGAACACCAACCCATATCTCCCATGTAGAGGTTATATTGTTTAATACAGTTATATTTGCGATTTCATCCATTTTACATAATCATCTGTTTGTTTGTTTGTTTTAGAGATGAAGTCTTGCTCTGTCGCCTGGGCTGGAGTCCAGAGGCACGATCTTGGCTCACTGCAACTTCCACCTCCCGGGTTCAAGTGATTCTCCTGCCTCAGCCTCCCAAGTAGCTGGGATTATAGGCGCCCGGCACTATGCCCACCTAATTTTTTTTTTTTTTTTTGTATTTTTAATAGAGACGGGGTTTCACCATGTTGGCCAGGCTGGTCTCGAACTCCTGACCTCATGATTCACCCGCCTTGGCCTCCCAAAGTGCTGGGATTACAGGCGTGAGCCACCGCACCCAGACTGTTTTGTTAATTACTGCTGTTTTATATGTCCCCAATGTATATGAGACTTTAGTTTTTTATTACTAGACCAAAGACAATTGAGCACGAACAAATAATACACTATTCTAAACTATAGTGTCTCCAGTATGAAGTTTGGCTCTTTTGTGCCTGATTAATAAATTTGAAAAAATAAAATAAAATGACTTCAACTACACTGTCATACTGAGTAATCCAGTAGTTTGAGCACAAAATATATAAGATCCCTGAAGAATAATAGAGCATCTTCCATTTCAAAATGTCAAGATTTGAATGGATGATTAGCTTTTCAGGAATACTATGTATTCTCTGGTTTGCCCAATACCCCATGAACAATGTCAGGAAATTCTGAATATTCCAAAACCGTATGTTTGCAGAAACAGAAATTAAAATGGATATGAGCAAAAATAGTAGCTGCCTCATTATTAAGATTATAACATGGCCGGGCGCAGTGGCTCACGCCTGTATTCCCAGCACTTTGGGAGGCTGAGGTGGGTGGATTACGAGGTCCAGAGTTCAAGACCAGCCTGACCAACATGGTGAAACCCCATCTCTACTAAAAATACAAAAATTAGCCAGGCGTGGTGGCAGGTGCCTGTAATCCCAGCTACTTGGGAGGCTGAGGCAGGAGAATCGCTTGAGCCTGGGAGGCGGAGGTTGCAGTGAGCCGAGACCTGCCACTTCACTACAGCCTGGGCAACAGAGCGAGACTCTGTATCATAAAAAAAAAAAAAAAAAAAAAAAAGATTATCCATGTTTCAGATCTTTAAAAAGCAGTTTAGGAGACTGTATTCCATGACAATGAAATTTGATTCAAGAAGAGGATGACAGAAACAAAGGAAAAAAATACACACACGCACACACACACACATATATAGGACATATATAGGACACTTACTCTCATTTTAAATCGTAACATTGCTTTTGTTAAGAATTTTTGTGATTAGATTACAAATCATTATATTATTAACAATTTGCAATGATTAAAAAAGAACACCCTAGTTTAGGTAAGTAATGGTTCTTAAATCAAAGTGCACAGCAGAGAACAACAGCAAAGTGCTTAAGAAACACTAGTGTGAATAGCCTAACTGGACAGTCACCAATTACTGATTTAAGGCCCCTTGACACAGGGAAGTTTAATGAGGGTATTATGTAGAAAACAAAAAGAGAAATCAAGATTCTACCGATCTCTTTACAGATGGCTTACAGTAGTCATGATTGTTAGCATGGTGCCAAAGACCAGGTGTTTGTAAAAGGGCATCATGAAGTGAGCCAATTAACATGTTTAATCACAACTGAAGACATAACCAACGGCACTATACACTGAATGTGGATGGACATATCCATATAAGCATGATCCACTAGCCTTTTTACAAGAAAATATAAATTTAAAACTTAAATTTTCAGAAGTCTTTTTATTATTATTTTAAGAAAAACAAATTCACAATCTAAATACTTATGTACATGCATAGGAAAATGCCTGGAAGGATATGTACCGAGGTATTAATATTAATTAACTCTGGATAGTGGAATTGCAGTCGACAGTTTTTTTTCTTTTTGGTATTTATATTTTCTAATTTTTCTACAATTTACATGCATGATTGGTAATTAAAAAATTTTACAAGCCATATAAACTGGGATGTTTCAAAGCTATAGAAAAAAGTAGTAACTGTAACAATACAGTGATCAAATTAACATTTGAAATTATTAAAATATTACATCAATATGATAGATATAATATTAACTTATCTAGTAGATTTTGCTTATTAATTTGGACTATTGCACATTGTTTTCCACTGATTTTTTATAATTTTTTTTAAAAAATCTTTTGCAGGTAATCCTGAAACAGGGTTTCTCAATCTCAACATTACTGACATTTTGGGCTGAATATTTATTTATTGTGGGAGGCTCTCCTGTCCATTGTAGGATGGTTAACAGTGTTCCTGGTTTCAGCCACTTGATGCCAGTTGCAGATCCTACTTAGTTGTGATAAACAAAAATGTCTCTAGATCTTGCCAAATGTCCCTTGGGAGGCAAAATCGCTCTTGGGTGAGAACCACTGGCCTAAATTAACACCAGGCAAGTCAGACTTTAAGCAGTTGCTTTTGCCCTAGATAATCTGCATCAATTGTCCTATTGCTCAGGACAACTGTCAGTCATAAGAAGTAACTGAAGCTTGGTTACTGCTCATCTAAGCATATGGCAGATAACCTTTAGATCATCATAATTAGCTGGTAACTGCTTCTCTGGCAACAAAATAGCTGTTTTTCCACTTTGAACTCAGCATGGAAAACTAGGAGACAATGTATGTTTACCATTAAAATTAAACACCAAATGAGGTGGGGGAGAACAAAAAGGAAAGTGCTCCTTAAAACATGAAAGGCCATATAGTAGCAAAACAATGATCAGACCCAGTTCACATATCTCTATGTCTTTGAAGCTTTCCTTAAATCAGACAGAAGAAATGCCTCACTGCTCTGTGCTTACAAGCTCTTTGTACATATGTATTATATTTCATTACCACTATTTGTTCTTTCACTGCCTTTCCCACTAGAATGTGAGCTCTGGAGAGCAAATATTTTGATTTTTTGTTTGATTCACTCATTGTTCTATTAATTCATTAAGCCATTCATACATATCCTTCGAGATCAGCACTGTGTTTGACCCACAGTAGGCTAATTATAGTATTAATCACGAGGGTATGGAGATAAACATATTACAGGGTAAAATGTGCTAAGATGGAGGTATGAGAGCACAGAGAAGGGTAATCTACACCGAAATGGAAGTTAGGGAGGGCTTCTTAGAGGAAATGACTTGAACAAGTTGGTAGGCAACTGGAAGGAGGGGGGAGAAGAAGAGGGGGCAGGCATACCAAAGGAGCTCAATGGGCACAATTCCGGGGAAGTCCTCCCTTCTACTGCCTTATTCAGGGGTGACGGCATCTTTTCTGACAGAAGATTAATTAGCAAATGGACAAACAAAACAGGATGAAGCAGAATGAAGAAAAATTCAGCCAGCTGAGAGGGTGCCACCAGTAGTATTAACCTCAGGGATCTTCATGCTTAGGTTGAAACAGGCATGCTCTGATCACAATCAATACCTCTGGCCAATCTCAAGACTTCTGGAAAAGGTCAGCTTGTATACCATATTGCTTATCTTACACTTTCCCACTTCCTGGTGTTTGGACATAATTCAATAATAACTTATTTATAGGGAACACTTCTGTGAAAAATTCTGCATGAGGCGTTGTTGCTGGAACTAAAGATATTACATTCTGTTTCCTGATTCTAGTTCTTATTAGACTTTAATAGGAAAAGGTGGCATTGAACTGATTTTGTTAATATTTTCATTGTTAATTATTATATTGTCAGATTTTTAAAGGGTAAAATTCAGCTTGTCATAAACAATTCTGTCAACTTTTATAAATATTTTTAGAAAAAACTGTTTTTTTAGTTTTATAATATTAATCTAAAATGCATACATATTTAAAAACCATCCATACTAGTAGGTATTTTTTTTTATCATGTTAGGGAGTTTGAGTTTTCCTTAAACCATGTCTTCCCTTATTACATATTCCTTTAGTTCCCTATGATATGATATTTAGCTTTTCTATACAAGGAAAAATCATATAAGAGAAATAGGACATCCACTTCTGGCCCAAAGTAAACAGTCAAAGAGAATACAACATTTGATAGGTGACATCTCTTTCTAAAGAAGAATTCAATGATATCTGTAAAATACAGTAAAGTCTGCTCTCTGGCACAGCTGGGGAATGAGGTATTCCGGTCAAATATTCTGCTTAATAGAGTTACCATATATTTTCCATGGATTGCCTATTTTCAAAGAGTTGCAACAGATCAAAATAAACCTAAGGCTATATACCCAGGGTGGTCCCAGCTGAGCTCAAAGGGAATTATCTGGGTGTATATGATTAACTAGAGAGAGTTGGTGGGCCCTTAGGGCTCTATTTGCATGAAACGATTTATGCTGGCATTTTATTTATTCCCAGCTCCTAGGAAAAGGAAGATACATGCCTAGGCACTTGAACAAAAGGGGAGAAGGAGGGCAATGGAGGGGCTTAAGATTTTAGGATTCCCTTCAGGTCTCTAGGAGTTGAAACAGTTTTTAGTCTCCAAGGAGAAAGGGATCAGAAGAGATGCAAAATGAACTGTTTTTATGAAGTGTCCTGTGAAACATGGCTACTTCTGCACTGAACATAATACCACAATGGTACTTCAAGATTGATGACAAAATTGGAGCAGTAGGAAACTGTACCCTTGGCCCACACATAGGCATTTTCATTAAAGGCAACCCCAAGCAGTTTTGCCTGCAAAAAGCATTTAGCAGAATGGAGCTGAAGCTACAGCAAGACAGGACAGGCAGGGGCTTTGTCTGTTTTGTTCATTGCTATATTTTCATCACTCTAGAATAAAGGCACTCAGTTGCTGATTGGTGAGCAAATTTCAACTGGTGACTACAGATGACGTTTTCAGCACCCATGAAATGACTCCAGGTGTACTTTTAGGGGTAAAGACTTTGTAAAGAGCTTGAGTCCTGCCAGTGGGGGAAAAGAGGAGATAACTGGGATATTTGGATTACTGTTACTAAGGACACCCCCTCTGAATTCATAAATGAAGAGACCTGGAGACATCTAGTTTACAAAAAAAACTATATCATTAAAGAAGCACATCACGGTCTTGCAGCTTCTTAAGGTTGTTTTCAGAATATTACCATTTTACTGGCAAAGCAAAGAGGCACCAACTTATGAGGCATCTAATAGAAATTTCTGGATGATGAAATTCTAGATATCAGAATTTACATTACTGATTAAGACACTACTTTGTTAAACAATATATTTGGTTTCTCACATAAGCCTACCATTTTTATAATACTGAAGTTTTTTTTTTTTTTAATGTCAAGTGCTTGGTTTAAAAATGTGTCAAAACAACTTAAGTCATTTTGGATCAGGGATTATATACACAATCCTTTCATGTAAAAATTCACCCTCATTTCTTTAAAGGTAAATTACCATTAATAAATGAATCAAATTTTCTGTATATTATCAATTTAGTCTTTCAAGCCTAACTAAATGCAGATATACTCATTGACTTTCCAATTATAGTTTAGATTTAGACATGACTGAGGCCTTGTAAAAGGGAAGATAGCTTAAGAGAGATGAGAGATTTTCAAAATTAATTATCTCCATAAGCCAACATGGCTACACAGGGAGCTCTCAGACAAGTTTAGGTTTTTAAAGAACAATTACTTAAGATAGAAGGAAGAACATCCCTGAGAATTAACGTAAGAGTGAACTCAGTGGTTATAACTCTCCATGTCACACCAGCTATGGGAGCAATAAAGGCATAATGACAATCATACTTTGGCCTTTCAGCCTTTTTTGAATTTTCATATGGTGCTTCCAAAGTTTCTCTTTGTTCTGAGAGACACAGTTCCTCTTAGGAACTTGCTATTATCTTGTTCTACTGCTTCTACTTTCCAGAAGTAACATTTCCCAATTTGGGAGAAGAGTTCAATCTAAGTGACTGCGGCCCATTCAGAGCCAACCATAGATGGTCTGGCCTTTAAAGTAACCATAGCTCTTTTGATTTTGTAAACCATTTTAGTTTAAAAAGCTCAGATTTGGTCGGGTGCAGTGGCCCACGCCTATAATCCTAGCACTTTGGGAGGCCGAGGCAGGTGGATCACCTGAGGTCAGGAGTTTGAGACCAGCCTGGCCAACATGGCGAAACCCCGTCTCCTACTAAAAATACAAAAATTAGCCAGGCGTGGTGGTGGGTGCCTGTAATCCCAGCTACTCAGGAGGCTGAGGCAGGAGAATCACTTGAACCCAGGGGGTGGAGGTTGCAGTGAGCTGAGATCAAGCCACTGTACTCCAGCCTGGGCGACAGAGCAAGACTCCATCTCAAAAAAAAGCTCAGATTTATCCTGAGGCCACAGGGAAGTTATGAAAGAATCTTAAGTCAGGAAACTAAGGTTATCTTGTTTGGTTTCTTTTGTTTTTAATTTTATTCTGACTAAAATGGGGTGAATGGATTAGGAAATGGAAATGGGTAAGAGAAGAAGACACAGATACCAGTCAGGAGGTCATTATTATAGTCCGGACGAGAGATGGTTGAAGCCAGGAATTCAAATAGTGTCAGTGGGCTTGGAGAGAAATGGATGGATTCAAAAGTTATCTAGGGTCAGGCAAAGTGGCTCATGCATGTAATTCCAGCACTTTGGGAGGTTGAGGCAGGAGGATTGCTTGAGGCCAGGAAAACAAGATAAGCCTGGGCAACACAGCGAGATCTCATCTCTATTAAAAATTAAAAATTTAGCCAGGCATGGTGATGCATGCCTGTAGTCCTAGTTACTTAGGAGGCTGAGGTGGGAGGATCACTTGAGCCCAGGAGTTTGAGGATACAGTGAGCTATGATCATACCACTGCACTCCAGCCTGGGAAACAGAGCAACCCGGTCTCAATCAATCAGTCAATCTGGGAAGTAGAAGCAGCAAGCCTGAATAATGGCATAAAACGCTATGATTACTTGATATCATTTAGCATCTTAACACTTAGTTATTTTAATGCTCATCTAGGAGCTGTTCCAAAGTTTATCAAATGAACAGTAGCACATACTGATTTTGTTGAGGGGAAATTGGCTGGCATGATTAAAAGCAACGGTAACATTTTCAAGTTATGTCAATGAATCTAATAATTCTGCAAAGCCTTATTCCTATATTTGGTATATGAGGTACAGAATGAGGACACACACACAACAAATATTTATGGAGTGCCTGGGTAACATATTGTTCTTTAAAAAAGCAAAACAAAAACACACAGAAGCAGCAGGAAACTGACAGATTTAAAACAGAAAAGAAGTATTTTCTATAATTTATTTGGAGCTGTGAAAGTTATAGAAGTATAATACTTGCCGTGAACACTTTCCCAACAGCTGAAATTAATTTTTATGCCTAAGCAAGATACTGCATGGTGGTGAAACATATACGGTTCACCGATTTTGAATATTCTATTCAAAATATCTCAAAAGAAAAAAAAGACTATTTGTGCAGTCAACTATTTGAACTAAAAGAATGACTGAAGCATAGAAAGGAGAATAAGCAAAAAAGATGTTTAGACATTGCATAAATATGGAATTTGATTTATTTGTATACACTTATGAAGTACAAGTGCAATCTTGTTACATGCATGGATTGCACAGTCGTCAAGTCAGAGCTTTTAGGGTATCCATCACCCGAATAACATACATCATACCCATTAAGTAATTTTTCTCATTATCCACACCCCTCCTACCACAAAACCCTCCTGAGTCTCCATTGTGTATCATGGAATTTGATTTTCTTCCACAAAATATGCAACTTAAATTTAGGGGCTATTAATTTTGTCTATATTGTATGCTGTTCTTTTTTTTTTTTTTTTTTTTTTTGGAGACAGATTCTCACTCTGTCCCCCAGACTGGAGTACAGTGGCGTGATCTTGGCTCACTGCAAGCTCCGCCTCCTGGGTTCACACCATTCTCCTGCCTCAGCCTCCCAAGTAGCTGGGACTACAGGCACCTGCCACCATGCCCGGCTAATTTTTTTGTATTTTTAGTAGAGACGGGGTTTCACCGTGTTAGCCAGGATGGTCTCGATCTCCTGACCTCGTGATCTGCCCACCTTGGCCTCCCAAAGTGCTGGGATTACCGGCTTGAGCCACTGAGCCTGGCCTGTATGCTGTTCTTTAAACTCATGAAATCTCTGAGAAACTAACTAGAAAGGGTCTCAATTCTGAATTTAGAAATGTTTCTAATTATATATACCTTGATACCAATATATTGTACATTCATCTGGAATACCTTTGATATCCTCATTAGCTGAGTAATATAGAATAGGAATATTAACTAATAGAAGTCTTCCAAAGACATTATCCAATTCTGCTTTCATTCATTTGAATTGTTTACTTTCAAAAAGATCTTAATCCATAATGTCAAATTCTTTTATTTGTATTTGCCCCATCTTTTAGAGGATATCTCTATCGGAGGAAGATTTTTTGGTATGTGCATTTTGTTTATGCTACATATGCCAAATAGATCTCCCAAGATGAAACTCTGAGCTCATTTGGAAGTAATTTTTGGTAGCACATGCATCAGAACTCTTATTTTCTTCTCAGCACTACTGGTATTTTATTGCTTCCATCTATAGTCCAATATGCTTTTAGTGCTAAGAACCCTGAGGCCAAACACACAAAGCACTAAGAAAATGGGAACTTCTGGCGATTACAATTTTTGCCAATCTTTCAGGGTTCTTCCCTCCCCTGGGAGAGTGAAATCACTTCAAGTTCACTATGAAACAGGAACATGGTGAGCACAAAGGATTGACTGAAGTTGGTGATGTTGATTTAGGAGTCTTCGACTTAAAGGTCAGGTATAAAAACCTCAAACCTGCTTGTCAAACGCCTATGGATTTTTCAAGACTCTGCCCTAATGTCACTTTTTTTTGTTTTGTTTTGTTTTGAGACGGAGTCTCTCTCTGTCGCCCAGGCTGGAGTACAGTGGCGTGATCTTGGCTCACTGCAAGCTCCGCCTCCCAGGTTCACGCTATTCTCCTGCCTCAGCCTCCCGAGTAGCTGGGACTACAGGCGCCCGCCACCACGCCCGGCTAATTTTTTGTATTTTTAGTAGAGACGGGGTTTCACCGTGGTCTCGATCTCTTGACCTTGTGATCCACCCGCCTCGGCCTCCCAAAGTGCTGGGATTACAGGCGTGAGCCACCGCGCCGGGCCCTAATGTCACTTTTTCTATGAAGGCCTCTCTGGCCAACACAGGCAGAGTTAGGCAGTTCCTCCTTTATGTTATTATCGCACCTTAACATATTTCTATGGCAGCACTTATCAAATTATATTGCATTTGTTTGTCTGTCCCCACTCATGGATAGAGAGAAACCATTCTCTTCCTTTTATCTGTGACCCAGAGCATTACCAAAATCAAGTTGGTTTTCAGTAGTTAATGGAAAGGATAGTCAGAGAATGGCTAATAATATTCTACATCTGTATAGCATAGGTTTCAAGGTCTTTTCAGATAGTAGTGAGGAAGACATGGCTTAAATTATTTTCCGTCTTTTATAGACAAGGAAACAAATGCCCAGAGAGGTTATATGTCCCACCCACGTTCAAAACAGTTAATACGTTGCACACCTAATTCTCATGGCAGCAAGTTGATAAAGATTTGTAGATAGAAGTGGTAGCAGTACTGTTATATAAGGCAAAGATAGCAATGGCTGGTCAGGAGTGCATTAGGTAAGTGTTTCAGATTGGTTGACACATTTAGGATCTGATTACTTGTTTTGAAAGTTAATCGTAACAGGTTCTCAAGAAATTAACTTAAATGGACATGAAACTGGACATAAGAATATCAAATTATTTACATTCAGTGACAATATATGAAAAATTCTTACTCTGTACTCAAGCTACATGTGCAGTGAAGTCAGCAGAAAGACATAAAACATATCCTACATATGTATGTAATATATATGACTCTGCCATCTCTGAAATTCGAACTGTGACTCAGACTACTAACAGGGAAAAGAATTCTTAGAGATCAATCCTTTAACTCTTTCATTTTACAAAAGACAGACAGAAATGGATAGCTAGAAAGGACAAATGACTTACTCAAAGTCACACAGCTTTTTAGTGGCAGTACCAGGATACAAAATCAGGTCTCGTTAACAATAATATTCTTACATTTTTAAAAAACAAGTTATGATTGAAAAGTGATACAAGTAGAGTTCTTAGCCTTCTAGGCATATGGCTAATATGAGTACACACAGGCTGTAACACTGGAATTATTAGAAGAATGCTGCAACATGGGGGGGCAAGTACACCATCTACTACTCTGTGTCTGTGTATTGGGGAGGTAAGGGAACATATAATAAGACAGACAGTGTTTTAGGATCTAAATGGAGATCAACAATATTAATCATATGTATTCTTATATATTTTACATATATATTCTTTTATTTATTTATTTATTTTGGGACAGAGAGTCTCACTGTCTCCAGCGGCTCACTGCAACCTTCGCCTCCCAGATTCAAGCGATTCTCCTGCCTCAGCCTCCCAAGTAGCTGGGATTACAGGCACCCGCCACCACGACCGGCTAATTTTTGTATTATTAGTAGAGACAGGGTTTCACCATGTTGGCCAGGCTGGTCTCAAACTCCTGACCTCAGGTGATCCACCCGCCTCGGCCTCCCAAAGTGCTGGGATTACAGGTGTGAGCCACCGCGCCTAGCCACATACATATTCTTATATATCCATTCACCCACAGACATTGTTACAAAAAAAATTATTGGATTTATCATTTCAGTGTGTCAACTAAAGTATATTTTCTGGTCATCATTCCTTTTTAATGTTCATTGTTTTGTCCTTTTTGAAAATAATCCAAGTAGATATAACCTGTGCGCTTATGTGTTCATAGCATATAATCAGCTTTTAAGTTTTGAAAATGATTTGACTACTTCTCTTAGCCCTCTTCTCATTGCCAGTAGAACACATTCTACTAGTTATGGGTTAGCTAAAAAGTATGTGTCTCTATGAAGGGTCAAAGACAAAAATCAACTAATATTTTCAGCAAAAAAGAAGACATATGATCATACTTCTGGAAGTTTGTGGATTAACTTCTGTGACTAAAGCTGCTTGTTTAACTGTTCGGGTATGCTCTGGGTTATAGGCCCTGGGTTAGGAGATGAAAGCAATTTGATTTCCACAAGCATATTCATATCTCACAGATGAAGTCACACCAAAATCAAATGATTTCACAGGGCAACAGCATTGACAAAGAAAGTACTGCTTTGGGAATACAAAGAAAGTACTGCTTTGGGAATACCTCACACTGGAATGAATTTGTTTGTTAACTGATCTTCCTGTTGGGGATTATTGCTAGAGGTCCTCACGCCTGTAATCCCAACACTTTGGTAGGCTGAGGTAGGTGGATCACTTGAGGTCAGGAGTTCGAGACCAGCCTGGCCAACATGGTGAAACCCCATCTCTACTAAAAATACAAAAATTAGCTGGGCGTGGTGGCATGTGCCTGTAATCCCAGCTACTCGGGAGGCTGAGGCAGGAGAATCACTTGAACCTGGGAGGCAGAGGTTGCAGTGAGCCGAGATCACGCCATTGCACTCCAGCCTGGGCAACAGAGCAAGATTCCATATCAAAAAAAATTAAAAAAAAAAAAAATATATATATATATATACACACACATATATAAATACACATATATATACACACATATATATACACATATATATACACACACATATATATATACACACACACCTTTACCTGTTTGATATCAACTATTATGCATATCTTTCTGTTACTATTGCAATCAGTCTGTGCTCTTCCTGCTACTCCTTTGTTAGATGCAGAGGACGTGTATTTCCATAGCATTTATATAGCAAAGCCTTTGATTCCTTTTAGCATCATAACTTGTACCCTAATTGCCACCCCCAATTAATGCTAATATTTACTGTGATCCTCAAGAGTTCCAGTTTAAAACAAGAGCCCACATTGTGAAAGAAACTTTAGGTATTCAATGTTATTTACACAGTCCAATTCAAAATCAGTTTCTCATTTAGGCTGTGAAAGAAACTTATTTATAAATCACAGCATTTGAATTTATTATGTGAAAAGTTCTAGATATTAATGTTTACGCTACGTGAAATTATAATATTATGCTATATAAAAATTGGGGTTATTTAAGTACCAATTCATTCATTTCCTATAAAATTTCAGTAAAACATTTCCCATGTATACTTAACATTGAAGATGATTCATTTAGGTCCACATTATGTTAAGCCAGCCATGACTTATAACTTAATTTTTATCCATGTCACAGGTATAAAATATCTGTCAATTCTTATTAAAAAAATGTCACATGAAATCAATATAGTCAATAGGAACATAAAATGACAATAGAAGGAAAACATTCAGAAATATAAGCAACAGGTCTTGCAATGCTTTAAGATGTATTACTTACCAAAAACAAAGTTCGGAAGTTGTTGAGATCACCAAAGAACTCTTCTATGCTCACTGTCTTTGAGTCAAAAATGAAGTATTCTCCAAGATTCTCATAGAGCTTCATCATGTTGTTGTGCATGGTGGAGAGTTTTTCATACTGTTCTCGGGCAGTCTTTGTAAAGCTGTAGCTTTTTGTTAAGGAACATGGCTCAACAGTACCTTTTAAAGGCAATCAATCACTAGATGTTAAGATTAAATTAAATCATCACTTCTATAAATACATTAGTAATGCACAAATACTTGTGTATTAGTTTGTTAGGGCTGCCATGGTAAAATACCACAGATTAGGTGGCTTAAACAACAGAAACTGATTTTCTCACAATTCTGGAGGCTAGAAGTCTGAGATCAGGGTCTGGTGGGTTTAGTTTCTTCTGAGGTCTCTCCATAGTCGTTCCCCTGTCTGTATCCTAATCGCTTCTTCTTACACTAGACATATTGGATTAGGGCCCACCCTAATCAGCTCATTTTAACTTAATTACTTCCTTAAAGTCCCTATGTTCAAATATAGTCACATTCTGAGGTACATGGTGGTTAGGACTTCAACATATGAATTTTGGGGAAGACACATTTTAGCCCAAAATAACTTGATAGAGTCATTATATTGGTTAGTGAGACTTGAAGATCTTTAAATTAGGCAGAACTATTCAATATGTAGCCACACGGAACATTTGTTAGAAAATGTTTGCTAAATGAAAGCATATAGGCATAAATACCAGAAAACGGCCTCATATATTTTTATGAGTAAGGTAGAAAACAGTGGCAAAAAACTTAAAGAAAAAACTATATATATATTTTTTTTTCTCTCTTTTTAATATACATCTCTATATAAGTAGAGATAGAGGTTATAGTGAGGCCAGGTGCAGTGGCTCATGCCTGTAATCCCAGCACTTTGGGAGGCCAAGGTGAGCAGATTACAAGGTCAGGAGTTTGAGGCCAGCCTGGCCAACACAGTGAAACCCCGTCTCCACTAAAAGTACAAAAAAATTAGCCAGGCATGGTGACACGCGCCTGTACTCCCAGCTACTCGGGAAGCTGAGGCAGGAAAATTGCTTGAACTCGGGAGGTGGAGGCTGTGCTGAGCCAAGATTGCGCCACTGCACTCCAGCCTGGGCGACAGTGTGAGACTCTGTCTCAAAAAAAAAAAAAAAAAAAAAGAGGTTATAGTGAATTCTGTATATGAGTGTTATATATGTGTGTGTGTATACATATATGCATAACCCACATGAGGAAAGGAAACAGAGAAGGAAGAAGGTGATGGGGTTCAAGACACACTTCCCCAAAATATGGCACCTTGGCATTTGAGAAATCAGCAAAAGCAGGAAGTTCTCTCTGATCTTCTAATCCTTTTCTCCTGAAGCAGGCAAGAAAATGATTCTCTTAACTGCCTCTGAAGTAGGTTATAAGACCCTCATTTCAGAGCTGCTCCTCCTATACCTGAAGGAAAAGAATGTCCTTATCTCTGGAGACATATGGACACAGAGAAGAATCTGAACAAATATGCCTTGCTAAGTTCCCCCAGCTCATTACCATTAGATCATACCCCCTTTGCCTGATTATATTTCCCTACTGTCCACTCTTCATCAAACCTAATCATAAAAATATACAAGTTTCCCTATTTCTTTTGGTCTTCATTTTTGAGGGCTCCTGTGTCACATAAAACTTATATTAAATAAATCCATAAGTTTTCCTCTTGTTAATCTGTCTTTTGTTTTAGAGGTCTCAGCTACAAACCCAGCAATGGGTGAGAAGAGAAACTACTTTTCCTCTATAAAGGAGAGGAAGTGGCCTGGCAAGAAAGGAGGAAGACGGAGAAGGAGGGAAGGGGGGAGGGAGAAGAGAGGATGAAGGGGAGAGGGAGAGAGGGACACAGAGGGAGAGGGAGGAGAAGGAGAGAGAGGTAAAGAAAATTTGCTGTAGCTCTAGAGAGAATTTTCTGTAGCTTTAGAACCTTAATCGCCCAAAGGGCTTGTTAAAACACAAATAGCTGTTTCCTGGGGCCCCAGATCAGGGGCCTAAGAATTATCATTTCCAACTAATTTCCAAGTGATGCTGATGTTGCTGGTCCAGGCCCACACTTTGAGTAGTATGTTCTAGAAAATTAAGTAGAAGCTATTATCTCCAGAAACTAATTTTACCAGTTTTAAAAAAATTTTGAAGGAATAAATGATCTTAACAACTACCATTACCAAATCATAAAATGAACCAAATATATAAATGTGTCCTACTAAAGATATCTCACTATATATAAATTTATACTTATAGAAATTATAATACATTTTTTCTGATTATAGAAGATATAAATGGCCCTTTTTTACAACTTAGAAATTAAAAACTTAAATCAACTAAAATTTCCCACTCAGAAACAAGTATTGTGAACATTTTGGAGCATTTCCTTCTGGTCTTTCTTCTATGGCTAGTAACTTTTGATTGTCATAGATAAGAATGTTTTAGAAAAAGGTAAGTGGACTAACCATAAAGAAAAAAGGAAACAAAATCAACAGTTTAAATTAGAGTTAAATCCATTAAAAATTAATAATGATCACAGAAGTAAAATTTCTCTAGATGCAAAAGTAATAGACTTGGAATTGTATAGAAAAATAATGGTGCAGTCTGGGGCATACTATTTTAAGATCTACTATAGAGTATTAATATTTTGTGGTGTTATTATTTTATCAAGTACTGATAATTGTGCCTTGAAAAACTTGACTTTATAAGATTTTCTGAATTCTTCACTGTGTTTTATTATAACCTGGGGCCAAATTTATTTTCCATGGGAACACAGCTCTAGTTCTATAATGGAAGTCAATGGGGAAATCAGACCATTTCTGGAAAGTTACTTTGCAGCTGACACTTATGGAATACACCATGATTTTAAAAGTGAGATGCCCACTTCCTATGTTCTTTTTTTATGCTACGTAAGTATTAGCATTCACATTAACAACACAACAGCCTCTTTCATGCTGACAAGCCACATTAAATCTTTTAGTCCTCAAGCCCATTTTTGTGTCAATAGACCCGAAAAAACAAACACATTTCTGACAGACTCTACTTTCCTTTTTAGCAATGGAAGGGTACACGTAATGCTTCATATAAAAACATTCTGATTTTTACCTTTGAGACTGTCATCATATATATATTGGTTTTTAAGAAAATGTTTATCATCATATTTAAGCATAGCAGAAAGAAGACTCTTCATTTTTTAGCAAAGAATGAAAGTGACATTTCTGTTTTCTAGCCTCTCTTCCCTAAATAAAACAGATTCATTCCAGGGACTCGCTAGGCAGAAGCACTTTGCAAAGGTCACTTACTTGTAATCTATTTGCAATGCAAATTACTAAACTGTTTGCATATTGCAGAAAGCTCAACATCTGTATAACACAGAGAAAAAGCCAAAGATAACAAAAAAGGGAAAATTTGTATGTTCCCCATTTATCATAACACAATTTTTCACCAGCTAAAACATGTCCATGTAGTGATACCGAATTTCATAAATTTGTTCTTATAGAACAAAAACTGATTTCAGAAATTGTCTCGTACCCAAGTGAGGAAACCTGAAAAATTCTGAGAATGGTTTATCTTGAAAATAACAAATGGAAAGCAGCCCAATCTCTAAATCCTTCACTTATCTTCAAAGAGATTACTTTGTAAAAGGGATAGATGGCTGGCGAGTCAGCACTGAAATTTTTCACAATTGCAACCATGTCACCAAATCCTATATGGGACTGCAGGTAAGAAAAGAAGTGGACAACATCACTCCATATCATCCCTGTATTTAATGTGGGAATTTTAAAAACTTATTATTTATTTTAAATTATCTATATTATTTTTTAGAGACAGGATCTTGCTCTGTTACTCAGGCTGGAGTGCAGTGGCACAATCATAGCTCACTGCAGCCTCGAACTCCCAGGCTCAAGCCATCCTCCCGTCTTAGCCTTTCAAGTAGCTGGGACTACAGATGTATGCCACCACACCTGGCTTCATGTGGGAAATTTTTATTTTGTTTTTTAAGCCACTAAATACAAGATACTGGGGTGGTATCATGCTAAGCATTGTGGTCGATAGAATGATCATTAAAGCCTTAATCTCTACCCTGAAGAAGTTTATAATCTAATAGTACAAATAATTCTACCACCATCGATTTGCATGTGTATAAGACTTTATCACTTATTATATACCTTTCCTTCCATTATATCCCATATTCTTTATAACAACCTTTTCAAAAAGGCAGAGCAATATTACCATTCAAATTTTAGAGTTGTGGGAGCTAGATAAAAGGCAGTCATCCATTTAGGGTTAGAATGTAGACACTGTAATAGTCCATGGCATGATATCTAGTTCTTTTCATATAGCAGTGTATTGTTTACAATAATAGTGACCTTCATGTGGCAAAATCCAATATTAACTCCTTTATTTTTCTTTTTAGGTCTCAGCAGCATATGACACATTTAGCTACTTCTCTTAATTTCTGTGACACAGAAATGAAAAGTTTTCTTTCTCACTTCCTCTCCTCTGGTAATAATTTCTTTCTTTCTTTTTTTTTTTTGCTTTGCTTTCTTTTGTTTTGTTTTTTTGAGACAGAGTCTCACTCTGTCACCCAGGCTGGAGTGTAGTGGCATGATCTCAGCTCACTGCAACCTCCGCCTCCCGGGTTCAAGCGATTCTCCCGCCTCAGCCTCCCAAGTAGCTGAGATTACAGGCGCATGCCACCATGCCCAGCTAATTTTTGTATTTTTAGTAGAGATGGGGTTTCACCATGTTGGCCAGGCTGGTCTTGAACTCCTGACCTCAGGTGATCCACCCGCCTGGGCCACCCAACGTGCTGGGATTACAGGCGTGAGCCACCATGCCTGGATTCCTCTGGCGACTTCTATAAAATGTTAGAGTAGAGGGCTTGGTCCTGAGCCCTCTATCTACATTCTCTGTCTAGTTGATTTCAGCAATTCACATAGCTTTAAATATCATCTATATTGATGACGCCCAAATTTATATCTCTCCTATCCCAATCTCTCCCCTGAGACACACACTTTCATAATCAACTGTCTACATATCATCTCTACTTGAATTTTTTAAAAAATGGTATCTGTTGATATTTCAAATGTAAATTCCTTTCTGAAAACCCTCTAATAACTTTCTACAACACTTGGAAGAAAATCCAAAGTCTTTCCCATGATTTACAAGGCTCTACATGATTTGTCCGCTACCCATCCCTGCAATGTAAGCTCATGCCATTCTCCCTTTAAAGTACTATGCCTGGCTACATCAACCTTCTTTCTGTTCCTTCAACATACCAAGGTCACAGACAACTCAGGGCCTTTGCACTTGTTCTCTCTGCCTAGACTGTTTCTTTCCCACCAAGCCATTCAGTCGCAGCTCAAATGCCACTTCCTCATAGAGGCTTTCCCCAACTATCCAATCTAAAATATCCATCCCCATCACTGTTACTCTGACCTATTTTATTTCATCTGAGAACTTAATCACTATCTGACATTATCTCTTTTGTCTATTTTTCTTATTTCTTATTTCAATCTGTTTATTGCCTACCTTTCCCTACTTAAAAATATGGTCCATGAAAGTAGACCTTCTCTGATCACTGACTCATCAACACCTAGACGTGCGCCTGGCACAGAGAAGAAATAGTAGCAGTAACAAAAGAAATGAAAATCAACAATAACGACAATGTAACTGTACCTAACCTTTTTAAAAAATAAATTGTGTGAGCCGCTGTGGAAGACTTCCCATGGACTAACTCATTTCATCTTCACAACAGCTTTCTGAGATAAAAAAATAATTGCATAAGGTCACACAGCTAGTATGTCACAAAAATGGAAATAAACTGAGTGTGCCTCCAGAACCCATGTTCTTAACCAGTAAGCTATACAGTTCTTAAGAAATATTTGTTGAAGGAGTAAAGGCTCATTCTAACACTGCATAGGATGACACCACTGAAGGCTGGGTCATGGGCTGACTTGAGTACTTAAAAACCTGAAATCCCTTTTATGAATCTTAAACCAATTTCACAGCAAAACTCATTTACTGAGAATATTTTTACAGTACTATTTCATTGTATTTGAGAACGCATTTTAATCCCCTCGTTTCATCAATCTGAACATCTTAAATACATTTTAATAACAAGGTTGGCTTCAATCATATTTATTTTAAAGCTATATATGTAATAGTGAATATGTTTATCAGTAGAATGATGGTCAGCCTAAATTAAGTTTGTGTCTTTAGACCTGAATGTTGCTCTAGTAGATATTTTAGTAGATGTAATAGTTAATTTTATGTCAATTTGACTGAGTTAAAGGATGTCCAGATAGCTGGTGAAACATTGTCTCTGGGTGTGACTGTGAGGGTGTTTCTGGAAGAATTTGCATGTGAATCAGTAGACTGAGTAAAGAAGATCACCCTCCTCAATGAGGGTGGGAAATGATCCAATTTGTTGAGGGCCAAGATAAAACACCAAAGTGGAGAAGGGTGAATGCTCTCTCTCTCTTCTGGAGCTGAGCCGTCTATCATCTCTTGCCCTGGGACATTGACATTCCTGGTTTTTGGGCCAAGGGACTGGGACTGGGGCATAAACAATTGGCTCCCCTGGTTCTCAGGCCTGTGGATTTGTATTGGAACTATACCATCAGTTTTCCTGGTTTTTTAGCTTGCAGAAGCTTGGAGGTTAGATGACAAGATGTCTCAGCCTCCATAATTCTCTCTCTCTATATATAGATGTATAAAATATTCTTATTTTATATAAAAAAGAAATATATATATATTCTTTTTCTCTGGAGAACCCTAATACAATAGATAAAATTTAAAACTGGCCATTTTGTTTATCTCCTATATTAGAGAATAGAAATTAAGAATACGGTTTAAAGAAAATAAGTCTTTTTATTTTTTTCTAAGAGACAGAATCTTGTTATGTTGCCAAGGCTGGAGTGTGGTGGCTATTCACAGGTGCAATTCCACTACTGATCAGCATGAGAGTTTTTACCTACTTTGTTTCTGACCTGGGCTAGGTAACCCCTGCTTAAGCAACCTAGTGGTCCCCCGTTACTGAAAGGTCACCATGTTAATGTGGACCTTAGTGCAGATGCCCAATCAGCCTAGCGCATTATAGCCCAGAACTCCCGGGCTCAAGCAATCCTCTCATCTCAGTCTTCTGAGTAGCTGGGCCTACAGGCATCTACCACCATACCCAGTAGAAATAAGACTTAAATGTATGTAGTGGGATGCCTCACAAAAAAAAAAAAAAAAAAAAACTTACTATAAAATGCATTTTATGAAAGGCTAATTGCCAGGGCACAGTGGCTCACGCGTGAAATCCCAGCACTTTGGGAGGCCAAGGCAGGTGGATCACTTAAGGTCAGGAGTTCGAGACCAACCTGGATGTGGTGAAACCCCATCTTTTCTAAAAATACAAAAAACAGCAGGATGTGGTGGAGGGTACCTGTAATCCCAGCTATTCGGGAGGCTAAGGCAGGAGAATGGCTTGAACTCGGGAGGCAGAGGTTGCAGTGAGCCGAGATGATGCCACTGCACTCCAGCCTGAGCGACAGAGCGAGGCTCCATCTCAAAAAAAAAAAAAAACAAAAAAAACAATAAAACAAAAAACCAGCAAGGCTATTTGGTGGCTTACAGGCAGTTTTGATTCTAGAAACAGAATGACATTTTCATGTCGTAGAGATACAAGGTATCTTTACAGCTACCTGTAGATTTCTATTTATAATATAAAGTGGGTATATCTTTAACAGGACCTTGTCTATGGAGAAGGAGGAGAAAGCTTGTTTCATCAGTAGAGATTTGATCTGGGTTACTGTTACTCCTCACTTGGGGTTAAGACTGAATATAACTGAGACTTAAGAAAGTGTATTGTAGACCATTATGATTGGTGTGACTCGGCCAGGCAGCCTGCCCTTAGTTGTGTTTTGGCAGCACTGAGGGAGAAGCCTATGGCCATATTTAGGGTGACACGGGAAAGCTGGTTATGGACACACTATATAACTAATGCTAGAACCTCTCCTAACACAGTTCCCTGAGAAACTACTGAAGGCACTGGTACGATCAGCAGCCAAAGGGCATTTGCTCCTGAATACCCAGATTTCCTGGCATTTGGTGCCACAGGAGAGAGTGACAACAACTACAAAAGCTTCAAAGAACAGGACACTCTGGGGAGGATGATTAGACTATTCCAGGATCAAAATGTAGAGTGACCTCTTCCCATCTGTTTAAGCAACTTTGGAAGTCCTTGAAATATTTAAAGAGAAGAACTCTGGGAAAACAATGGACCTTCCAAGATGAAGGTAATTCAGAGTAATTTATAACCTAAAATAAATATAACCTTATGGCAGTGAAGTGGGACATATCTAATACATATAAACTTGGCAAGTATGAGAGGAAAATAAGAAATTCAATGCAATTTTCCTTTTACTAGTCCCCTTTCAAATTCCTTGTTCTACAAAGACAAATATTTCTGATTTTTCAAGCATGAAGTTATTTAAGATAACTGTAAGCTAAAATCACATCATCTTCTCCCTAACAGAAGTGTTCTTTGTGGGGTTTATAAACTAAAATGTGTGCAGCATTTTAAAACACTGCAAGGTAAAATGCTAATGTTTTGAAAATGTTATTAATTTGAAATCAGTTTGGTCTCAGTCATGAATCTGGAAAGTTAATTTATAAAACATTTATCATAAGTCCCACAACGCATTTTTATTTCCTTTTTTTTTCTTTTGAGATAGAATCTCACTCTATCTCCCATGCTGGAGGGCAGTGGCGTGATCTCGGCTCGCTGCAACCTCTGCCTCACAGGTTCAAGTGATTCTCTTGTCTCAGCCTCCCATGTAGCCGGGATTACAGGTGGCCAGCACCATGCCCAGCTAATTTCTTTATTTTTAGTAGAGATGGGGTTTCATCATGTTGGTTAGGTTAGTCTCGAACTCCTTCCTGACCTCAAGTGATTTGCCCACCCAGGCCTCTCAGTGCTGGGATTACAGGAGTGAGCCACTGCACCCAGCCCACAAAGCATTTTTATCTAGGGAATCTCATCTAGGGAAGCAGTGATCAGAATTACTGGGGTATTTATGCACTATATAGAATTCTCTTAAAGCTTTTATCACTCATGTTTTTGTGTGACTATATATGAATTTCTAGATTATATTCCTTAGTAATATACTAACAGTATGGACTTAAAATTCAACCTGAGATAGTTGTAATTCCTCCATAAGCTTATACCAAAATAGAAAGTAAGTTATTTCCTTTATACTTTAATGTACATTTATATTGGTTTTGACTATTTCAGGTAGCTGAAGGCAGGTGTTATACCCCCTTGCCCTCTAACTGATCCTATTGGTAAAGTAGGATCACTTCATCAATGCTATGTGTAGAAAACTGTTTATCATTTTACTTAATTTTGATGTAAGGAGTAATTGTTACCACAAAAAACATGTTCCATTAGAATTAGAATAAGCATTAGCAGAGCACTGGGAAATGAAGAGTTTATAGAGCTCATAGATACTTGAGTCAAATCAGTTGCTACAATTTTTCATCTTCATAGGTAGTACCTTAGTTACTTATAATTTTCATTTTAAAAGCCTGAAATATTAAATATCATTACTGCTGGATTGTTGAAGAACATGGAAAAATCAACTTGAGATCCACTTAACCTTCACACAAGCTTTAGTTAACAACCTGGCATAATTACCCATTTAAATAAAAGGAAGTCACAAATATACAATCTATTAAAATATAGACAGCATTTCCACTTTTTAAAACCTGTCAGAAAAGATTCCTCTTAATGCTAAAAACAAAACATGAATTTTTCCATTTAATTTGGATAATTTTTAGTTAGAAATTATTAACATTTCAAAGAAATGTACTTTAAAAATAATATTAAAATATGTGAAACTTACAAACCACACATTATGTGATGAATATGCATTGACAAGTATTTACAAATATGAAGCATTAACAAGGATAATATGGAATGCATGTATTAATTTTCATTTGGGTTCAACATAATACTTTAAAATAGTTCAAGATATAGACTAAAAAAATTCTGTTAAAAATCAGATTATAGGCCAGGTACGGTGGCTCACGCTTATAATCCCAGCACTTTGGGAGGCCGAGGCGGGCAGATTACCTGAGGTCAGGAGTTTGACACCAGCCTGACCAACATGGCGAAACCCCATTTCTACTAAAAATACAAAATTAGCCAGGCGTGGTGGCGCACACCTGTCATCTCAGCTACTTCTGAGGCTGAGGCACGAGAATTGCTTGAACCCAGGAGATGGAGGTTGCAGTGAGCTGAGATTGCACCACTGCACTCCAGCCTGAGCAACGAGCGAAACTCAGTTTCAAAAAAAAAAAAAAAAAATCAGATTATAAAACTGAGGCATGGCTATCATTACTGCCACCCATCAGAGCAGTTTGGGTGAGGACTCAGCCAGGACCAGGCCAGGACACAGGTGAGTAGCAACTATCCTGGTGGCAGCCCACTAGGACAGCCTCCCTGCAAACCTTCCAGAGGAGAATCAGTCACCTCACTTTTACACCTTTTCCGTTATTCTGACACCCAATGTGGGGTTACGTCCATGTATTAGTCTGTTCTCATGTTGGTATGAAGAAATACCTGAGACTGGGTAATTTATAAAGGAAAGAGGTTTAATTGACCCACAGTCTCACATGGCTGGGGAGTCCTCAGGAAACTTACAATCATGGTGGAAGGCGCCTCTTCACAGGGTGGCAGGGGAGGGAATGAATGCCAGCAGGGGAAATGCCAGACAGTGATAAAACCATCAGATCTCATGAGAACTCACTATCATGAAAACAGCATGGAGGAAACTGTCCCCATGATCCAATCACTTCCCAATGGGTCCCTCCCATGACACGTGGAGATTATGGGGACTACAATTCAAGATGACATTTGGGTGGGGACACAGACAAACCATATCAGTCCATAATCCCTTCTGGGGATCAGAATCACCAGATTTGTACTATCCGAAGTATATCAAGTACCCCTGCTTCTCTTTTTTACCTCCTGCCCCATTGGAGTAGCCATTTTCTTAGTGCTCTCTCACTACCTAAAGAGTAGATCTTGTTAAAATAAAAAAAAAAAAAGAAAAGAAAGAAAGAAAATCGAGGCATAGGACATTTAAATAATATAACAAAGATAGTATAGTCAGTGGTGAGTATTTTGAACCAAAGTCCTCAGTTTTTAACATAGAGGAGGTAATTATGCTACCAGAAAGATAAAAACATTCTGCAATGACCCCACTTTTCCATAAATGGTCTGAGTCAGCTAGGATAAAAAAAATGCTTTTAAATAAGCCTCCTGTTAAAGTCACAAATGTGGTAGTTATTAGAGAGATAAGAAGTACACTCAGCACTCTTAATTTTCTCTACCCACTTTCTTTATTCACTCTCTTGTCTTTTATGTGTCTGTCTTTTTATCCTTCCTTCGAAGACAGAGTTTAGCTTTGCATCCTTAGTCACCCAGCAGAGTGATTTCTTCACTCATTTATTCAAACATTTTGATTAAATGCCTACTATGTGCCAGGTATCTTCTAGGTGCTGATGACGGAGTAGTGAATATTCAGACAAGGTTACTGCTTTCCAAGGAGATGTCAGTTGAGTGGGGAAAATATACATTAAACAAATACAAAACATTTTTTAAATTGCAATTTGAAAAGTGTGACTGCAGGCTGGGAGCTGTGGCTCACAACTGTAATACCAGCACTTTGGGAGGCCGAGGCGGGCGGATCACGAGATCAGGAGATCGAGACCATCCTGGCTAACATGGTGAAACCCCATCTCTACTAAAAATACAAAAAAAAAATTAGCCGGGCGTGGTGGCGGGCGCCTGTAGTCCCAGCTACTCGGGAGGCTGAGGCAGGAGAACCGGCGTGAACCCGGGAGGCGGAGCTTACAGTGAGCCAAGATCGTGCCACTGCATTCCAGCCTGGGTGACAGAGCGAGACTCCGTCTCAAAAAAAAAAAAAAAAAAAGAAAAGAAAAGAAAAGTGTGACTGCAAAGCTTAAGTTGTTATAAGAATGTATATTTGGGAGACTTAATAGACTTGTGGGGGACAGGGGTAGGCCATGAGTCTGGAAATGCTTCTTGAAAGATGACGCACTAAAACTCAAACCTGGATGGTAAGAGCCACAAGGAGTATTGTGGTAGTATGAGGGAAGGCTTGGAAGGATATTAAATATTCTAGGAACACAAAGAAGATGAAAAAGGCCTAGAATACTAGAGACTACGGAGTTAAGTGGGAGTGAGGAAGGAGATGGTTCCTGAGGTAAGCAGGAACCAGATTCTATAGATCTATTAAGCATTTAAAACTCTTTCTTGCCCAAAACGTAAGTCATTGACAAGGTTTAAACAAAGAAGTGGTAGGATCAGATTTCCTTTGCTTAAGGTATAAAAAATGGTGCCTAAATTAAAACACATACATACACACTAACAACAACCAAAAACTCTCAGACTAATTTAAATGAAGCATAGAATACAATCTAAATGATAGTAAGTCTATTTGCTAGTTCCTACTAATGAGAAGAGTATGCAGTATGTAAATATCCAATTAAAGTACATTTGATAAATTATTGAGAATGTTACACAGAATCAAAGGCAGTTAAAAAATAACAGGTGTTAGGCAATACATAACTATTAAGATTGCCATATAGTTGTGTTTACCGGAATACAGGAGTTATGGTTAAACATTTTTGAGATTGATGTGTATATTTTGGAATGTCAGTATTATTATTTAATATTCATGGTAGGCATACACAGATGTTAATTAGATAAGGTCCTACCCCAAGCCCTACCTCACACTCAGTTCTCAGCATCATTTATCATGCTGCGATAATATATAAGAAACTGCTAGAGATTAAATAGAGAAAAAGAAAGTAAAGTGATAAGACATGGTTCCTAACCCTCACTGAATTTATAAACTAGTGTTAGGAGACGATAAGTAACAGCAGAGCCTCAGTAGCAGAAACTAATGTTTATTGAACTCTTACAAGGAAGCAGGCATTGAACTAAATGCTTAACAAGCTTTGTCTTATTTAACCCCCACAATGGCCTATATATGCTATTATTAACTACATTTTACACATGATGAAATTAGCCTCAGGGAGACCAACTAACTTTTTCATCGCCATCTAGATAGTATGTGGTGGATTCAGACAAAACTGTTTTAAACCAGCATGTTTAGCCCATAGTTTGCTTCCTCTTTTTTTTTTTTTTTTTTGTTTTGTTTTTGTTTTTTGAGACGAAGTCTTGCACTGTCGCCTCGGCTGGAGTGCAGTGGTGCGTTCTCGGCTCACTGCAACCTCCGCCTCCCAGATTCACGGGATTCTCCTGCCTCAGTCTCCTGAAGAGCTGGGATTACAGGCGCCTGCCACCACACCCGACTATTTTTTGTATTTTTAATAGAGACGGCGTTTCACTATGTTGGCCAGGCTGGTCTCAAACTCCTGACCTTGTGATCCACCCGCCTCAGCCTCTCAAAGTGCTGGGATTACAGGCGTGAGCCACCGTGCCTGCTCTGTTTTTTTTTTTGTTTTGTTTTGTTTTTTTAAACTAGCATGTGGTAAAATAAATTTCACATAGAAAGGCCTGACTTTGGAATCATTAGGAAGTTTCACAAGGAAGTAACTTCCAAATTCCATCTTGAGGTATGGAAAGGATTTTTCTATCCAGAGAGAAGACACTCCAGGCAATGAAAATAGCATGAGCAAAGGTCTCAATGTATCTAGAATTGTTTTTTGTTTTTTTTTTTTTTTTGAGACGGAGTCTTGCTCTGTCGCCCAGACTGGAGTGCAGTGGCGCGATCTCGGCTCACTGCAAGCTCCGCCTCCCGGGTTCACGCCATTCTCCTGCCTCAGCCTCCCGAGTAGCTGGGACTACAGGCGCCCGCCACCACGCTCGGCTAATTTTTTTGTATTTTTAGTAGAGACGAGGTTTCACCGGATTAGCCAGGATGGTCTCGATCTCCTGACCTCGTGATCCGCCCGCCTCGGCCTCCCAAAGTGCTGGGATTACAGGCTTGAGCCACTGTGCCCGGCCTCAATGTATCTAGAACTGTTAAGGAACTGGAACTATTCTGAGATAAGGTAGCTTGCACAAGCAGGGAGCTATAGAGGGGATAAGCCTGAAAAGGAATGAAATGCATGTTAATGTTTTCAAGTTTCCTTTGCAGGTGATGAGTTATCAATATTTTTAATCAGAGGAGTAACATGACCTTACCTGTTTTTAGGAATCTAGTTTGGCAACAGGAGAAGGATAATTTGGAGAGATGAGAGATTGGACATAGGGAGAGCATCTGGGAAGCTAACAGAACAGTACTGCAAATGGAAAGCAGGGGATAGATATAAGAAATATGGGTCGGGGGCGGTGGCTCACGCATGTAATCCCAGCACTTTGGGAGGCCGAGGCGGGCGGATCACCTGAGGTCAGGAGTTCGAGACCAGCCCGGCCAACATGGTGAAACCCCGTCTCTACTAAAACTACAAAAATTAATCAGGCATGGTGGTGCATGCCTGTAATCCCAGCTACTCAGGAGGCTGAGGCAGGAGAATCGCTTGAACCTGGGAGGCGGAGGTTACAGTGAGTGGAGATCACACCACTCCACTCCAGCCTGAGCGACAGAGTGAGACTCCATCTCAAAGAAAAAAAAAAGGAATATGAAGGAAGTAGAATCCATGGAACATGGTGACTGACTAGATATTAGTGGCTAGAGAGAGGGGAATATTGACAATACCCCTTGAGTTTTACAGCCTGGGTGACTCTTAGTATGTTTTGTGTGAGCTTGTGTTTTATCAGAACTTGAGAAACAAGTAAGGGAGCACTATTTTGGGGGCAGAGAATAATGACTAGTTTTAGACAAATTGAGTTTGTGGTATCTGTGAAATACTGGGATAGTGAAATCTAATAGGCAGTTGAAGTATATAGGCTCCTTGATAAAATGGAGATCAGGTTGCATGGCAGCAGTAAGAAGTACAAAGCAGTAAGAAGTACAAGGAGCAAGGACAGGAAGACTTCCTCTTAGCCAATCGGATCGAGATCAGGACAGTACTTTAACAAGGCTCCCTTAACATTCTTGTTGGTTCAGTGGACATTCCTTTAGTCCGAATATGCTTGGCCTTGATATACTCCCCCCAAATATAGGATATTCTGGAAATATCTAACTACAGAGCAAACTATCAGATCCTGCAGTCTGTGCTAACAGTTTCAATGATTATAAAGGATGATTTTACTACAAATATCAATGAAACAAAAACTGTACTCAGTGTGAATTTTGCCAAAGGGAAGGTCCCTGGGGAATCTAGTTTTATTGAACAGTGACAGAGCTAGGGCAAAAAGGAGTTTAAGAAATATTACTACAGATTCAAGAATAACTGGATACAGTTATGAAATTACTTAGAAATGGTGATGCCAAGTGTCTGAGACGATGTTTCTCATTATATTGTGCAGTCTTTGTGAGTGTGTGTGTATTTTAATTTTTATGGTACCAGGTACTTCTGATATGTCTGTTGTTTTGGAATGAATATGTACATATTTGGGTTTGATTGGACCCTTTAGTATAATTTTCTGAATTCTTTGGACATTTTATTTCCATTTTTCCCATTTTATAAGTATTTTTCCTACACTTATTTTCAAATGTCCCATTTTAGGTTTGAGAATTATACTGAATTATAGATAGTGTCCAATCATGCTTTTTCAATCTAAGTAGTGGTTTCAATTCAGCTGATACTGCTTTTCCACTTCTTGTTTATCTTTGCTTACTTAACTAAAATCACCAATGAGGTAAAGAAGTGGCAACAAAAAAGGAAATGTCTTCCAAATCAAGTTTACTAATAAAGATAAGAGCCAATTCTGTGCATTCAAAAGATCTATGAACTGAGGCAAGAGATTTAGCCCTTTTTATATATATACAAGATGATCTGTGGAATTTACATCCCTCACAGCAGATACAAAATAAAGCAATTTGAGTAGAAATTCTGCAAGGTTCCTTCCAGCTGTATAATGCTAGATTCTATAAGTATTCAGGTAAAATGAAAGCACTAACATCTTGATAAAAAGTATTTTGATTTTTTTCTCATGAAAACACTTGAATATATTATTTAAGCTGGTTGTTTAGTGTAGGAAACTCCCTATTCTAGAATGAATATATTTTGCACACTTTTATGTCTTATGATCTCTAAAACAGGGTTAAGAACCTTGCAAGTACATGGCAACCTCATACTGAATTTAACCTACAGTAAACTATCTCAATGACAGACATGTTACTCTGAAATAAAATAATGACATTGAAATACTATATATTTTCTAACCCAATTGCTTATTAAAGACTCTCATTTCTTTTCCATGTGGGCTGTTTGATACCCCTGACATTAGAATTCCAACTTCTAGTTGTCTAGTTTGAAGATCAGAATCCATTCATGCCATCACCTTATATAAATTTTCTCATATGGTCATGTAAACCTAACCTTAACCCTGATATCCTCCTACTTAATAAAACTGTTTGCATGGTTGAAAACAAGTGCATTTCACGATATAAAGTACTTTAATATAATACTTCAATCATAGCAGTCAAACATTTCAGAATGTTTCCCTGAATTTATTCAATATAGGTAATAGCCCAACTCTGGACCAGAATTTCCACAAGGAAAATATTACTTTTGCAACAAAAATTTTTTTGCAGACAATACTGCTTTTTGTTTGTACTGTATTTCCTAAGCTGTTCAGCAACTCCTTTTCTCTTTTAAGGTTTCCCTAAAATATATGCATTTCTGTGTACGTGTAGGTATGTATGTGTATATACTTATACATACATTAAGAATTTACTAATTTTACTGGGTCACTGGTGGATTTTGTGTTTTTTTCCTAGTATCAATTTAATGTATGTCTTAAATATGAAACTGCATTATTTAACTCTGAAAGACATTTTTAGCTTTATGTGGAAGAAGCTATTTGAATACAGTGGCATTACTTCCAAAGAACACATTTCTTTTCTTTTCTTTCCTTTGTTAGAGACAAAAATGTGCCCTGTGAAAATTTTCTGCTTGAGGAAAACAAACAATAACAAAATAGCTTCAGTAGTGTTCAGTTTGTGACATGGATATAAACTAGAACTGTGAATCTATCTTTAATGTGTTTGCTGTCTCTAGGTGTCTCTGACATCTCAAAAAATTACATGATCTTAGGAACCATATATATTTCAATGTCAATGTGTTATTCAAAGCCAGCTCTTGGACTGAAAAAAAGAAAAAGGCAGGATCTTGAAGAGATAGTTGCACTCCTATATTCAATGCAGCATTATTCACAAGAGCCAAGAAGTTGAAAGAATCTACATGTCCTTCAAGGAATAAAGAAAATGTGGTTTATACATATAATGGAATATTATTCAGTCTTTAAAAACAAAGACATCAAAAGGCTGGGTGCAGTGGCTCACACTTGTAATCCCAGCACTTTGGGAGGCTGAGGTGGGTAGATCACCTGAGGTTAGGAGTTCAAGACCATCCTGACCAACATGGTGAGACCCCATCTCTACTAAAAATACGAAAGTTAGCTGGGCGTGGTGGCGGGCGCCTGTAATCCCAGCTACTTGGGAGGTTGAGGCAGGAAAATCACTTGAACCTGGGAGGCAGATGTTGCAGTGAGCCAAGATTGCACCACTGCACTCCAGCCTGGGTGACAGAGCAAGACTCTGTCTCAAAAAAAAAAAAAAGAAAGAAAGAAACACATCTTGTCATATGTTACGACATGGATGAGCCTTGAGGACATTATGATCCATGAAATAAGTCAGTCACAGGACAAATACTGTATGATTCCACTTATATGAAGTATCTAAAGTAGTCAAACTCATAGAAACAGAGAGTAGGTGGCTACCAGGGGCTGAGGGGTGAGGGAAATGGGGAGTTGCTATTGAGTAGGTGTAGAGTTTCAGTTATGCAAGATGAAAATTTTCTAGAGATCTGTGGTACAACATTGTGCTTATTATTAACAATGTACTGTACATTCAAAAATTTATTAAGAGGGTAGATTTCACATTATGTGTTTTTACCACAATAAAGGAAGAAATAGGCAAACTTCTATTTAGGTCACTAACTCTACACACACATACACACACATACACACACACACACACACACACACACAAACACCAAATCTAAATTTTTATTTCTATGTTTGAGTAGTCATATGGCTCTGTGCAAGTTCAGGAGAGAGGGGTCAGTGACTTTCTCCTTCTCCCCTAGGCAATTCATTATACAAAGGCTTTGATTAGAGCCCAGAGAAAGCATGTGGGGTGTGTGTGTGTGTGTGTGTGTGTGTGTGTGTGTGTGTGTGTGTGTCTAAGAATGCAGGGAGGGCAGAAAAAATGCCAATAGATGTGCCCAGATAGACTATGAGATCCACATTTTAGAGCTACTTTGTGACAATGTCGAGCAAAGGCTTCTAAGTGTTACACAGAGTTACTATGAAAACAGCAATGGAATTAGAGGTATTAACTACAAGAGAAAAGTTCTATGATTGAGCCAACCATAAGTGGAGAACCCGGCTCGTTCCCTCACATGTGCTCTCCCTTTTGTAATGTCCTGGTGCCTTGGAGGACATGTTACTCCCTCAGAATATTGAAAGTAGTCATTGGCTGGTCTAAAGACTTTCAGACGTAGAGAAAATCTCCAACAACTGATAGAACAGGTTATATACACCAGTGTCCAGTTTAGTGAAGTTTCAAAAAAATAAAAACCAAGACACTCTAATTGTTCATATATGCTTCTACTGGATATCAATATTTGAATCACTCTGAAATAAGATTTAATGTTTGTTTCTTTTTTAAATGTGGGCTCTTTCCTTTTAGCCTCTCAGTGTTTTCTCATTTTAGAGAGGTGGGTGGGGGAAAGTGATTTTCACTCACTTACATGTAAAACAAAAATATATCTCTTTTATCTACAAATGCCCAGACATTGTCAAGACATAAGAGCAAAATGTGCCAAAATGTTAGACTGTTAGTTATTTTGCATAAAACACACATCCAAACACATATTAACTGAACAGCAGATGGCAGAGAAAAGAAAATCAGTTACATTGCAGTGTGGGTGAAACATGCCCAATAAGTTCTGTAAAGATGGAAACCTGGGCATAAGAGAAACCATACTGAGTAAGCAAATGGAATGCCTAATCTGATTCTTTCATCTTCACTGTGTTTGATTTATCCTGTCCATAAATACAGTATCATTTTTATCATGATGCCTTAAGGCTATTTTTGATGGAAAGGGAGGGGTAAACAGAGTATGTTTACATAGTAACACATTTGGGGAAATCATCTTGGAATAAATACTTTTAATGATGTATAGTGCTTCCTAATATTCATTAGCGGGTGAAAATTAATTTAGATAAAAATACTAATGTACTAGGAAAAAATGATGAATGTGGCTGTATATTAGTCTAGAAATATAAGAAGTATATATATTAGAGCTCATTTTATGAATGAAATTAATAAATTATTTATATATTTTAACATCATCCAGTTTATAAATTATTTTTTCTAATTAAAAGCAGAAAAATAGGGATAAGTATCTAAAATAACATATGGCAAATAATCTTTAAAATATTTGCACACTTACTACTGATTTAGGAATTTCAGCTTAAAAAATCACATTTATCTAAATCAGATTGAAACTGAGATGTTTACTGAGATGTAAACAAGAGCAATGATAGATGCTAGGTCCAGAGAAAGCAATGAAATGACTTATAATTTAAGGAGCTAATAACATAGTTGTTTTTTGTTTGTTTGTTTGTTTGTTTTTTGATACAGAGTCTCACTCTGTATCAGGCTGGAGTGTAGTAGTGCAATCTCAGCTCACTGCAACCTCTGCCTCCCGGGATCAAGCGATTCTCCAACCTCAGCCTCCCAAGTAGCTGGGACTACAGGCGTGCGCCACCATGCATGGCTAATTTTTGATTTTTTAGGAGAGATGGGGTTTCACAATGTTTGCCAGGCTGATCTTGAACTCCTGACCTCAAGTGATCCACCTGCCTCAGCCTCCCAAAGTGCTGGGATTACAGGCATGAGACACTCCGCCTGGCCGTTAAGAAGCTAGTAACATATTTCTATAGCAAAAGAGTGATCTGATTAAACTAGACTCCAAAATAATATTTACCTATATGTTCTGATACTATTACAAAACCAGAAAACACAATCCCTAAACAATACAGAAAAAAACTGGTTGCTTCTGGAGGAACATCTTTGTTTTTAAGTAAATTAAGAAGGGATTCATTAAATGAATTGTGGGGAAGGGTATGCTATTTAAAAAGCCAAAGTATCAGGGAAATGTCAACTTGGAAAAAGGGTTAAACATATAACAGGCTGGGTGTGGTGGCTCACGCCTGTAATCCTAGCACTTTGGGAGGCAGAAACGGGCAGATCATCTGAGGTCAGGAGTTTGAGACCAGCCTGGCCAACATGGTGAAACCCCGTCTCTACTAAAAATACAAAAATTAGGCCAGGTGCAGTGGCTTGCGCCTGTACTCCCAGCACTTTGGGAGGCCAAGGCAGGTGGATCACCTGAGGTCAGGAGTTCGAGCCCAGCCTGGCCAACATGGCGAAACCCTGTCTCTACTAAAAATACAAAAATTAGCCAGTAGCCAGGTGTGGTGGCAGGCACCTGTAATTCCAGCTACTCAGGAGGCTGAGGCATGAGAATTGTTTGAACTGGGGAGGCGGAGGTTGCAATGAGCCAAGACTGTGCCACTGCAATCCAGCCTGGGCGACAGAGCGAGACTGTCTCAAACAAAAATAAAAACAAAACAAAAACAACAATAAATAACAATGAAATTTCCTAGGCCGGGCGCGGTAGCTCATGCCTGTAATCCTAGCACTTTGGGAGGCTGAGGCAGGCGGATTGCCTGAGGTCAGTAGTTTGAGACCAGCCTGGCCAACATGGTGAAACCCTGTCTCTACTAAAAATACAAAAATTAGCCGGGCGGGGTGGCAGGCACCTGTAATCCCAGCTACTTTGGAGGCTGAGGCAGGAGAATTGCTTGAACCCAGGAGGCGGAGGTTGCAGTGAGCAGAGATGGCGCCACTGCACTCCAGCCTGGGCAACAGAGTGAGACTCCATCTTCAAAAAAAAGACAAGAAAGAAAGAAATTTCCTAAGCCCACAGATACTTGTCCATAAAAATAAAACCTGTTGAGTACTCTTATTTTAGAATGCAGGGATACAAATTAATTATAACTATTCAGCTTATAAGTGGTGGGGATCTTTTTCAAATAGATTTTTAAACTGCTTGTAGAACAACCTCCTTTTCCTGTATACTTTTAATCTGCTCCTGTTTCCCTCTTCTAGAGATGACCAATTAAAAATACTCCAGAGACTTCTTATGTGAAAGCACAAAAAAACTCATACATTGCTCCCTAGGACAGGTGTGCATCAATTACCATGGCAGGCCATGAGTGAATCTTTGCAAACTGCAATGCTGAACTTAATATATGCACATTTGCAAAGCAAAAGGATACTAATCAATCATGCAGAGTCACTGAGTGCAGCTCAGCAGAACTGCAAACCACAAACTTGCTTTCCTTTGATGCTACTTGGCTGAAACCTCAACTCAAGCAGTAGTGTTGTCCTTCTGAAACTAGGTTTGGTGCAGAACTGGACGGGCTGAAAATGGTATTGTCACAGCCCATTATAATTTTCATAGCAGCTATCTTGAAGCTCTAAGAATCAAGTCTGTTTTGCATGCATGAAAGCAAGCCCCAAGTCCCGGGCAGGTGGGTAGGTGGTTATTTCTGGCTGCAATTTTGCTAAGTCTCTAAACCAACCCTGCTTTAATTAGGAGCTTTTCTTCTGAGTTATTTTGATGTTAATAATATATGGCGGTCGCATTCCTTGTACATGTTCCCAAACAGTGATACAAACATTATTAAATCTAATCAGTGTTTATGGAGTATTCCATATGCTACCCACTGTGAATCTTTTGAAATGTCATTTTAGTGGATAATGCATAAAGAAGGGTTGGTATATACAATGACATGCTTTTGTTCCTTCAGTCAATGATTTTTATGAAAAATTTTCTACAGATATAGTTGCTTTCAATTTGTATTTGACCATATTTTAAAAAGAATATTTTTTGTTAGACTTCTATACGACAAATATTTAAATTCACAAAGACTTCCTACTCCAAAGAATACAATAATTAACTTTCCTTTTACTAAATTAAAGAACAGAAACAATACTGCAAATGCCTTAGATTAAATAAAGTAGATCAAGTTTAAATGAAACCTCTTAGAATTATGCATTAAGAAATATTTAACAAGAGTTGAAAACTAGGCACCACACCTAAAATACCTAAAATAACATTAGGCCGGGCGTGGTGGCTCACGCCTGTAATCCCAGCACTTTGGGAGGCCAAGGCAGGTGAATCACGAGGTCAGGAGATCGAGACCATCCTGGCGAACACAGTGAAACCCCGTCTCTACTAAACATACAAAAAATTAGCTGGGCGCGGTGGCGGGCGCCTGTAGTCCCAGCTACTCGGGAGGCTGAGGCAGGAGAATGGTGTGAACCCGGGACGCGGAGCTTGCAGTGAGCCGAGATCACACCACTGCACTCCAGCCTGGGCGACAGAGTGAGACTCCATCTCAAAATAAAATAAAATAAAATAAAATAAAATAAAATAAAATAAAATAAAATAACATTAAGATGAAAAACTAAAAAAGGCAAAACTTGGTCTTGTCTAAGACAGCTGAGTAACTGCCCAGACTGGACAACTATTGAGCATTATAATGTCCTTCCTACTCTCTGTATTAACAATCAACTACTAATATTCAATGTAGCCATTAAAAGTAATTCTCACCAGATGGTCCTATATTCCTGAAGATATGGATATGTATTTTCTCTCCTTGAGCAATACTATTAGGCAAATTATGGCTATAAGAAGCAGAGTTGCAGATGCAGATTGCACTCATCAGACATAAGGCCAACCACAGAGCCTCCTCCACACGCAGGCAGTGGACAATGGAGGCTGTTCATTTACCTCTTCATCCACAGCCATGTGCACAAATAACAATGGTCATCACCAGGGTCAATGTTTCTACACTCTAAGATGAATGATACATGTTTAAGAAAAATAATTTATTGGCCGGGTGAGGTGGCTCATGCCTGTAATCCCAGCACTTTGGGATGCCGAGGTGGGCGGATCACCTGAGGTCAGGAGTTTGAGACCAGCCTGGCCAACATGGCAAAACCCCGTCTCTACTAAAAATACAAAAATTAGCTGGGTGTGGTGGCAGGTGTCTGTAAGCCAAGCTACTCGAGAGGCTGAGGCAGGAGAATCGCTTGAACCAGGAGGTGGATGTTGCAGTGAGCCAAGATCATGCCACTGCACTCCAGCCTGGGCGATAGAGCAAGAGAGACTCCATCTCAAAAAAAAAAGACAAGAAAAATAATTTACTTCGATAACTTTTCAGCAGTCTCATAGAGATAGTTTAGGTTATCATTACCTGACTAGAGAATATACAAAGAGCTGACCTGTGGTGTTTTCCTGTAGGCATTGATACATTTGAGTCTAAGTTGCACAGGCCTTTTATACTCTACTATATGCAGGTTCTTCCAGATCTCTTGAACCTTTGTGTTTGAGTACAGACTATCACAATCTGTTTATTAGCTTAGATAGAAAAAAACAAGAACAAAAATTGAGATGCCGTCATTAAAAACAAAAACGCATGAGATGAAAAGCAAAAATTCTTTTTGCAAAAGATAGATTTTAAAAATGTACTATTTGACTAGTTCATTGTATCTACTGCGAATGAGGGGCTGTTTTGTCATTTTCCTGATCTTACGATGCTTTCCAAACAGCTGGCAGGCAGGCAATGTTTTTTATAGCTAATGAAAGGAATTTTATATGAAATGACAGTGCAGTTGCCACCTGAAAATATTAAGTGGTACATCAGATTCTTAGCTACAAGAGGTATTTATTTGCTCCTTTTATTATAGCTTTCTATAGGAGTAAGTAAGGCACTCCTCTCATGAGCCCCACATCACCTGCTGTGGAAGCCTTGCCAGAACCACAGCAAGGGGCTTCTCGAATGGGAATATCATAGAAAATATCACTGTCATCTATTTAAATATGTTTTATTGAAAGGAGAGTCATCTGTAGGCACCAAAGGGTAGCTGCTTCACTTAAAGTTGGTTATTATCAGAGTCAAATTAGATCTAAATACTGAGTACACAAATAAGAGCCAAATTTAAAAATTAGGTTCAACAAGTTATTTGATTTAGCCTATAAAGAGCCTCTTTTTCTGAGCTTACTTATTTTTTTTTTTTTTTTTTTTTTGAGACAGAGTTTCGCTCCTGTTGCCCAGGCTGGGGTGCAATGGCGTGATCTCGGCTCACTGCAACATCTGCCTCCCGGGTTCAAGAGATTCTCCTGCCTCAGCCTCCTGAGTAGCTGGGATTACAGGCATGCGCCACCACTCCTGGCTAATTTTGTATTTTTAGTAGAGATGGGGTTTCTCCGTGTTGGTCAGGCTGGTGTCGAACTCCTGACCTCAGGTGATCCGCCCACCTCGGCCTCCCAAAGTGCTGGGATTACAGGCATGAGCCACCGCACCCGGTCCCTGAGCTTTTTTTTTTTTTTTTTTTTTCTTGAGACGGAGTCTCACTCTGTCACCCAGGCTGGAGTGCAATGGTGCGATCTCGGCTCACTGCAAGCTCCGCCTCCCGGGTTCACGCCATTCTCCCGCCTCAGCCTCCAGAGTAGCTGGGACTACAGGCGCCCGCCACCACGCCCGGCTAATTTTTTGTATTTTTAGTAGAGACAGGGTTTCACCGTGTTCGCCAGGATGGTCTCGATCTCCTGACCTCGTGATCCGCCCGCCTCGGCCTCCCAAAGTGCTGGGATTACAGGCGTGAGCCACCGCGCCCGGCCAAGCTTACTTTTTAAGAACTGGCATAGGGCGGGCACAGTGGCTCACGCCTGTAATCCCAGCTACTGTGCCCGGCCTATGCCAGTTCTTAAAAAGTAAGCTCAGGGGCTGGGTGCGGTGGCTCATGCCTATAATCCCAGCACTTTGGGAGGCTGAGGTGGGCGGATCACCTGAGGTCAGCAGATCGAGACCAGCCTGGCCAACATGGGGAAACCCCGTCTCTACTAAAATATACAAAAATTAGCCGGGCGTGGTGGCAGGCGACTTAATCCCAGCTATTTGGGAGGCAGAGGCAGGAGAATCATTTGAACCTGGGAGGCGGAGGTTGAAGTGAGCCGAGATTGAGCCATTGCAATCAAACCTGGGGTATAAGAGTGAGACTTCTCTCAAAAAAAAAAAAAAAAAAAAGAACTGGGATAAACTTAAGAATAAATGTTAAAATATTTCTATTTGTACTTGTAGGAATATATCATAGTTTACAGCAAATACTAGAGTTGCAAAAGATCTTTTGCTATCAACAACCTACTTTTTAGTCAGGAAGGAAATCTCAAAGCACTATCTCTAATCCAACTTAAATTTTGAGTGGTAGGTTTCATGTGAAAGGGTTTTTTTTTGTTTGTTTTTTCATTCTTTAAAAACTAATCAAAATCAGTAGATTCAGATAGACTCCCAGACCTCTCCAAAACTGTACATATTAAACCAGTGACTAAGAGTCAGCTATGGTTTCTGGTGTTTTCTTTGTGTATGCCTTCAGGCACACACATGTAATTTTTGTGCTTCAGGGAGTTAGTGCTTCATAAAAACAGAGATGAATGGTTATAAAACATACACCAGTGCCCTTTGGAAGTAATTAAAAATATGGCCCTTCCCCATCCTCATTTCCTTTCCTTTTGGCATTGCCCCTTCTATATCCTATGTTCAGCTTTTCTTCCACCTCGCAAAATATATTTGATTTCTTTTTCTACTCTCCCATAAAGAATCATATGCTTAAACTTACAGAAATGTGCCCTAAATACATTTTTTAAATTGCATTAAAAATAAGAAGAATAAACTCAAGAGAACATTGGCTCCAATTCACAAACTATGTAGAATATTTTCTGTCCTAAAAGTATGCCTTTATTGTCTTCAAAGGGGTCTGCAAAGTGTGAATTATAAACAATATATCTTCATTAAATACTGTGGAACACATATTTGATGAATACATTAAAATTTAGTTAAAATTAAATTTTCAACTCCATTGCTGTGGGCTTTTAGATTTGACATTAACATTTATTAATCCAAATACTTTAATAAAAATACGTCCTTCCAAATTATGCTACATGCAAATATACTTTTAAAGGTATAAACTAGCATGTCATTTGTATATATATGCCTGAAATCAAAACAGTTTCTAAGATGATTCTCAGCCAAAATTGGAAGGCAACTTTAAAGATCTGGCAAATAGCCATTTAAGACACATACATGGCCGGGCGCGGTGGCTCACGCCTGTAATCCCAGCACTTTGGGAGGCCGAGGCGGGCGGATCATGAGGTCAGGAACTAGAGACCATCCTGGCTAACATGGTGAAACCCCGTCTCTACTAAAAATACAAAAAATTAGCCGGGCTTGGTGGTGGGCGCCTGTAGTCCCAGCTACTCGGGAGGCTGAGGCAGGAGAATGGCATGAACCTGGGAGGCGGAGTTTGCAGTGAGCGGAGATTGCACCACTGCACTCCAGCCTGGGGGACAGAGCGAGATTCCATCTCAAAAAAAAAAAAAAAAAAAAAAATAACAACACAACAACAAAAACACATACATATGTGAATGTATGTGAACGTACATGCATATGTATATATGTAAATCTGAATGCAATGACATGTAAATTCATTTAATTTATATTACTTATTTTGCAATAATAATTTATTAAAGCAAATAAATATTAGGGAAAATAACATTATGATAATAATAAACACCTTTTGTTGTGCGTTAAGGGGTATGATAATGCCTATATCATATGCTACCTGCATTATTTTGGATTTCTACTGCACAGTAATGCTATATTTCACATTATTTATTTGATCTCTGACACTGAAAATGAGCCGTGTTATAAAGTTATACTGCACACTCTATTCTTAAATTTGTTTCCATACTACTCCAAAAGTAACCCTAAGTCCCTAGTGCATAACATGATTCAGAGGTTAATTCTCCATCTAGCACTCTCTTTTCCGTCTCCAGCTATTAAAGAATTGTATAATGGTATTCTAAATGTTTCAGCTTAGAAAATGTGCTCCTATCAGTAATCTTATAAATTATGTCATAAAGGATAACTGACAACCATAGTGGACTCATAAATACTAAATGAATTAGTAATAAAATCTCTACTAATTCCATCAGAAATTAAAGACATAGCTTTTAATGAAAATATTTTTTATACTTTTCTTTTTACTCCTTCTATGCTGAATATGTTATATATTTCAAGTAAAATAAAAGATCTTTCATTTGACTCAGTTTGTAATGTAAATTATCCAAAAATTTTAATGTAAGAAGTTATCCAGAAAGCTTAACCTACATTCAAGGCAGCCTCAACTTGAGAGATTTTTTTTTTTTTTTTTTTTTTTTGAGACGGAGTCTCGCTCTGTTACTCAGGCTGGAGTGCAGTGGCACCATCCTGGCTCACTGCAACCTCAGTCTCCTGGGTTCAAGCAATTCTACTGCCTCAGCCTCCTGAGCAGCCGGGACTGCAGGCGCCCGCCACCACGTGTGGGTAATTTTTGTATTTTTAGTATAGACAGGGTTTCACCACAATTGGCCAGTCTGGTCTCGACCTCCTGACCTCAGGTGATCCGCCCGCCTCGGCTTCCCAGAGTGCTGGGATTACAGCCAAGAGCTACCGCGCCTGGCCAAATTGAGAGATAATTTTAAGGGTGATCAGTTTGTTCTAGTTTGCCTGGGATAGACCCCCTAGTTTTAGTACTAAAAGTCCTGTGTTCATGGAAATCCTTCAGTGCCTACAGTTAGTTAATTTAGAGGTAACACTCAAACATACGGTCCTTTATGCTGTTTAACCATTTATGTTGTGAATGTTTCACAAAAACAAATAAGTATGCTTTTTTGGTTACAAAGTAGTATGTCTAGCAGCAGAAAAACATAGTCTTTCAAGAGTATATTTAATATTATTATTATTTAATATTATCAATTTTTATTATCAATTATATATATATATATTTTTTTTTTGAGACAGAGTCTCACTCTGTCACCCAGGCTGGAGTGCAATGGCGCAATCTTGGCTCGCTGGAACCTCCGCCTCCCAGGTTCATGCAATTCTCCTGCCTCAGTCTCCCAAGTAACTGTGATTACAGGCACACACCACCACACCCGGCTATTTTTTGTACTTTTAGTAGAGATGGGGTTTCACCATGTTGGCCAAGCTGGTCTCAAACCCCTGACCTCAGGGGATCCACCTGCCTCGGCCTCCCAAAGTGCTGGGATTGCAGGCATGAGCCACTGCAACCGGCCAATATTTATTATCAATTATATTTATCATGTCCCATCTATTCCTTCCTACACAGATACTGACTGAGTGCCTACTCAGTACTAGGTGTTATACTAGGCACTAATTCTATTTTGAAATAATATTATGGGAATTTTGGCCGGGCGTGGTGGCTCACGCCTGTTATCCCAGCACTTTGGGAGGCTGAGGCGGGCAGATCACGAGGTCAGGAGATTGAGACCATCCTAGCTAACACGGTGAAACTCCGTCTTTACTAAAAATACAAAAAATTAGCCGGGTGCAGTGGTGGGCGCCTGTAGTCCCAGCTACTTGGGAGGCTGAGGGGAGAATGGCATGAACCCGGGAGGCGGAGCTTGCAGTGAGCCGAGATAGCGCCACTGCAGTCTGGCCTGGGCCAAAGAGCGAGACTCCGTCTCAAAAAAAAAAAAAAAGGGGAATTTTATATGAGAAGTACTTTAACGTTCTGATTCTCTATAAGAGTTAAAGCCCTACAATTAGAGTAGGAAAAAAGATCTTTTTCCAAATTTGATTTATTACCTTATAACTTCTATATTGCCATGGAAGAGACAAAGAACAAAGATTTGAAACTTTTTATTTGTAGAAGTGAGAAAGGGAGCATCAGCGATAAATGGAAAGAGAACAAATTATCAATTTCTATACAATCTTTTTCTTACTGCATAACTGTTTGCTCATCAATTTTAGAAAATTCTCAAAATTATGAATGGAAAATATTCAGAGTCAACTTTCTAGATCTGAAGAATTTATTTTAAAATGTCGTAAGGAGTCTATCAAAATACAGTCCTCCCAATCTAACCTTTGGCTCAGAAGGGAAAAAAAATACAGCTACTGGTATTTCTTGAAGATTTTCTGTGTTTGAATCCTTATAAGAAAACGTCATTTATTTCTGATTCTATTAATAATATCACTGAGAAGCTTTACCTAAGTTTAATGTCGCTACTGTTTTACCACTATTCTTTCTCCAATTTTGGGTGATGTTTAGAACAGCAAGGATGACATGACATCTTGAAAACTGTAATCGGCCGGGCGTGGTGGCTCATGCCTGTAATCTCACCACTTTGGGAGGCTAAGGCGGGTGGATCACTTGAGGTCAGGGGTTCGAGACCAACCTGGCCAACATGGTGAAACTTTGTCTGTACTAAAAATACAAAAATAGTCAGGCATGGTGGCGGGTGCCTGTAATCCCAGCTACTCAGGAGGCTGAGAATAGCTTGAACCCGGGAGGCAGAGATTGCAGTGAGCCGAGATTATGCCATTGCACTCCAGCCTGGGCAACAAGAGAGAAACTCCATCTCAAAAAAAAAAAAAAAAAAAAAAAAAAAGTAAAGAAAAAAAAAGAAAACTGTAATCAAGAATAGACCAGTGGGCGGCAGGGCGTTGTGGCTCACGCTTGTAATCCCAGCACTTTGAGAGGCCGAGGCTGGTGGATCACGAGGTCAGGAGTTGGAGACCAGCCTGGCCAAGATAGTGAAACTCCGTCTCTACTAAAAATACAAAAATTAGCCGGGTGTGGTGGCAGGTGCCTGTAATCCCAGCTACTCGGGAGGCTGAGGCAGGAGAATCGCTTGAACCTGGGAGGCGGAAGTTGCAGTGAGCCGAGATGGCGCCATTGCACTCTAGCCTGTGCGACAGAGCAAGACTCCATCTCAAAAAACAAACAAACAAAAAAGGATAGACCAGTGGTTGAGACTGGAGAGGGGAAGAGGAAGGGAAGGATGGAGAGAGGCTGGTCAATAGGTACAAAGTTACAATTAGATAGTAAGAATAAATTTTGGTGTTCTATTGCACAGTAGGGTAACTATGTTTAACAGTAAAATATTGTATCTTATATAATTTCTCACTGCAAAGAAATGATAAATGCACAGGTGATGGATACACTAGCTAAACTGGTTGTATCATAATATAGCTATGTATCAAAACATCAGATTGTACCCCATAAATAAATTAAAATGTGTCAATTGAAAAATAATTTAAAAAATCTCTAATCAAGTTACGGTGATTACAATCACGGACAAGGTCAGGATACACTGGCTCCTAAAGTAGAAAGGAATGCAGATAATTACTGTTCCCTTCAGTCACATTCATGCATTTGAAGAGTAGTGGCATTATCACATTCTTTCATGAATGCAAAGTGTAATATTCCACAATTCGATTAATTTCTCTCTGGCATGATTAGTCAAAAACACACTCCTGCAAAATGGCTTATATCTCTAAGACCAATTTCAACATGGTTTGGCGTTAACACTGATTTCTCTCATCAAATCAATGTATGAGATTTATTATCTCAATGATTTAACTTGAATTATCATCAGGTAATCATAAGCAAAAGAGGAATGTCTGTTTACAATCAACTAAAATACTGAATCATCACTTAAAAGAAAGGAAAATGATGTTTCAAGTCTTAATTCTGCCTTCTATTTCCTAGGCAAGAGAAGGCAAGGCATTAAAAAATGTCCTTGCACCGTTAGAATAATGCTTATTTAAAAACATCCTTAAAATGTTGAGTTTCAAACGTTATTTGAGTTTAAGGAAGTTAATCATAAGAACCACAGACAAACAATGGATTTGACTGAAGGACTTACTTTGCAATCAGAAAAGTGGTGATTGGGCTAAAAAAAACAAATTATGACATTGTAACATTTTCAATGTTCACCTGTTTTAGTTTATTTCTTTACAGATTGAACACAGAATGGACTCAGTAATCCTTCTGGTTCAAGCTCAACATAAAGACATTCTTACTTTTCAGAAAATAATAGAAGCATTACAATAGTCATCATGCAATTCATATTCCAAGCAATTTGCTTTCTCATCTTGCCTAGACACCCTGCACTGGTTTCTATTTCCTTTCTGTTTCAATTCTTGCTGTTCCTATTATGGAAGCTAGTGCACATCTAACTTCTTCATGTGGCATGGACCCCCACACATAAACCCATTTACCCCATCTACATGAGACTGTTGCAGATTTTGCTCAAGGAAAATGGAAACCCAGGAGGAAACTAGTCAACTTGTCAAAACATGTTTTTTTTCCTTAATATGTAAATAAAGTCTATCTAAATAGGGCTTGAGGTACAGGAAAAAGAAATGGACTGTCTCCCATCATCAAATTGCTTATGCTGCCTACCCTCTAGTCTACTGATTTCTTTTTTCTTGAGACGGAGTCTCCCTCTATGGCCCGGGATGGAGTGCAGTGGCACAATCTCGGCTCACTGCAACCTCTGCCTCCTGGGTTCAAGCAATTCTACTGCCTCAGCCTCCCGAGTAGCTGGGACTACTGGTGCGCGCCACCAGGCCCGGCTAGTTTTTTTTTTTTTTTTTTTTTGTATTTTTAGTAGAGACGGGGTTTCACCATATTGGTCAGGCTAGTCTCGGACTCCTGACCTCGTGATCCGCCTGCCTCGGCCTCCCAAAGTGTTGGGATTACAGGCCTGAGCCACTGCGCTCGGCTAGTCTACTGATTTCTTTGGCCTTAAACCAGGGGATTTGAAGACAAGAAAGTGAGAAGAGAAAGAACAGAGGAGGAGAAAAACAGAACAGGAAGGATCATCTATGCTTCTTTAAATCAATGTCTTCACGGCATATTTAGGAAATGATATTATTTACATGGCACACTAGGGTAAACGGACAAGGCTGCTCAAGGTTGCTAAGGCAAACCAACCCGCTAGAGGGCACTGGCTACCCCAAGGGCTCAGGAGTTGAACATCTCAACATCGTGAGATCACTATGATGCGATGATCAAGTACAAATATCGATAGATGGCTTAAAGGATCTCAGATATATTTAGGCCAAATTACATAAAGAAACTTGGGCTAAGTTAAAAAATGTAATCATCGGCTTAATAAATATGTGAACCTGCTTTTCTCAAGGTTTTAAAATAATATCTATGATATAAAAAATAGTTTAATAGAACTCACAGTTTTCCAATCTAACAGGAATCCTTGATCAGTCAATGCAATAGGCACTCTACACATCTCTCATTTGATACTCAAAATGAAGATCAAAATTGAGAAACAAGGAAGAGCTTATGGTGATGGATGAGGTAAGCATCATCTAAGAGCAAAACTAAAATTTCAACTCAGATGTTTCTTACTCCAAAGCTCGTGTTCTTTCTATTACAGCTGTGGTTTAAAAAAAAAAAAAATGGTTAAAAGAACACTTTCAAACCCATCCCAACCCAAAACAAACAAACAAAAAGAACACTTTCTTTTCACAGTGCTACACAAAAACCCAATTTATAAAACAGATAAAAGTGGAGCTGCTCTGTGTGAGCATGTGTGTAGAGGAGTGGGGGTAAAGGGGATAAGTTTCCAATCCCATCAGCAACCTCTGATGCATCTTGATGGAAACCCCTTGGGTACCTTGGAGCACACCTTAAAATTCACATCCACTCATTAATCTCCAGTAAAAATGCTTAAAACACAAAAGCATCTCTGTTACGCCATATCATGCCTTATATTACTTGCTTTATTTGTGTACTTGTTTTGTTTTGTTGTTTCAAGAGCCAGGGTCTCACTTGCCAAGGCTAGGGTGCAGTGGCTACTTACAGGCACCATGATCGTTACTGCAGCCCAGATCTCCTGGTCTCAAGCAATCATCATGCCTCAGCTTCCTGAATAGCTGAAACTACAGTTGTGCACCATGGCAACTGACTTGTATACCTGTTTTTCTCTCTTATAGGGTCTTTAAGGGCAGGGAGAAGAAGGCTAAGAGTCTAACAAAAAAGGAGAATGATAAGTAAAACTAAGCATTCAGTCAATGGCCATATATTAAAGGTATGTTTCCATAATAATAGGAGAATATTATTTCTCATCTTCCTTTCCTGTTTTACCATGTTGCCCAGGCTGGTCTGGGGGAGTGAAATGTTAAACATGTGGATCAATTCTTCTTTTAAAAATTGTTCAACTAAAACATTTCTCAAAAACAAAACCAAGCCTGCCTTCCAGCAACCTGGGGCACTATTTATGCTCATACACAACATGGTATCTTGAAAATAGTAGCCTGAACAAACAGCTTTTATTGTTTCTAAATTTAAACAAACTGAGTGATTCATTTAAGTATTTCTCTAAATTCTCTAACACCTTTTCAGTCCAATTCTATTTGCCTCATAAATTCAAACGCAGAAGAAATCAGCCCCTACAGTATAGAAAGATATATATCAAAGAGACACTAGTCAGGCAAAAAGATAAAGTCACAGCAAAGGTATAGACTCTTATCTTTAACTCATTCTAGACAAATACTGTGACCTCTATTGAAAGTACATTATCAGCATTTTTGACAAGTAGTTATCAGTGTTTGCTAATTTCTAAGTTGAATCTAACTCAACACTATAGATTTTCCACAATATTATTTTTTACTGTGATGAACTGGCCTCATACCATTATTATTATTATTTTTTGAGACAGAATCTCACTCTGTCTTCCAGACTGCAGTGCAGTGGCATGATCATAGCACACTGCAGCCTCAACCTTCAGGGCTAAAGTGATCCTCCCTGTCTTAGCCTACCGAGTAGCTGGGACTACAGGTGTGCGCCACCACACCTAGATAATTTTTTTTTTTTTTTTTGTAGAGACAGGGTTTCACTATGTGTCCCAGGCTCGTCTTGAAATCCTGGGCTCAAGTGATCTTCCCACCTCAGCCACTCAAAGTGTTGGGATTACAGGTATGAGCCACCATGCCCAGCCTGGCCTTATATCTTAATACACCTAAAGAAAATACATCGTCAAATGTTTTACTTTCACGTTTATGGATATATACAATATTCCTGACTAGGCCATTCAAAGTAAGTGAGATATAATGTTGTTCAACTTGGGCTTGTGTGTATCTACCTTAATTACTTCCTGAAAGCAGTTTTACAAAACAGTAAAGCCAGGCCGGGCACGGTGGCTCATGCCTGTAATCCTAGCACTTTGGGAAGCCGAGGCGGGTGGATCACTTGAGGTCAGGAGTTCGATACCAGCCTAGCCAACATGGTGAAAACCTGTCTCTACTAAAAATACAAAAAATTAGCCGGGCATGGTGGTGGACTCCTGTAATCCCAGCTACTTGGGAAGCTGAGACAGAAAAATCGCTTGAACCCGGGAGGTGGATGTTGCAGTGAGCCGAGATCACACCACTGCACTCCAGCCGGGGCGAGAGAGGGAGACTCTGTCTCAAAAAAAAACAGTAAAGCCTTACTCTGTTTTGACTCCATGGTTCTATTTTTCACATTTGATCACAGAACATAAAGACAATCTTTCCAAATTGTATGTACCAACATATATTCTAGCTGAATCTTAACTGATTTAGAGTGAGAGGAAGTCATGAAAGAATATAATAAAATGAAGAAAATGAGCTTAGACAATAAAAGTTGAAAGAAGCAGCACGATGACAAAGTTGAAATCACATTTTTCAAACCATGTTATATAAAAGATATAAAGTTATTTTTCTATGAAGATGACCATATTTCTTATAAGAAGATGACCACACAGACCCAGTATCAATCAGTGTAACAGGAAAGCTTGATTATTTTTGCCAGCAATGTGGATGGATCTACAATGAATTGTGCATATTATCCAGTGTTCACTTGTGACCACTAGTATACAGCAACAAAAAAGCTGCCTGAATTTATTATTTTATTTTATTTTGAGACGGAGTCTCACTCTGTCTCCCAGGCTGGAGTGCAGTGGCGCGATCTCGGATCACTGCAAACTCTGCCTCCCGGGTTCACGCCATTCTCCTACCTCAACCTCCCCAGTAGCTGGGACTACAGGCACCCGCCACCACGCCCGGCTAAATTTTTTTTTCTTATATTTTTAGTAGAGACAGGATTTCACCATGTTAGACAGGATGGTCTCGATCTCCTGACCTCGTGATCCGCCCACCTCAGCCTCCCGAAGTGCTGGGATTACAGGTGTGAGCCACCGCGCCCAGCCAAAAGCTGCCTGAATTTAGACTTCGGTAAACTAAAGCTGACTAGCTCAGAAGTGTCCAATTAATAGCCATGGGCTCTCCATTGTCTCAGTTAATGACAACTCTATTCTTACCATGTGCTTAGCTCAAAAGCCTTGGGAATTTTCCTTCACTCCTCTCATATCCCACACATCTAGTGTATAATTTTAGTAAACTTCTATCCATTCTACTTTCAAAAAGTTAGAAAGAACCACTAGAAATTATGGATTCTTGCCGGGTGCACTGGCCGATGCCCGTAATCCCAGCACTTTGGAGGGCTGAGGCGGCAGATCACCTGAGATCAGGAGTTCAAGACCAGCCTGGCCAGCATGGCAAAACCCCGTCTCTACTAAAAATATAAAAATTAGCCGGGCGTGGTGGCAGGCACCTGTAATCCCAGCTACTCGGGAGGCTGAGGCAGGAGAATCTCTTGAACTGGGGAGGAGGAGGTTGCAATGAGCTGAGAACATGACACTGCACTCCAGCCTGAGCAACAGAGCTCCATCTCAAAAAAAAAAAAAAAAAAAAAAAAAAAGGATTCTATTGATCAAAAGTGATCAAATATTGGCAATTTCATATGGTACAAACTGACATTGAAACTAGCATTGCAAAATTGTAACTGAGACAGTGAAAGACATCTGACCTAACCAACTTCATCTTGCTTTTAACCTCCAAGCTGTCCTTGTTCATTCCTGGGCGTAGGCTGAACTAACTTTAGGAGGAACTTAGTTTATAGTTTAAAACAAAGATGATAGGCCGGCATGGTGGCTCACGCCTGTAATCCCAGCACCTTGGGAGGCTGAGGTGGGCGGATCATGAGGTTAGGAGATCGAGACCATCCTGGCTAACATGGTGAAACCCCGCCTCTACTAAAAAACACAAAAAACTAGCCGGGCTTGGTGGCGGGCGCCTGTAGTCCCAGCTACTGGGGAGGCTGAGGCAGGAGAATGGTATGAACCCAGGAGACAGAGCTTGCAGTGAGCCGAGATTGTTCCACTGCACTCCAGCCTAGGCCACAGGCGAGACTCTGTCCTCCCCCACCCAAAAAAAAAAGATGATAACGGCATTTCCCAAGGCAAATTCCCTTCTTTCCTGGAGACTAGACTGCCTTTGTAGGACTAACAAATTAGCCAGGGATTATGGTTTAGGAGTCATGCAGCTGGAGGCTACAAGATTCTGAAACTCCCTAAACTGCTCCTAAGATCAGTGCTTGAGAAATTGTGCAGACCCTGCACTTGATGGATCAGCTGGCATCACCCTGATAGATAAACTGGCTCATCTGATCTTGTGTCCCCGCACCCAGGAACTAACTCAGCACAAGAAGACAGCTTTGACTCCCTATGATTTCATCTCTGACCTAACCAATCAGCACTCCCGGCTCACAGGCTTCCCCCCACCAAGTTGTCCTTAAAAACTCTGATCCCCGAATGCTCAGGGAGACTGATTTGAGTAATAAAACTCTGGTGTACTGCACAGCTGGCTCTGAGTGAATTACTCTTTCTTTATTGCAACTGTCCTATCTTGATAAATCAGCTCTGTCTAGGTAGCTGGCAAGGTGAACCCACTGGGCATTTACATCATATCTAGGTATTCGGCTACTTTTCATCACCTCTACTAATACTAGCCTAGATTACTGCAATAGTCTCCTAGATTATTGCAATTACTTCCTATGGGTCTCCCTGCTTCCCATCTGCCTTGCTTATCAGTCTGTTCTTAACACATTATTCAGGGTGATTCTGTTTGTACCTAACTGAGTGCATGTCTCTCCTCCACTCAAAACCTTTCAATGGCTTCTCATCTTTAAATAATAGCTCAGGTCCTTATTATGACCCACAAGTTTCTTTTTCTAATTTTTTCTTTTTTTTATTTTTTGAGATGGAGTCTCGCTCTGTCGCCCAGGCTGGAGTGCAATGGCGCAATCTCGGCTCACTGCAACCTCCGCCTCCCAGGTTCAAGCAATTCTCTTGCCCCAGCCTCCCAAGTAGCGCGATTACAGGCGCCTGCCACCATGCCCGGCTAATTTTTATATTTTTTGGTAGAGATGGGGTTTCACCATGTTGGCCAGGCTGGTCTCAAACTCCTGACCTCAAGTGATCTGCCCGCATCAGCGTCCCAAAGCGCTGAGATTACAGTCGCGAGCCACCCCACCACACCCGGCAGATCCATAAGTTTCTATATCATTTGGGTGTACAACTCCCTCCACCCCTCACAATTTTTCTTACCTTATCTTCTACGACTCTCCCTCTCATTCATGAGCTTCAGGCAACTGGACTCACTACTTTTACTTTTCCTGGAACACACCAGCTTTTTGCCTCAGGGTCTTTGCATTTGGAATGCTTGGAATGCTCTTTCCCCACATATCTGCATGACTTAACTTTCTTTAGATCCTTATTCAGAACTCACCAAGTCAATAAGGCTTTCCCTCTGTGCTATCTAAAATACGAACATACCACCAAACTCCCTCTTCACTTTTATACCCTATGGCATTTATCGCCTTTGAACATACTTTGCAATGTCTTTATTTCATCTGTTTTTCCTTACTATTACATAAGCTCCAGGAAGGCAGAAATGTTTATCTGTGTACTATGGTATTTCCAGAACCTACAACACTATCTAGCAGATTAGGAGGCACTTAATAAATTTTTGCTGAATGAATGAATGAGTATTGAAAATTAGGGTGATCAGTAATTTAATTCACTTTTTATTCCATTCTTCAAATCCCATTCATGCTGATTCTTTGGTGGAAATTTTGTCGCTTTGCAAATTCAGAGTGAGGAAATCTCATTTGCCTCATGAGTTAATCCAGGAGGGGGCCAGGTAAAGTATAGCAAGGATTTCTTTAAATTTCTCTATGACATTCTTTAGAAATAGAGGAGCTGCCTAAACTTGTCTTTTCTTTTCCTTCCCCCACACCCCTAAAGGTCATGATTGATTGTCCAGTAACTTTCTTGTTATGTCAAGATTAGAACTGGCAGAGAAGAAACAGGTTGGTGACTTCACCATACCCTGGGCCTTAAAACTGTTTCTAGGTTTTCCCATTCAAATGACTCTATTTCTTAAGGACTGAAACAGATCCTTCACAAAGAAGAGATAAAATTTTAGTTGGAATATCTACTATTTTGTATAACTTATATTTAATGTTGTCATCAATGAAAATGACTTAGAACTGACCAGTATCTAAACATAGCACTTTCTTTGTAGATACAGATAAGTTACTGGGAAACATTCTGGCAACGATAAGGAGATTCAGAGAAACACAGTTCTTGAAATGTTATTTATAAAGCATTTTCTATAGCAACACTAGCAAAACAAGCTATTTTAAAAGTGTAACTACAGTTATTTTAGGTTCTTATATGACAAAGTTACCTTACCGCTAAAGCCCATGGAGTATCAGGAAATATTACATATGGGCAGGCACTTCATTATTATTTAAGTCTTGAGAATGCATCAATGAAAATTGGGTATAAAAAATGTAAAATTGGCCGGGCGCGGTGGCTCATGCCTGTAATTCCAGCACTTTGGGAGGCTGAGGTGGGCGGATCACCTGAGGCCAGGAGTTCGAGAGACCAGCCTGGCCAGTATGGTGAAACCCCGTCTCTACTAAAAATATAAAAAATAGCCAGGTGTGGTGGTTCATGCCTGTAATCCCAGCTACTCGGGAGGCTGAGGCAGGAGTCGCTTGAACCCAGGAGGCAGATGTTGCAGTAAGCCAAGATCACGCCACTGCACTTCAGCCTGGATGACACAGCGAGACTCCGTCTCAAAAAAAAAATAAATAAATAAAATTGAGCAAGCCACTGATAAAAGAAAATGTTGATCAAAAATCTGCTAGCAGAGGCTTTTTGTTTTGTTTTGTTTTTTTGAGACGGAGTTTCACTCTTGTTCCCCAGGCTGGAGTGCAATGGCACGATCTCAGCTCACTACAACCTCTGCCTCCCAGGTTCGAGCCATCTCCTGCCTCAGCCTCCCAAGTAGCTGGGGTTACAGGCATGCACCACCACGCCCAGCTAATTTTGAATTTTTAGTAAAGATGGGGTTTCATCCATCCTGGCTAACATGGTGAAACCCCGTCTCTACTAAAAATACAAAAAAATTTGCCGGGCGTGGTGGCAGGTGCCTGTAGTCACAGCTACTTGGGAGGCTGAGGCAGGAGAATGGTGTGAACCCGGGAGGCCGAGCTTGCAGTGAGCCGAGATCATGCCAGTGCACTCCAGCCTGGACGACAGTGCGAGACTCCGTCTCAAAAAAAAAAAAAAAAAAAAAAAAGATGGGGTTTCACCATGTTGGTCAGGCTGGTCTGGAACTCCTGACCTCAGGTGATCTGCCAGCCTCAGCCTCCTAAAAATGCTGGGATTACAGACGTGAGCCACCGCGCCTGGCCTTAGCAGAGGCTTTTTAACACATAAGACTTGTAGGCTGTACAGAAGTGAGGGAAAAGGGAGTATAGCAAGCAAAGTAAAGCGATGGGATTTGAAGATTAGAGCAGCTCTGCCATTTCAAATGCCAGAGACCTTAATAAGCACAGTGTGGGAAGACTTCTGACCTGGAATTGAGTCAAGGTCAATCTGTAAGACAAGAGTAGGTTAAGCAGCAATGAAATACTGTTTCATTTAATTAGGAAGATATGTGGTTTATGCCTAGATCATTCTATTTCTTTCCAACCTTGCTGCAAACAGTATTTTTTTAGTCATTGCTAATATGTATGTGTAACTACTCAGTGTTTAGACAGTAGTGATACTGTTTGGAAATGATTCCTTTCAATATCAAAAACCTATTGAAAATAGATGACAATGTTATAAACTTATAAGATCTGCCTTTCAAACCACCTGAAGCACAAATACTCCCCAAATGCCAGATCTCCAAATGGCAAACATACTCAGTAGAAACAACTAACCTCTAAAGAAGGTTGAGTCATGCCAATCTAATCTATAGTAATGATATCTTTTTCTTTTTCTTTTTTTTTTTTTTTTTTGAGACAGAGTCTTGTTCTTGTTGCCCAGGCTGGAGTGCAATGGCGCAATCTTGTCTCACTGCAACCTCTGCCTCCCAGGTTCAAGTGATTCTCCTGCCTCAGCCTCCCGAGTAGCTGAGATTACAGGCATGCGCCACCACGCCCGGCTAATTTTGTATTTTTAGTAGAGATGGGGTTTCTCCATGTTGGTCAGGCTGGTCTTGAACCCCTGACCTCAGGTGATCCACCCGCCTCAACCTCCCAAAGTGCTGGGATTATAGGAGTGAGCCACCGCACCCAGCCTATGATTTCTTACATCTAAGTATGTGCTAATGAAATTTGTACCACTAATGTTATTACTATTTTATATTGAGACTGAATCTGAAATCGATAAAACCTTAGTAAATATCATGAAAAAATAAAAAGAATTTTTACATAGCTTCAAAATCTCCTCTGGCAAAATCTATTGTCTATAAATCACACTTAACTGTAGTCTTCCTCCAATCACCTGGTTATTCAATCTCATAACAGAAATGAAAGGGTTTCCATTCAGATGAAGTGCAGGAGTGTTTCAGACAAAGGGTACAACTGGTTTGCCAAATGAGACACAAGGATTAAACCTGAAAGGCAGGTGCATGCTTCAAGCTTTTGCATAAATGCTCATTTCATTTTTTCCCATACAGAGTCAGCTATGACTATTTCTACTTTATAGGAATAAACTTTTAGTTTCACAAGGCAAGGGTTTTGTAACTGGCAAGATCATCCTGGTGATTCAACAGTGGCTTTTTATTCAAGTCAGCAAGCAGCCTTTCAGTGGGGTTCTACTCAAAAACCTTATTTATACATATAATAAGAGCTTCTTCCTTAGGTACTCAAGACCCAGAGGGGTCTGGTCTCAATAGACATTTCTGTCTTATCTTAAACTGCCCCATTCACAATTCATTATCTATCCAATAATCCAATTAAATGTAACAATTCGGTGCCCCTTACCTTTCAGAGTTTCCCACTTCTCAGCCTTTGTTAACTGTCTCTTTAGTGTGGAAAGTCTTTTTTTCTTATCTCTATTCCTACTTCAGATTCAAAGCTTAAAGCTAGTTCCTTTAAGGTAAGAGCACAAAGTTCCAAAGCAAATGTTTATCTGTTACAAGTGCTTCCATAAGGCTAATTTGGATAAGTAAGAACAAATACTCACGAGGAAATGAATTTGTTACTGTGGCCCTCCAAAAACAGGGCAGTATCATAACCACCCAGATACAAAGAAATTAGAGAGTGTATTGGCATGTGGAGAAGAAGGAAAATGATAAACGGATTGCAAGGAAATGGAAAACGAGATGTTGTTCCAGGATACCTGGCAGTATTGGTAATGCTGAATTTGGTTCAGAGATAAGGAAGGCTCAGAATTTGTAAATATCCCATTAAATGAGAACGTATATAGATTGCAGAAATTCTTCCTGAATGGTAATGATAGGTCTGTATGAAAAAGAGCAGTGATACAGCAAGATTTGAACATTCCAGATCTGGTGACAGCTTACAGAAAGGGGCCAGGAAGGTTATCCCTACATACCACAAACCCTCCCCACAACCTCACCACCACCAATGGCCCTGCCCCCTGAAGCTACTCTGGGGGCCAAAGAGAGTTATGCTGAATTCTGCTTAATGTACTTCTGCCCTCACCATCTACAACGTAGTATATCCTTGGCTAATTCAAACAGATCCTTTTCTAACCTAAGAAGGAGAGATGCGGGGAGGCAAAAAAGGAGAGAGGAAATGATGGGTTTGGATTTGCTGCCAATCTGGATCTGATCAGAAATGCCTTTAATGACACTTTGCTAGAGGACTGTAAATTAATTAAACCAGATGTACGGAAGGTTTTTTTTTTTTCTTTATACTTTCTATTCAATCATGTTCAATTTATTTTACAGGCAAACCTTTTTCTGGGGCCAGACATAAAATTTAAAATGCCATTAGGTATGAGGTTGTTAAAAGCAGCTCTAGGTGAGAAAAACACTATTCAGCACAACCAGCTGAACTGCCCTAGTGACAGTTCCCTACCTTCTTGCCTCCCATTTCCCATTCTTTCTTTCTTTCTTTTTTTTTTTTTTTTTGGAGAAGGAGTCTCGCTCTGTCGCCCAGGCTGGAGTGCAATGGCATGATCCTGGCTCACTGCAACCTCCACTTCACAGGTTCAAGTGATTCTCCCTGCCTCAGCCTCCCAAGTAGCTGGGATTACAGGCACGCACCACCACGTCCAGCTAATTTTTGTCTTTTTTTAAGTAGAGATGAGGTTTCACCATGTTGTCCAGGTTGGTCTCGAACTCCTGACCTCAGGTAATCTGCCTGCCTCGGCCTCCCAAAGTGCTGGGATTACAGGCATGAGCCACCGCGCCTAGCCAATTTTGTTGTTATTGTTGTTTTTTGTTTGTTTGTTTGTTTTTTGAGACGGAGTTTCTCTCTTCTTGCCCAGGCTGGAGTGCAATGGTGCAATCTTTTCTCACTGCAATCTCTGCCTCCTGGGTTCAAGTGATTCTCCTATCTCAGCTTCCTAAGTAGCTGGGATTACAGGCGCCCGCCACCACGCCCAGCTAATTTTTGTGTATTTAGTGGAGACAGAGTTTCACCATGTTGACCAGGCTGGTCTTTAATTCCTGACCTCAGGTGATCCACCTGCCTCGGCCTCCCAGAGTGATGGGATTACAGGCATGAGCCACCGCGCCCAACCTAGCCCCTCAATCTTTGGCTATTTTCTCGGTCTGAGATTTCTTAGCTCCTACTCTTGGCTATGGCAGTTAGACACTGCCTCAGCTCAGCTTAGGACAGATGGTGCCTCTTGACTTTCAATGGTCTCCTGCCATGACTCTTCGACTATGGTGAATCTGACTTTCTCCTACTTCCTACATAATCATTTTCACCTCTGCCCAGTCCTTTATTTGTTCTTCTATCAAGGTGTGCTTCAGCCACATTGTATTGCCTACTGTGCTATCTCTCCTTGAAAGTGTGTATACTACCTAAGAACAAATGCAAAATAAATATAACTATAGGTCCTTTCTTATATTGAAACAACAAAATACACTAATCGATATATTAAAATATATAATCCAACTCTGTTGGTAGCAAAATACTCACTTTACAACATTGCAATGACTATATCAGCATACAGAATGCAATTTCTGAAAAGATAGCTTCATGTCAGTGTTTATATGCAACAGCATCCTTTATTAAAAAGGAAACAGCTATAATAAACACAAATCATAGTGACAGCAGGAATCATGCTATCAACAAACCCATCAAAATGGAATCAAACATCGTGAGATGAACACCATCACAGAGATATGTACAAGTACTTTTCCCATATGGGATTCTCTGCTACTTCATTTTGAAACTAAATAACTAGGGCAACTGTTTCTAGCAATATATCTATCCGGGCCTTTTTCAGTGTTGTTCTGTTCTCAGTAATGGTTCACAGAGAGTTTTATGTTGTAACATGAGGTTCTTTCATGATCACAGCTTCACTGCAGTCCCATGGTTTTAATACTGCTGTTATAATTATTCAAGATCGACCACTGTGATTTCTTCTCAGATCAACTATTACTGTTGTTAAACACCTTTTGAATGTTTTAAGTAACTCACAGCAAATGATACGTTTACAAACTGACAATGCTTGGACAGTGTTTATGGTATGTTGTTATAACTGGATGACATGATCTGAAAACCACATCCTTACTAATTAACAATACTCAGGCTTGCACTTATGCACAGCTTCATAATGTTCTGAAGTCCTGGGTTTGATATAATCCATACTGTTTATTTATATATTAGCTAAAATTAGTCTATTTCCCACATTCAACATACAGGGTGTTATAGCCAATGCATTTAAAAAATAATCCTATTTGATTTTTTTCTCCCCCTGAATATTTCAATGGGGATTTCCTATAATCAGGAAGCTTTGCCAACAAGGTCTGTAGGCATGTTACAAACAACATTTTAACAATTTTGTCCTGTGTCCATTTTACCCATGCCTTTTGCATACAAGAACAAATAGCTAGACCACCTTTTCCCAAACTGTGTGCCATACTTGAGATGTTAAAAAGTATTACACACACACACACACCCCATGGCTAAATAAGTTAGAGAAATGTTTTATAGTATAGCCCCTTATAGATTTACAATAAAAATAGCATATTAAAAGTCATGAGAAGTTCTGCAGAAAATAGATCTGTTTGTCTTTGTTTAACCCAGCACATTCACAACTTATTTGCCACAGATGATCCCCTTGACTACCTCCATACTTTTTCTTTCCCTTTTTTAACATTATTGTAACATCCTGTAGAACAATATTCTGTAGAATACAGTTTGGGAGCACTAAACTCAATAAATAAATAATACCTCCTATGCATAATTTAACATAATTTCAACATCTCAAAACAACAACATATCATAACCTTCTTTCTTGAGAAAGCTAGTTTATCAAGGCTCGTGTGAAACAATTCCTGAATAGTACAGGACTAAGAAACAGAGGAAAACACTGGGAATTTGTAACACTCTCTGTATGTCTTACAATATACACAAACTATAGTTGGGTGTCACCTGTTTGTAGCAAAAACAAGATGATCTGTTGTTCCAGTATCAGGATGGAATTGAAAAACAAAAACAATTGGGAAGCAGACCATAATCCATTGGATGCTAAAACAAATTATTTCTCTTTACTGACCAAAGACACCAAGTAACCCAAATTCAAACCAATAAGGGAATAGACCTTTTATTCATATAAGTAAAAGAAATGAAAAGTAAAAGAAAAGAAAAAGTAAAAGAAATGCAAATCCATAATGAAAAAGTTTAGTCAAGCATGAAGAGTGTCAAAAGCACCAAAACAAAATTGGGATCTTAATTAAGCAAGTTTTCCTCACATCATTTGCTTATGCAAGGTATAGGAGATATCTTTTGTTTTGGAGACAGAGTCTCACTCTATCCCCTAGGCTGGAGTGCAGTGGCGCGATCTCGGCTCACTGCAACCTCCGCCTCCTGGGTTCAAGCGATTCTCATGCCTCAGCCACCCAAGTAGCTGTGACTATAGGCGCACGACACCGCGCCCGGCTAATTTTTGTATTTTTGGTAGAGACGGGTTTCACCATGTTGGCCAGGCTGGTCTTGAACTCCTGACCTCAGATGATCTGCCTGCCTCAGTCTCCCAAAGTGCTGGGATGACTTTGGGACATGAGCCACCATGCCCAGCCAGAATCATTTTTAATAGATTGTTTTATAGCAAGCTTATCATCAGAAATCAGAGCTGTACCTAAAGGATATATAAGAGAGTTTTTTCTCACCCAGTTACACTGCCTCCTCAGAGGATGAGTGTCCAATACTATTTTATTTTATTTTATTTTTTAATTTTTATTTTTTGGAGATAGAGTTTTGCTCTTGCTGCCCAGGCTGGAGTGCAATGGCACAGTCTCATCTCACTGCAACCTCTGCCTCCCAAGTTCAAGCAATTCTCCTGCCTCAGCCTCCTGGGTAGCTAGGATTACAGGCATGCACCACCACACCCGGCTAATTTTTTGTATTTTTAAGTAGAGACAGGGTTTCACCATATTGGCCAGGTTGGTCTTGAGCTCCTGCCCTCAGGTGATCCGCCCACCTCGGCCTCCCAAAGTGCTGGGATTACAGGTGTGAGCCACCATGCCTGGCTGAGTGTCCAATACTTTTTTTTTTTTTTTTTTTTTTGAGATGGAGTCTTGCTCTATCGTCAGGCTGGAGTGCAGTGGTGCGATCTCAGCTCACTGCAACCTCTGCCTCCCGGGTTCAAGTGATTCTCCTGCTTCAACCTCCTGAATAGCTGGGACTACAGGCACGCACCACCATGCCTAGCTAATTTTTGTATTTTTAGTAGAGATGGGGTTTCACCATGTTGACCAGGATGTTCTCGATCTCTTGACCTTGTGATCTGCCCGCCTCGGCCTCCCAAAGTGCTGGGATTACAGGCGTGAGCCACTGTGCTCGGCCATATCCAATACTTTTATAAAAGGTTTAATAAGTGTCTAACTTATTGACTGGGGTATACAGTTCTATCGTCCTTTGTTGAGTTCTATTGATCTTAAAAAAACAGATAAGCTAATGCTATGCTACTCAAACGCCTGATCTACTATGAGATAAGGAGCTGGCGCAAGAATGTAAATCAGCTGTCAATGCATGGGGACTAGGTAATTCATGGCTGGCACTGGTCGTATCAGCTATAGGTAATGAATAATTTTTCAGAAAATACACTGAATCCTTCTCTTTTAATTCATCATTTTGGTCCCACAAATCTCTGGATTTGAAATTTTGTTTAAGACTTAAAAACATCTCAACAAAAACTTTAAAGTGCCCTTAATTTTGCTAACATCTTTGTGCTTATTCTCTGAAAGCTGACCATGTAAAAGTGAGTCAGAGGTGGGAAGTAAATTATCAAGAACAATCTGGCACTCCTTCACATGTCTCAGCACCTTGCTACAAGCCATTTTGAATACTTCGCTTTATTTGTTGTTATAAACAAACAGTTTATAACCTAAGATATGTTATATAAATTAAGGTACCATAGATAAAAAACATTTGTACTTAATGTATCATATGTAACAAATATTTGGTTTAAATGTTTAAACTCATCATAGAGGGCATGACTCATGTTTAACTGTACATATACATCTTAGCTTGCTGAACACAATGAGGACATCAAACGTATACATCCAATTTATACGAAAACAACTCATCCAATTACTTAAATTTTCTTTTTTTTTTTTTTTTTTTTTGAGACGGAGTCTCGCTCTGTGGCCTACGCTGGAGTGCAGTGGCGCGATGTCGATCTCCTGACTTTGTAATCCGCCCACCTCGGCCTCCCAAAGTGCTGGGATTACAGGCGTGAGCCACTGCGCCCGGCCAATTACTTAAATTTTCACAATTGTTATGAATAACTATGGAGACATTCTTCTTCTTCTTTTTTTTTTTTTTTTTTTTTTTTTTTTTTTTTTAAGACGGAGTCTTGCTCTGTGGCCCAGGCTGGAGTGCAGTGGCGTGATCTCGGCTCACAGCAACCTCCGCCTCCCGGGTTCACGCCATTCTCCTGCCTCAGCCTCCCAAGTAGCTGGGACTACAGGCGCCCGCCACCATGCCCGGCTAATTTTTTGTATTTTTAGTAGAGACGGGGTTTCACCGTGTTAGCCAGGATGGTCTCAATCTCCTGACCTTGTGATCCGCCCGCCTCGGCCTCCCAAAGTGCTGGGATTACAGGCGTGAGCCACCGCGCCCGGCCGGAGACATTCTTCTTGTTTTTTTTTTTTTTTTTAAATAAGCTTTTTAAAAAAATTACTAGTAGAGTTACAGTTAGTCACTTTGGACTTGGAAAGGTAAAAGTCTTAGGTCCTGATAAAGTTGGAAAGCGTCACTGAATTGTTCCATCTATATATAACTACAAATAGTTACTATAGGCATGTATTTCACTATCAATCATATGCACTCTCTACCAAAATATGAAAAAGAAAATGTTATTTCTTTTTCCTCACTGATAACAAAATATATGAGACATGACATCTTTAATTTATTCTCACAAGAGGTCCAGGGACAGTCAAAGTTTGTAAGGCTTGTAGGATATGATGTCTTATTCACATAGAGAGTTACGTAGTTTAGGAAGAACAATGTACAACGTATTCCATGAATTGCTACAGGAAAAGTCTGTCTTTTTTATGTCTTTCATGTTTCAGAAAACCTCCAAAACAAACTCATATGTAAGTTCCTAAGAATAGCAAAATATGATTTCTCTACAAACAGCATAGAATTGCAAATGACCTATTCAACATTAATCCAATGTTTGTCAGTCTTACAACGCACAACTGGGAATAGAATTCTTGTTACATCATTTATATCTATAATCATGCTTTCTTGTTATATTACCAAGCATAGTTCTCAAGCTTCTATTATTCTAAAAGAAAGGGGTGCAATAAACAAATATCAGCTAGGATTTAGACAAAGAGAAAATTGTCATGGATTTTCAACTGGAGTACAATTTAGTCTTGATATTTGATTTTGAATGCATTTTAAATATATGACATATAGAATAAATTAACTATAAATGGCATTTATTATGCAGATTCTATGAAAGAGCCTTGATTTAAATTTCAAAAGCCTGTTTACTTTAGTCATATACATTTCATCCAATGTATAATTTTCATTTTTTTATTGAAATACAAAAATATTTTGCTTTAGACTGACATTTGGCGCTATTTTTATAATATCCATCCTGATGTCAGGTTGTTAAAATAAAAAGAACACTGGAATAACTTTATATCAGATGTCTGAGGTTCAAGATCTTCTTTGGTCACTAACAAATGGTATGACCTTGGGCAAATCATCTGAATCTCGCAGTATCTCAAAAATGAGGGACATTGCACCCAGTGCTAAAAGTTGAATCTATGATTGAGGTCTTCCTATTTTTCCATTAATGCATTATTACAAGATAAATTTCAAGCTATGTAGTCTGTAACAAAGAATCCTCTGACTTTTCCATCTAGCATTTTCTACCAAGCACTCTCTAAAATGAAACATCTTATCCATAGGGGTTGATGGTAAACGTCACTGGGCAATTCATCATTTTTAAATCTGAATTGTTATGTTTTTGGGTATATTTAGTTCAAGCATAATTTAGTTCAAGGCCTTACCAATAACCATTATTATTACTATTTAGAGGATACCATGTGCTTTATACTATGCTGTACTCTTTATGTCTTTGTTTCATTTAGTCCTCACAGCTAGTTCCTCTTATTTTCCCTCTTTATAGATCATTCCCTGCTTGTCTTAAAAGTAATGAAATGACTGCTCAATTGGCCTGGAAAGATTTTTTAAAGTTTATTACACTCAATTAAGTTCCTTTCCTTTTCTATTCTGCCTCAAAAACGTGGTAAACAGCTCAAGGGAGGCAGCCAGCAAATTAACATTCTTCCTGGTTTGTGTAGCACTGATAAACTCACACAGGTAAGAAAAGGACTAAGAGGCTGGGCACGGTGGCTCACGCCTGTAATCCCAGCACTTTGGGAGGCGGAGGCGGGCGGATCACGAGGTCAGTAGATCGAGACGATTCAGGCTGACACGGTGAAACCCCGTCTCTACTAAAAAATACAAAAAAAAATTAGCTGGGCGTGGTGGTGGACACCTGTAGTCCCAGCTACTTGGGAGGCTGGGGTAGGAGAAAGGCGTGAACCCGGGAGGCGGAGCTTGCAGTGAGCCAAGATCGCGCCACTACACCCCAGCCTGGGTAACACAGTGAGACTCCGTTTCAATAAAAAAAAAAAAAAAAAAAGGACTAAGAGTCCCTTAATGGTAAATGTGAAAAAAACACATATATAAAATCTGTAACTGCATAGATGATTTAGTAACAAATATATGAAGAGCTGCCTAATGACGACTTTCTATACTTCTGACTATTCAAATGAGTTTTGCAAACATGACTTTTTAAATCTTATCATGGAACTCTCATTTTTTTTTCAATTTAAGTAGCATTAGATAAGCTGTGTTGCACTTATCATAGAGTAGATTCACTTCCATATTGAAAAAATTAGAAACTACAACACTTCCTTCACCGTTCCTTGATATTACTCATTATATTATCAACAATGTCAGATATCATGTTCAATCCATGTGTCTGTTCTAGCCAGCTCAAAAAAAAAAAAAAAAAACCTGAAAAACTTATACCGTTTTTGCTATTTATTCAAATTTCAGCTACTTACTAAATTCCAAATGCCTAGTATCAGGGTATGAGGAAAAAATTAATTTAGTTAAGGTAGCAATCAGAAATAGTAAAAAAATACAGCATTAGTTATAAATATGATTGAAGCAACATACCCTAAGCCCTCAAAATCACAAGCAGAAGTATATATAGGATGTAACAATTGCTCCAGACCTCTCTGACAACTAAAGCTGTGCAAATGTGTCTTATTTTTGTTTGGCTAGAAGACTGACTGGTAAACACATTAATTCTTACATCAATCTTAACACCATGGTATCCCCATATTATGGAGGGGGTAACTGTAGTATATAAACTAAAGGATATTCCCAAAGTCATGAAATTCAGAAAAGAATCAGGAATAGGTCTTAGTTTTCACAATAAGAACTCTATAAATTCCACCTGGCATTTTGTAAAAGGAGGAAACAAAATAGTCATAATAGTAATGCTTATATTGGGGGGAAAAGTCACACCAGTGGTAATTGTTGGCACCTGTCCCATTTATCCAAACCAGTAGAACCATAGCAATTTTCTCTTAATCTCTGTTTTGCTCCAACCACACTGAAAAAAAAAAAAAAAAAAAGTGCACTAAAAATTAACACTAAAATAAACTGGCAGAGGCGTTTGGGGAATTGTGTAGGATACTTTCACTCACTAGCTCATGTTTGCCACCAGTGCTATTTCCATGAATAAAAATCTACAGGAAAATTGACAGAAACATATTACTGACAGGTGGTTAGAGCCCCTGTTCTAAATAAATCTACATTATACAAGAAAGAAAACAATATGTCAGGAAAACTTCCCTGCTTTCAATTTCTACTGCTATTGTTATATTGTTTTTCACTCTTAAAATGAAGCAACTCTGCGATCAAGAATTTGTTATAAGCTGCTAAATGAAGGTCTCCATTTGGATATGCTCTTTAAGAAAATTATTTCCAAAAGGCCATCTTACAGTTCTGGTTTCTCTTATGAGTTGTCGCTTGTGTAATTTCTATATGTCAGACTTGGTTAGCTCATAGTGCTAATGAGGCCAAGGTCATGAGTCTGATTCTTGTAAGAGCCAGTTAGTTTTGTTTAAAAAAAAAAAAAAAAAAAAAAAAAAAAAAAAAAAGGCCAGGCCTGGTGGCTCACACCTGTAATCCCAGCACTTTGGGAGGCTGAGGTGGGCAGATCACCTGAGGTCGGGAGTTCGAGACCAGCCTGACCAACATGGAGAAACCCTATCTCTACTAAAAATACAAAATTAGCCGGGCGTGGTGGCGCATGCCTGTAATCCCAGCTACTTGGGAGCCTGAGGCAGGAGAATCGCTTGAACCCGAAAGGCAGAGGTTGCGGTGAGCCGCGATCATGCCACTGCACTCCAGCCTGGGCAACAAGAGCAAAACTCCGTCTCAAAAAAAAAAAAAAAAAAGTTCTGTAGCCAATACCTATAACTATAGCTGGCCAGGCTACAAATTCATGTCCCTGGTTAAAATAGGAACCAGAAAAGGTATAGATGGGGCAAATGCCCTAATGGCATAAAGAGTTTCATATTCAAATACAGAGTTCCTATAATGTTTACATAAACATTGGGAAATTATGGTGTAAAATCACAATCACGCCAATGACACATAAAAAACATTTTCAGAATACATCAACAACATATGCTTACATGTGAGAGAATTTAAAGATCTCAGAGGGAAAACAAGCAATACACATATACAATAGCTATATGTCCCAGAGATACATGTACACAGGATAATGTATAATATGGATAATTATAAAATAATATACATAAATAAGAACATAAAGCTGACAACTTCAGGCATAGATAAATTAATACATAAAGAGAATGGTGTTTCAGGAAGTAATTAAGTTTGCTTAGATCACAAGATAAATGAAGGGTAGTAGGGAAAATTCCTATATTATTCAAGGGCCTAATTAGTTTGGAGCCACTCCATTTTTCTCTAGGCTAAGGACAGCTAAATACACCTAGCCATGCTTGGGAAAGATTTATCTCAGGAAAGTATATGAAATGGACTGGAGGGAGGTAGAGACGGGGGAACTGGCTAGACTACTACTGCAATAGTTCTGGCAAGAAGTAATGAGAGCTTGTGCCAAGGTAATAATAGAAAGTGACTAGATGGGAACAAATACATTGTAAAAGAAGAAAATATGGCTGCGTATGGTGGCTCAACCCTGTAATCCCAGCACTCTGGGAGGTTGAAGTGGGCAGATGACCTGAAGTTAGGAGTTCGAGACCAGCCTGGCCAACGTGGTGAAGCCCTGTCTCTACTAAAAATACAAAAATTAGCTGGGCATGGTGGTGCACGCCTGTAATCCCAGCTACTCAGGAGGCTGAGGCAGGAGAATAGCTTGAACCTGAGAGGCGGAGGTTGCAGTGAGCTGAGATTAGGCCATTGCACTCCAGCATAGGCGACAAAAGTGAAACTCCATCTCAAAAAAAAAAAAAAGAAGAAAATACAGCATGTATTAATTTAGCAAGCAACTGAATGCAGTGATTAAGAGCCTTAACTATAGAGTCAGATTGTGTAGATTTGAATCTTAACTCTTCTGTTTACTAGTCTTCTGAATTTAGGAAGGTCCCTAATTTCTCTGTGCCTCAGTTGATCCAACTGTAAAATGGAGACCATAGTAACTCCTAACTCATAGGATAGTTCTGAGGATGAAATGTTAAAGGCCTGGCACATATTTGATTATTTTTATAGAATCACTATGTTTAGATTGTTTTAGGTGTTTATTTCATTGTCGTAATTTAAGCACTTAGACTTAATTACACTCCAGGGAAAAGCAACATTGTTTTAATAGTATTGGTTTCACATTTTCATGATTCTCTTGTCTACCTTTGTTTGTTCCTAATTCATACGTGAATAGTGACAAAAGTTCAAAGTGGCTACTGCAAAAGATAATATTTGAATTCCAAAAGCTCATGGTAAATGCTAAACAAATGGTAAAAATGATAATTATTGAATGGATGTGGGAGGCAAGAGAGAGTGGTATCAAGAAAACCACCAGTGATAAACCTGTATAACTAAGGAAAGTGATGGTAACATTAAAAGAAATAGATTCCAGAGGAAGATGAATGAGTTTATTAGTAAATATACTGAGTTCGGGGGTTAAGGATCTATATCTAGGTAGAAACATGGAGTTAATGGTTAGAAGATTAGGGCTGGTGTGTCAAAGAGTGAGCAAAAAAGGGAGACATAAAGCTAATAGTCCTGCATGTTAAAGCGTTGATTAAAGTTTTGGGACTAGTGAAGACAGCCAAGGGAAATGAAGAAAGAAGGTAAAATAGAGGAAAATTATAAAAGCAGATGAAGTGTTTCGTACACAAAAGCAAGATCAAGTAGTGATGGCGTAAAGAAAACACAAATGTAATGTCACATACCTGGAACTCCGTAAATATTAGTTGAATATTTGCTAAATTATAAAAATTACTCGCAATTTTACAATTCAATTTTATGACCTACATATGTTTAAGAGAAAAAAATATGATGATGATAGTGTATAACAAATAGCTTCAAAGTTCAATAGAGTATGATATATCTAAATTGTTATATTAAGTGCTATTGATTTTTTTCTTGTGGATGCTCTACATTCCTATAATCATCTGTGTGAAATAAAGTAAGAAAGACTAATCTGCCTCCTGTAACTAATATGCACAAATATAACTTGAATAACTCAAAGAGAAATATAATTTCTTAAAAAAACTAGACAAAGTGCTATAGAAATAATCTGCATGTTTGGATTCCAATATGTTACAAAATGTTATTCAATACAGATGTAAGTCACTTCCTCTTTCTGGGTCTCAGTTTTCTCATCCATAAATTAAGACCAACGAACTGGAATGTTTCTAAATTACTTTCCAGTCCTAATAAATAAGGATGTTATCTTTATAGAGATCTTGCTTAGATAGGCTGGCACTGGGCAGTGAAAGAAAACCAAGGAGGCAAACCAGTCACCATCAGATAATTTATGGGTGAAAGTCAGGGGCTGTCTATTACTTAAGAGGCGAAGTCCAGGGTGGACAACAACGGCTGGCATGTGACAAGATAAACTACGAACCTACCCAGGATAAGAAGGCAAGGAATCCATTCAAATATAGGGGTGAATGGTGGACTAGATATTCAATCCAGCCAATAAATTCTGCTGAACACCTTCCTTCAAGCTGTTTTTATAAGATCTCCCCTATACATAGAAGCTTATATTCCACATGGTCTCAAATGCTAAAATTTTACTTGATACTTCGAACATATTAATATCATAAAAGAAATAAGGTAAGTTTTGAAATTCAAACATTATCTTTTGCAGTAGCCACTCTGAACTTTAATCACTATTTATGTACAAATTAGGAACAAACAAAGATAGACAAGAGAATCAAGAAAATGTGAAACCAAGACTATTAAAAGAATGTTGTTTTTCCCTGGAGTGTAACTAAGTCTAAGTGCTTAAATTACAAAAAGAAATAAACACCTAAAACAATCTAAACATAGTGAGTCTATAAAAATAATCAACTATTTATAAAATATAAAGTTCCTAAATTTACTTGTTATATCTATTATAAAAGACAAGGCCTTCAAATATCTAAATCCCTAGTCATGACATACACAAAATAATAATAAAGAAATGTCAACAAAGACCGGGGGCAGTGGCTCACGCCTGTAATCCCAACACTTTGGGAGGCCAAGGTGGGCAGATTACGAGGTCAGGAGACAGAGACCATCCTGGCCAACATGGTGAAACCCCGTCTCCACTAAAAATACAAAAATTAGCTGGGCCTGGTGGTGCATGCCTGTAATCCCAGCTACTCGGGAGGCTGAGGCAGGAGAATGGCCTGAACCTGGGAGGCGGAGGTTGCAGTGAGCCAAGATATTGTGCCACTGCACTCCAGACTGGCGACAGAGCTAGACTCCGTCTCAAAAAAAAAAAAAAAAAAAAAAAAAAGAAAGAAATATCAACAAAGACAGGCCTAAAATAAAAACAAGACCTAAGCATGGAAGACGATAAAAACACGAGAGATATTGAGTAGGACACAGAGGTACTAGAATTTATAGTGACATTAGAAAATCTCTAAGAGTAGATTTGTTGGCCTAAGTCTTTTGTAGGCTCACACATCCTTTTTCACTTTCATGTTATTATTCATTCTCCTCTTTCATTTAATTAGGGAATGCTTATCTGACTTGTCAGTTAATTCTGGCTTTAATAAGCTTGAGTGGGTAAGTCTGTTATACTATTGCTCAGCCATTTAAACACTGCTTTTTTCTTTTGCATAAATTTCCAAATGGCTATTATTTAGTTTATTAAGAATTTATATCCTGACCGCTTCCAAATATATTTGAAGCAACTTATAACATTTAATATAAGAAAGTTAAATATAATGTGAAAATAGCATTATCAACGATAACAATAGTAGACATGCTCTTGAGTGAGTTGAGGAGCTGTATGAGCTAGTTTTAAAAATTGGATATTAAAAATTAGCCGGGCATGGTGGCACATCCCTGTAGTCCCAGCTACTCGGGAGGCTGAGGCAGGGGAATCGCTTGAACCCAGGAGGCGGAGGTTGCAGTGAGCCAAGATCGCCCCACTGCACTCCAGCCTGGTGACAGAGTGAGACTCCGTCTCAAAAAAAAAAAAAAAAATTGGGTATTAAATTGGCACATAGGTTCTCTGGCAGCTAGGCTAAAAGAGTGATGCATGTAACATAATTTTTAACATCTGATTAAAAGAAAACAGACATCTTTCTACATAAAGATCTTTCTGGTAGTACAAATTTCATCATGTGGATCTCTGTAATGAGAGGCTTTGAAAACACAGTAGACAATAACTTCAGTTACAATTTAATAAAATCTACTAAATACTGTACAAATGGATGTTTTAAAAATTGCTTCTATATTAGGAGGGTGACACAGGAGGACTGCTTGAGCCCAGGAGTTCTAGACCAGCCTGGGCAACATGGCAAGACCCTGTTTCTACAAAAATAAAGATTAAAAAATTAGCCTGGTGTGGTGTCATGCACCTGTGGTCCCACCTATTCAGGAGGCTGAGGCAGGAGGATCCACTGCACTCCAGCCTGGGTGACAGAGCAAGACTCTGTCTCAAAAAAAAAAAAAAAAAATTGCTTCTATAAGTAGCTAATAAAACTAGCAGTATTAATAGAGCAGAAATATCAGTAGTGTAAATGTCAGAAGGGCTGATTCAAATCCTGTATACATCAATCACTAGTCATGTAATTTTTGGCAAGTGACTTAACTGTTTCCTTATCTGTAAACTAAGGATAATAACATATGCCTTGCCTGACAACCAGATAGTTGAAGGATCAAATGACAGTATTGTATATGAAAGTGTTTACTTGCTGGGCCCGGTGGCTCATGCCTGTAATTCCAGCACTTTGGGAGGCTGAGGTGGGGGAATCACCTGAGGTCATGCGTTCGAGACCAGCCTGACCAACATGGTGAAACCCCATCTCTACTAAAATACAAAAACAAAAATTAGCCGGGAGATGTGGCGGGTGCCTGTAATCTCAGCTACTTGGGAGGCTGAGGTGGGAGAATCGCTTGAAACCAGGAGGCGGAGGTTGCAGTGAGCCCAGAACGCGCCACTGCACTCCAGCCTGGCAACAGAGTGAGACTCTGTCTCAAAAAAAAAAAAGTGTTTACTTTGTTTACTTGTTGTATTAGTAGAAGCTATTCCTGGTCCTATCACTAATATTACCATCACAATAGTTAAAATTCACAGAAAAAATATGGAGATAGACACACTAGCTTTTTAAAATTTATTTTTATTTTTTTGAGACAGAGTTTTTGCTCTTGTTGCCCAGGCTGGAATGCAGTGGTGCGATCTCGGCTCACCACAACCTCTGTCTCCTCTACCTCCCAGGTTCAAGCAATTCTCCTGCCTCAGCCACCAAGTAGCTGGGATTATGGGCACGTGCCAACATGCCTGGATAATTTTTTTGTATTTTTTAGTAGAGACGGGGTTTCACCATGTTGGCCAGGCTGGTCTCAAACTCCTGACCTCAGGTGATCTGCCCGCCTCGGCCTCCCAAAGGGCTGGGATTACAGGCATGAGCCACAGCACCCAGCTTTTTTGTTTTTTTTTTGACAGAGCCTGGCTCTGTTACCCAGGCTGGAGTCAGTGGCATGGTCTTGGCTCACTGCAACCTCTGCCTGCCGGGTTCAAGGGTTCAAGCAATTCTCCTGTCTCAGCCTCTACAGTAGCTGGGATTACAGGCACCTGCCACCACTCCTGGCTAATTTTTTTCTTTTTTTGTATTTTAGTAGAGACAGGGTTTCACCACGTTGGCCAGGCTGGTCTCAAGCTCCCAACCTCAAGTGATACACCTGCCTCGGCCTCCCAGTGTGTTGGGATTACAGGCGTGACCAGCCCGGCCAAGACAGATACACTAGCTTTCTTAAAGCCATTGTAGAACCTTGTTCTCTGGGTCCAACAATCCATTTTCCAACCAAGGTCAGAACAATCTTTACAATGACCTCAAGTCACTGCCTAAATCTTTTAGGTCCCACATCACCCTCAGGATATAATTAAACCCAGGGCCAACTTCCTGGGCATAAGTCCTGTGCAGTCACACACAGGCCAATGTTTAGAAGAGCCCTGTGCATGGTTTAATACTCTTATGCTGACATCTTGAAATTCTCAATGATTTTTAACAAGGGCCCCACATTTTCATATTGTACTGGCTACATACTTTTTGTGGCCACACAAGTTATGTAACCAGTCATGATGAAACCCCTTGAAATGAGATCCAAAGTCCCTCAGAATGTGGATCATGCTTACCTCTCCAGCTTTGCCCGCCCTGTTCCCTTGGAAACTATTCTAAGGCTCAATTATGCTAAACAACCTTTAGCTTCCTAAATGTCTTATGCTCTTTCAATCTCCTTTGTCTTTGCTGATAGTCTCCTTGCTCTGTTTCTCTTTGCATTACAATAAAATGAAAGCAAAGCAAATGGATCTCTTTTATAATTTTCAAATACAATCTTACTTCCAGAATTCTATTGCATTTTCCAATGGCATTTTAGGGTTGGTGGAGAAATACTAAGTTTTGATAACCCATGAATGTGATGATATCTAATTATATATATATATATATATATATTTAAATTACTGCCAAGGGAAGGAAAATAAGAGTGGAAGGGATGAGGTCAAGCAGTGGATTGCTGGCTGGATGCGGTGGCTCATGCCTGTAATCCCAGCACTTTGGGAGGCCAAGGCAGACAGCTCACTTGAGGCTGGCCTGGCCAACATGGCAAAAAGCTGTCTCTACTAAAAATGCCAAAAGTTAGCCAGGTGTGCTGGCACACGCGTGTAGTCCCAGCTACTCGGGAGGCTGAGGCAGGAGAATCGCTTGAACCCAGGAGGCAGAGGTTACAGTGAGCAGAAATTACACCACTGCACTACAGCCTGGGCGACAGAGCAAGACCCTGGGTCAAAAAACAAACCAAAAAAAAAAAAAAATTGGATTGTTGTTTTTACTGCTTCAACCTCACCTTAAGCACAGTGTTTGCAGTGGCATTGGTCAAAGGTTAGGAACCCATGGTTCTCAGAGCTACAACTTTCAGATTCTGATTTAATTGATCTGGGATGGTGTCCAGGCATCAGTATTTTTTAAAAGTTCCCCAGATGATTCTAATGTGTATTGAGGGTTGAGAACCACTGAGATACAAGAACTTTAAAGAGCAGTAAGTTAAATGAGATGTAGCAGCTCAAGGTGTTGAGGTATAAATAAGCCAGCTAATTACCAGAGCAGGACTGCTGGGGAAGCCTATTAAATGGACAATGTAAATGAAGACATAAACATGACACCATTTAAAGCAAATCTAATAGAAAAGATTAGTGGCATTACAGCATGTTTTGTATTTGTGATTTATCTTGAATATTTCTGAATTTCTGAATGGATTAAACAATGTCCATATATGTTGAAAGGCAAGCAGTATGAAACTACCATTTCAACACCTGGGAAGATTATAGACAAATGTTATAATACATTAATTATGGACATGTTATGTTTTAACATCAATTTAGAGAGCAAGATTTCTGTACCCTTGCTGAATGTCAGATTTCTGTCTCAAAAATCCCGTATTTGGTTGATAGAGTCCATAACTCATTTGAGCAAAAAGCACCTTCAAAATAACCATAGAAGCAGCAACACCCTGGACAAAAACAAATTGGTGAGTTTAGAAAATACACGGGAAGAATTCATCAATATTAAAACATTAGTTAACTAAGAAAATAAAGTTGTTACAAGAGAAGGAATGTTGCTCACAATAAAATTTAAAATGGGGCACCTGAAATATATGACACGTTAAGTTCATGAGGGAGCTAGGTAATCAAGGAGGACAAATGAGGAGCTTAACCAGTTCTAATTGGCTGGCTTTCCAAGGTTATGAGAAAGTGCTCTTAGAGTGAATCGGTGTTTTTTTTTTTTTTTTTGAGACAGAGTCTCGCGCTGTCACCCAGGCTGGAGTGCAATGGTGTGATCTCAGCTCACTGCAACCTGTGCCTCCCAGGTTCAAGCGATTCTCCTGCCTCAGCCTCCCAAGTAGCTGAGACTATAGGCATGTGCCACCACACCCAGCTAATTTTTGTACTTTTAGTAGAGATGGGGTTCACCATGTTGGCCAGGCTGTTCTCGAACTCCTGACCTCGTGATCCACCCACCTTGGCCTCCCAAAGTGCTAGGATTACAGGTGTGAGCCACTGCGACCGGCCTGCAGAAATCTTTTCATTTAAGCCATCTATTAGTTGATTCCTGGCCTCCCTTCCTTCACAATTTAGCATGGCCCCACAGTTCATCATTTAAATTATATAATTACTAGCCCTGTCAATTTCCTTTAACCTTACTGCTTCCACGTCTGCCAAGTAAAGCTCTAACTCTGGACCAAATACTTCAAGTACTATCTCTGCTGTTATACTAGGGTGACTGCAGGATACTGAAGGAAATCACAGAATTATAAAGTAGCAACAATACTAATTTATACTCACCAACCTCAGCCAAGCCCTCAGCATCATCTAGAAGCACTTTTCATTTGTATGTGTTTTGTTTTTCCTCCTTTGCTGCACAGATAATACTCCAAAATCACCATCGTTCTAAAATCCTGTATCTAGACTCTTTCAGTCAAACAGAAAATCCAGATTTGCTTTTAAGTCTTCCTCACCATAAACAAGATATTTGTCTTTGTGAAGGCATTAATTTTTTTTTTTTTTTTTTTTTTTTTTTTGAGACAGAGTCTCACTCTGTTACCCAGGCTGGGGTGCAGTGGTGCGATCTTGGCTCACTGCAACCTCTGCCTCCTGGGTTCAAGTGATTCTCCTGCCTCAGCCTCCCGAGTAGCTGGGATTAAAGGTGCATACTAGGCCCGGCCAATTTTGGTATTTTCAGTAGAGACAGGGTTCACCAAGTTGGCCAGGCTGGTTTCTTTCTTTTCTTTACTTTTTTTTTTTTTTTTTAAATAATTGACTTTTAAAACTTCTTTTTACACAGGTCACAACATCAACTTCAAAAGACAAGAGCTTGATTCCATACTCTAATACTGTGTCATCTAAACTCTGTGGTAATATGTTTGTTTGTGGTGACAAATGAAAGCACCCAACACCCATACCTAAAATCACTACAAAGTACATAAATGCCTTTGACAATTTTATATAGCCTACTGATATATAAAGCATTCCAGGTATAAAACAAAACAAAAGCATACCTGTGTGTAACTAGATATTAAAATTTGACTCTTCGCATTTTTCAGTGATTGGCAATATCAGATAAACAGTAGATAGAAAAACGTGTATCAGCTAAACAGTACATAGAAAAGTGTGTATAAGACAGATTTCCATATGCAGAATTTTCCCCAAAACAAATTTTTTTTTTTTTCCCGACGGAGTTTCACTCTGTTGCCCAGGCTGGAGTTCGGTGGCATGATCTTGGCTCACTGCAACCTCTGCCTCCAGGTTCAAGTGATTTTTATGCCAGAGAATAAATAGCCGGGATTACAGGCACGCATGGCCACACCCAGCTAATTTTTGTCCTTTTAGTAGAGACGGGGTTTCACCATGTTGTCCAGGCTCCAAAAAATTCTTAAAATCATTTTTATAATTCTCATATTCCCTTTGTTGGAAGCTTGCTCATCCATTTCACAAATATGAAAGGGTAAATGTAGTGGAGGAAAAGAGGATTTTGAAAGACATTCTTTGGAAGAAGTTGTTGCCATGATAACACCTGCTCCATCTTGCTCCTTACCCCACTGCCAAGTATGTGGACAGAGATGCTACATTCTTCAAGTTGAGCGAAGTGAAGGGACATTGATCAGGCTATTCAGAAAAGGAATGTGTTCCTTGAAGTTGCGGGACCCAGAAGAGGGGTATCTGGGTCATTCCTGAAGAGGCCAAGGTGCCCCATGCCAGTGGTATACAGACAGGATTCGATCTCTGTAGTCTCAGAGTTTTTCAGGGCAAAGACCTGCATGAGTGTTTTCCATGGACTAGAAGTGAGCCACGTGGGAGTGAGAGGTGCCCGTATTTCAGTCCTATCCAAGAGGAACATCTGGGAGTTCAGGCGTACTCCGCCAGAGAATCCTTGTTAAAATATGTGTGGCATGGAGCTCTGAGAAGACTGGGACAACATGCAAGTGGCAAGCTGAAGGAAATATATTACCCACATTAAGGGAATTGCAGAGGAGGGTCTCAAAGCAGAAAAGTACCTTGCCCCCTCTAGCATTGCAACAGCCCAGCTTGGAAGCAGAAAACAGTTTACTTTTAACTTAAAACCCGAGAGTTTAGATTGCTACTATTGCTAGCATGCTAGAGGGTAGCATTCTATTAATAGTTTCTGGGCCAGGCGCGGTGGCTCATGCCTGTAATCCCAGCACTTTGGGAGGCTGAGGCGGGCAGATCACAAGGTCAGAAGTTTGAGACCAGCGTGGCCAACATGGTAAAACCCCGTATCTACTAAAAAAATACAAAAATTAACTGGGCATGGTGGTGTGTGCCTGTAATCCCACCTGTAATCCTACTTGGGAGGCTGAGGCGGGAGAATTGCTTGAACCCGGGAGGCAGAAGTTGCAGTGAGCCGAGATCGCACCACTGCACTCCAGCCTGGGCGACAGAACCAGACTCCATCTCAAAAAAAAAAAAAAAAAGTTTCTGGGCTGAGATTGTATTAGCAACTCACAGAAACTTTAGAGACCTAAAAGCAAGCAGAAAAGTCATGGAAACGGCCTAGATTTTCATCTAGGTGTAGGACAAGGTAATCCCCACAAAATAAATATTAAAGAAGTAACAGGAGGCTGGGCACAGTGGCTCACGCCTGTAATCCCAGCACTTTGGGAGGCCAAGGCAGGCAGATCACTTAAGGTCAGGAGTTTGAGACCAGCCTGGCCAACATGGTAAAACCTCGTCTCTACTAAAAATACAAAAATTAGCTGGGCATGGTGGCACACACCTGTAGTCCCAGCTACTCGGGAGGCCGAGGTGGGAGAACCACTTGAACCCAGGAAGCGGAGGTTGCAGTGAGCCAAGATCACTGCCACTGCACTCCAGCCTGGGCAACAGAGTGAGACTCCGTTTCAAAAAAAAAAAGTAACAGGAGACACAATTGTGTATTGATCCTAGTCTACGGGTTATGCTCATCCTACATATAGGTTAAAAGTTCAGGATTATAGCAATAACCAAGTTTGTAGTATCCATCCTGACATATTGATGTACTATTGCAAAAAGATGCAACATAGCATTTGAAACAATTATACAGACTGCCAGCCTGACCATAACTGAATCTTTTTTTTTTTTTTTTTTTTTTTTGTATTTTTAGTAGAGACGGGGTTTCACCATGTTGGTCAGGCTGGTCTTGAACTCCTGACCTCATGATCCACCCGCCTCAGCCTCCCAAAGTGCTGGGATTACAGGCATGAGCCACCGCGCCCGGCCCCATAACTGAATCTTACAGGCATTCTAGAAAGCTGAATTTGAAAGGTTCATGTCATTATGCATAAAATACAAGAAAGGTGGAAGGGGAATAATTCATTCAAATAACTGGGTTTGCTTCCAGGTTTCTTTCATTGCAAATCTGATTGTTATAAACATTTTCCAGTTGGCCTCACACTTGGTGTAATGGTGACACTGTACTGTTTTTCATTGTTTTATAAAGAAGTAATCTTGCAGCTAGGTTAATGACTTCTGCAAGATTAGGAAACTGATATCTTTAATTTATGTCTCTAGATTACAAATAGAATGGCTTTTCATCAGTGGGGTTGAATGCTTTTATTTGTTCAATAACTATTGAGTGCTCTGTGCCACATACTGTGCTAGGGGACTGGGATAGAAATGAGGTTATAGCCCTTGCCTTCTAGGTATTCATAGCTTAGAAAAGAGATAGATACACAAGTAAGATATGGCACACTAAGCATTCTCTCTCTCTCTCTAACTCCAAATATTCACAATTTGAGAACTTCCTGGGAGGCTGGCGAGAGAAAAAAATGTGCCTGATGCATATAGTTTGCCTTTGCACCATGACTCAATAACATGTTCATTCACTTATCGGGAATCTTGTAACTCTTTGTTTTTTTTTTTTTTTTGAGACGGAGCTTTAGTCTTGTTGCCCACGCTGAAGTACAATGGCGCGATCTCGGCTCACCACAACCTCCGCCTCCCGGGTTCAAGCGATTCTCTTACCTTAGCCTCCCGAGTAGCTGGGATTACAGGCATGCACCACTATGCTCGGCTAATTTTGTAATTTTAGTAAAGACAGGGTTTCTCCATGTTGGTCAGGCTGGTCTCGAACTTCCGACCTCAGGTGATCCACCCACCTCAGCCTCCCAAAGTGCTGGGATTACAGGCATGGGCCACTGTGCCTAGCCCAGGAATCTTGTAACTCTCATGTATTGCATGCATAAACACCAAGAAGAGATGTCCTTATGAACATCACAACAACCACTGTTGTCTTGGCTTGCTGGGCAAGATGCTGTGCTAATATTTAGTCAGATTACATTAGGATAGCTGCATTGGTTATTAAAATACTAAAAAAATATTTTCATACAAGTTGGTAAATAACTTCTGTCCTAGCTGCACTAGCCCCTCATCCCAGAACTCCCCAGACATACTCGTGACCTGTTAGCTAAAAGGTACCTGGCAAAGCAAGGGCCTCTTAGACTCCAGTTCAGCCTACGATTGCATCTATTTTGATTGGTCAATGCTCATGACATATTAGTTGTTAAATATTTTATTTTATTTTATTATTTTTTTTGAGATGGAGTTTCACTCTTGTAGCCCAGGCTGGAGTGCAATGGTGCGATCTCGACTCACTGCAACCTCCACCTCCCAGGTTCAAGTGATTCTCCTGCCTCAGCCTTCCGAGTAGCTGGAATTACAGGCATGGGCCACCACATCTGGCTAATTTTGTATTTTTAGTAGAGACAGGGTTTCTCCATGTTGGTCAGGCTGGTCTCAAACTCCCGACCTCAGGTGTTCCGCCCGCCTTGGCCTCCCAAAGTGCTGGGATTACAGGCGTGAGCCACCGTGCCTGGCAGTTGTTAAATATTTTAAATATCATCCCACGAGTACAAAGAAATGCTAAAATTGGCCAATCAATGGCCCTCATATAAGCATAAATGTGTAGAAATGGGAACAGAGTCCTAACACGCTCATGTCTAGGGAGTAGTCCTCTCTTTAAAGATTCATTAGCCATTGTTAGACGTAAGATATGGCACACTAAGCATCCTCTCTCTCTCTCTCTGAAAGTCTGCATTTCAGATGAAACTCAGTAAGATTTCTAGCCCTGCAAACTTGTTATCTATGTGAGCTTGGGCGAATTATTGTACCTTATGCACCTCAGTTTCAAGGGTTAAAGAATAGTGGTTATATCCTAGGATAACATCATCATCATCATCACTACCACCATCATCAGACAGGTAGGTCCATCCATGAATAGTTTCATGTGTTTGTGACAACCACAAAATCAAAGGGTAATCATTTACACAAAGCAAGTATATTCTTATCTGTCAATAAGTAGATAGATAGATGATAGAATGATACTCACATACATGTTGTATCCCTGATTTGGCCACCAACTAGCTATATGACCACATGCAAATTACATAACTGGTTTAGGAATACTCAGTACCTCTAAAGTGGATCTGGAAGGTGTCTGTCAGCCTCCATCTACCACTACCCTTGATTTCTCAACCTATGTCTAACATCCAATTATGTTATGACATCCTAATGTCCCAGTGGGTTAAAAAAAATGCCAGAAATGTGATGGAACAGGAAACACGATCATACATGAAATTTGCTATGTACATCATGATGCAAATCATGATCTTTTTCTTGTGTAATACTGAAAAGAGCATTTTGGTAAGGGAGAAACAAAGCAAAACCATGAGCATAAATTAATCCAGAGAACTACCACTATCATGTTAGAAATTTTAGTTACATCATGCCTCAGGTAGAAATTGTCAAAAAGCAAAAATATAAAGGTCATCTATCAAGAGGCAAATAAATGGAAAGGATTAAAGATGACAATGTGCTTTTCTTAATTCAATTGTCTGTTATTTGGATACATTCTTTAAAAAATGCACTAAAGGCCAGGCATGGTGGCTCATGCCTGTAATCCCAGCACTTTGGGAGGCCAAGGCAGGCGAATCATGAGGTCAGGGGTTCGAGACCAGCCTGGCCAACATGGTAAAACCCCATCTCTATGAAAAATACAAAAAATTAGCTGGGCGTGGTGGCAGGTGCCTGTAATCCCAGCTACTCGGGAGGCTGAGGCAGGAGAATCGCTTGAACCTGGGTGGCGGAGGTTGCAGTGAGCCGAGGTTGCAGTGAGCCAATTTCGCGCCACTGCACTCCAGCCCAAGCGACAGTGCGAAACTCCGTCTCAAACAAAACAAAACAACGCAAAACAAAAAGCACTAAAAGTGGCTACTGGGAATTACAACTTAGCACTTCTGGGTGAGATTCAGTTGCCGCTGTGAAGCCATAGGCACACAAAGACAAAACATAGGTGCCTTCTGCTAGTTATAAGCCTGGGAGACTTCATCTAGTTTACTGTTGAACTCTGAGGGTATAATTTGACAAATTAGTTTTTCCACTCCTCAAACTTCACAACTGAATACTTAGTAAATAAATTTCATACCCTCATCAATGCTTTTTTTTTCTTTTTTTCTTGAAAGCAACATACCAGTGTTGACTTTTAAGCAAGAGACTCTCCTCTTCCTCAGGATTAACATTAGAAAAGCCCAGCCTTTTCAGTAAGTGTATACCCAGTGCCAATATTATTCACGCTATTTATTATTAACGTAATATCTACATTTTTTCATTATACATCAAGCTAAGGAGCTTTACATTATACAATTTTTCCCCAGACTTTAATGAACTTTGTTGCAAATGTATATACAATGAATTGTGTTTTACCTTAACCTTTTGCGTATGTGTTTTTTTTTTTTTTGAGACGGAGTCTCACTTTGTTGCCCAGGCTGGAGTGCAGTGGTGCGGTCTTGGCTCACTGCAACCTCCGCCTCCTGGGTTCAAGCGATTCTCCTGCCTCAGCCTCCCGAGTAGCTGGGACTACAGGCGGCCGTTGCCACGCCCGGCTAATTTTTTGTATTTTTAGTAGAGACGGGATTTCACCATGTTAGCCAGGATGGTCTCGATCTCCTGACCTCGTGATCCACCCACCTCGGCCTCCCAAAGTGCTGGGATTACAGGTGTGAGCCACTGCGCCCGGCCTCCTTCTTTGTATGTGTTCTAAAATATTCTACCATTTCTAGGTAATATATTAAAGGGCGCAGGAGCCTTAAATGATCTACCCATGAATTTCAGTATGTTTCAAGAAATCCTTGAAAAGGAACCACAGAGATCTATTCAATCATTAAGAGCTACAAATACAGTAAATAAGAAGAGTTTTAATCTATTAAAATCTAATTCTAAAGACCTTGTTCCAAATGGAGTATGCTATTCCAACGTTGTGTTTATATATAAATACACATCACTTTTCAAGAAATACTTTCTTTGTCTGCATGTTTTGTCCCATGCCAGTCTCAATAGCACTATTAAATATAAAACAATCCTACAGGGGCGTAAAGAGTTTTACTCTTGAAATTAGGTTTAAAGAAAACGTATCATGATGCAAAAAGTAGAAAATCTTTCAGTTTAAGAGGAAATTAATACAAAGTCAAAACACATTCACATTTCACTTCCTTTGCTTTTTAAACTGCTGAAGGTATACCTGTAAAATAGTCATTACTCAGTTTAAATTAGTGATAGCTAAAAGCTATACAAAAAGATCTGGTGGTTTTAATTTTATTCATCAAATCTCTACCTCAGGGACCCGGGGAAATGCAGAGAAGTGCACTGCATATTTATAAGGCCTCTGGGACCCTAGCAGGCTTCCAAATACCTTGTTTGTTGCAATCTGCTTGTCAAACCATTAAAGAAGTAAAATCCACACTCTATCCCCTATTGTATATGCAGACTTTCTCTGTTAATTAAATCAAAACTATATGATTCCAAAGAGGAGAAACAGTGTAATATCTAGTGCCTCACCAGCTTCTCTAGGCAACCTGAAGACATAATAATTTTAGTACCAGGTTTTCATTTAGAACATTTTTTCATTGACTACCATATTAAACAAATATTTTAACCTTGACTGATTATTAAAAATGTTCACTTTAACCTCAGATTTAGCAAGTCTATTATTTCATTATTATTATTATTATTTTGAGACGGAGACTCGCTGTCTCCCAGGCTGGAGTGCAGTGGCACGATCTCGGCTCACTGCAAGCTCCACTTCCCGGGTTCGTTCTTCTGCCTCAGCTTCCCGAGTAGTTGGGACCACAGGCACCCGCCACCACGGTGGGCTAATTTTTTTTTTGTATTTTTAGTAGAGACGAGGTTTCACCGTGTTAGCCAGGATGCTCTCTATCTCCTGACCTCGTGATCCACCCACCTCGGCCTCCCAAAGTGCTAGGATTACAGGCGTGAGCCACCGCGCCCGGCTGCAAGTCTATTATTAAAAATGTCTCCATGCCGGTCCTTAATTATAGCTACTGTGATGTAACTCTTATCTGGTGTGGGCTTATTTACCTCTCCTATCTAAAAGGTTAAATACTACAAAGGATTGAGACTAAGAAAACTTGTGATAAGTAAGGAAAAAGAAAATTCCAGGATTTTACACTTGTTAAGTACAGGAGGGAGAAAAACAAACAAACATATCCATATATCTATATTTATGTCCCTCTCAATATTTATAATGTAGAAAATGGGAGATTCGGGAATCCACTTTAACTGCAACCAAGCCAAGAGGAAAGCTAACTCTCTCACCTTTCTTCTCACTAGCAGTGTTAAAAGTGTTGCAGCCTGCCCGGAAACTGAAGAAACAGCCCGAGATGTATATTCTTCCACTTATTTTCACCAGCCACATTCTTCACATGCTATTATAGACATAAATATTCACTATCCTCTTAAATCTGGTGTGGTAAGGGGGAGCAACCCCATCAGTGGTGAAAAGTTTTACAAAAATTGTTTGCCTTAAGAACGTTAAAGAATTTCATGTTTTAGAAACAGAGACTGGATGGACATTTTCTATGCAGTCAAAGCTCAAATTAAAAAAAAAAAGATTCATGTTTTGGGAGGTCAAGGCTGGTGGATCACTTGAAGTCAAGAGTTCAAGACCAGCCTGGCCAACATGGTGAAATCCCGTCTCTACCAAAAATACAAAAATTAGCCAGGTATGGTGGTGGGCACCTGTAATCCCAGCTACTCAGGAGGCTGAGGCAGAAGAATCGCCCCACTCTCGGGAGGTGGAGGTTGCAGTGAGCCGAGATTGCGCCACTGCACTCCAGCGTGGGTGACAGAGCAAGACTCAAAAAAAAAAAAAAAAGTCTCAAAAAAAAATTTCAGTGACTTTCAATCTATGTTTCTTTTTTTAAAAAATCAATTTAGTTTAATCAGGAGTTCTTAAGAAAAATAAGTTCTTACATGAAAAATCAGGACATAAAGGTTGAAATGATAGAAAAAATGCTAGACCAAATCTAGAGACTAGATTTCTAGTCCAAGTAATGCTAATAATTTGCTATTTCCTCTTATTCAGATCAGTTAATTTCCCCAGGCTTTCTTTTCTCAACTTTTAAACAAGGAGATGAGAGCAGATGATCAAATTTCAGAATTCAGAGAAACTTCAGAACTCATCTAGCACATCCCTTTGTTTGCAAGATGAAGAAACCAAAGTCTAGAGAGGTGAACTGCTTTGTTAAAGGCACGCAGTAAGCTGCAAACCACAGACATGTCCTTCAGGTGCCTGAAAGCCTGCCTGTCTCGCATCCTTCTACACACATGCTGTTGGAAGAACCAGTGGTGCAGACCCTTCCTTATCTCAGTGTCTGTGATTCTTATAACAGTGTATTGTACTACACTGATATGCTGCAACCTGTGCCAGAGGCAAAGCCAAATAGAAACATGTCTTGGAGCTATTTTCAAAAATACATGGCTGTTTCTAGGCATCCAGATAACGGAATATTATTAAGCAATAACAAGCAATGAACCATCAAGCCTCAAAATGACATGGAAGAGCCTTAAATGCATATTGCTAAGTAAAAGAAGGCAATCTTCTTTTACAGAATTCCAACTTGTATGACATTTTGAAGAAGGCAAAATTATGGAGACATCAAAAAGGTCAGTGGTTGCCAGGGGTTAGGGGGAGGGAAGGAGGGATTAAAAGGTAGAGCATAGGGGATTTTTAGGGCAGTAAACTATTCTGTATAATGCTATAATGGTGGATACATGACATACATTTGTCAAAACCCATATATGTATAACATATAGAGTGAACCCAAATATAAACTATAGTCTTTTGTTAACATATCAATATTTGTTCATCAACTGCAACAGAAGTACCATACTAATGCAAGATATTAATAATAGGGAAACTGAAAGGTAGAGAAGGGATATAAGAACTCTGTACTATGTGCTCATGTTTTCTGTAAATGTAAAACTTCTCTAAAAATTAAAGTCTATTTGTTTTAAAATCTCTAGTTAAAAAGCTCTTCTTGATTGGGCGTGGTGGCTCACGCCTGTAGTCCCAGCACTTTGGGAGGCCGAGGCACGCGGATCACGAGGTCAAGAGATTGAGACCACCCTAGCCAACATGGTGAAACCCTGTCTCTACTAAAAATACAAAAATTAACTAGGCGTGGTGGCGCGTGCCTGTAATCCCAGCTACTCCGGAGGCTTAGGCAGGAAAATCGCTTGAACCAGGGACTCAGAGGTTACAGTGAGCCGAGATCGCGCCCCTGCACTCCAGCCTGGCAACAGAGCGAGAATGCTAACAATAAAGAAACATGGCCCTTAATCCATATTTTTGGAATGGAAATGTTCAACCGGCTATAGTCATTTCTACAAACTATTCCCACTTGGGCTAAGTAATAGCGTGGATTATACTGAAGTTCCCTGACAATCAACATTCAGATTGAGGAACAGGGTAAGAATGGGAGGCATAAGGATAGCTCCCAAATCCAGTAGGAAGGGGTGTTGGGAGAGGATTTAGCTGGACTTACCAGGTACTCTTAACTCAGCTAGGTCTTCAGGGAACATACCTTGAGATTCATTATCCTGGCTCAAGAAACTCTATACAGTCTGTACAGCTGGAATGTGGACCCTGTTCCAGTTTCTGCCTACCATCTTACCCATCTTTCAAGGCCTGAAATTAATGCAACCTTCTCTATGAAGCCATACCTAACATTTTCTTCTAGGGGTGAGCTTTCTCTCCTCTGATATATTCCTCTAGCATTTCAGCTAATATTTGAAAGGCACCCCGTTGCAGTGTCTTTTTTTTTATTTTTAATTTTTTCTTTTTTTGCGACAGTGTTTCACTCTGTCGCCCAGGCTGGAGTGTAGTGGCGCAATCTCTGCTCACTACCACCTCCGCCTCCTGGGTTCAAGTAATTCTCCTGCCTCAGCCTCCCAAGTAGCTGGGATTAGAGGTCCACGCCACCATGCCTGGCTACTTTTTGAATTTTTAGAAGAGACGGGGTTATCCCCATGTTGGCCAGACTGGTCTCAAACTCCTGACCTCAGGTGATCCACCTACCTTGGCCTCCCAAAGTGCTGGGATTACAGGTGTGAGCCACCGCTCCCAGCCCCACATGCCTCTTTAGTTGTGGCATTTTTTAAAGAACATTTTCAGTTAATCACATGATAAAGTATCTAACATTGACTAGCAGAAACAGTTCTAGATGATCATAGATTGTACCACTTAGGCATTTCTTACAGTTTCATTTCAATCAGTTTTTCTAACTTCAGTACCTTGAAGATCTAGTCACCTTATTCTCTTATTCTATGGAATGCAGCTAGCAAAATTTATATATATCAGGTACAATTCTCATATAAAGGCTATCTATCATATTCCAAATAATTTATGTCCAAACTACTTAATGTCACACTGAGTCATGACTAAAGGCAATTCTCATTCATGATGAGCCATTTAAGTGGTAAACTCTGGAGGAGATAAGTATGTTTCGGCTTGCATTACAACTCAAAGCAATTGATAAATGCTGCCTAGAATGCTGTGTTGAGGAGGATTCTGAGGTCATTTCTGAAAGCATAAATGTTGCTTAGCTATAAAGTCTAGAAATCAGCATTGTTTCCTTCTCTGTGCTTAGCAAAGGAAACTCATTGGGGGTATTCCATCTCTTAGAAGTGCAAAACAAGATGTGGTTGGAACTTTGTGACTAATAAACAGGTGTCTTCCTTATTTATGTAAGGAACTCACTGCGGTGACTTAGCAAAATAAGTCCTGACTTTGTTTACAAATTTACTACCACATATAGTTTTAGGAATGAACTCAAATAAAATAAAAATTAAAAAAAAGTTATTTTAAAAACTTGTTCTCCCTCTCCCTCTCCCTGTCCCTGTCCCTGTCCCTCTCCCCACGGTCTCCCTCAGATGCCGAGCCGAAGCTGGACTGTACTGCTGCCATCTCGGCTCACTGCAACCTCCCTGCCTGATTCTCCTGCCTCAGCCTGCCGAGTGCCTGCGACTGCAGGCACGCGCCGCCACGCCTGACTGGTTTTCGTATTTTTTTGGTGGAGACGGGGTTTCGCTGTGTTGGCCGGGCTGGTCTCCAGCTCTTAACCGCGAGTGATCTGCCAGCCTCGGCCTCCCGAGGTGCCGGGATTGCAGACGGAGTCTCGTTCACTCAGTGCTCAATGTTGCCCAGGCTGAGTGCAGTGGCGTGATCTCGGCTAGCTACAACCTCCACCTCCCAGCCGCCTGCCTTGGCCTCCCAAAGTGCGGAGATTGCAGCCTCTGCCCGGCCGCCACCCAGTCTGGGAAGCAAGGAGCGTCTCTGCCTGGCCGCCCATCATCTGAGATGTGAGGAGCCCCTCTGCCCGGCTGCCCAGTCTGGGAAGTGAGGAGCGCCTCTTCCCGGCCGCCATCCCGTCTAGGAAGTGAGGAGCGTCTCTGCCCGGCCGCCCATCGTCTGAGATGTGGGGAGTGCCTCTGCCCCGCCGCCCCGTCTGGGATGTGAGGAGCGCCTCTGTCCGGCCGCAACCCCGTTTGGGAGGTGAGGAGCCCCTCCGCCCGGCCGCCCCGTCTGAGAAGTGAGGAGCCCCTCTGCCCGGCAGCCGCCCCGTCTGAGAAGTGAGGAGCCCCTCCGCCCGGCAGCCGCCCCGTCTGAGAAGTGAGGAGCCCCTCCGCCCGGCAGCCGCCCCATCTGGGAAGTGAGGAGCGTCTCCGCCCGGCAGCCGCCCCGTCTGGGAGGTGAAGGGGGGGCAGCCCCCGCCTGGCCAGCCGCCCCACCCAGGAGGGAGGTGGGGGGGGCAGCCCCCGCCCGGCCAGCTGCCCCACCCAGGAGGGAGGTGGGCGGGGGGACAGCCCCCGCCGGGCCAGCCGCCCCTCCCGGGAGGGAGGTTGGGGGGGCAGCCCCTGCCCGGCCAGCCGCCCCGTCTGGGAGGTGGGGGGGGCACCTCTGCCCGGCCGCCCCTTCTGGGAAGTGAGGAGCCCCTCTGCCCGGCCGCCACCCCGTCTGGGAGGTGTACCCAGCAGCTCATTGAGAACGGGCCATGATGACGATGGCAGTTTTGTCGAGTAGAAAAGGGGGAAATGTGGGGAAAAGATAGAGAAATCAGATTGTTGCTGTGTCTGTGTAGAAAGAAGTGGACATGGGAGACTCCATTTTGTTCTGTACTAAGAAAGATTCTTCTGCCTTGGGATGCTGTTGATCTATGACCTTACCCCCAACCCGGTGCTCTCTGAAACATGTGCTGTGTCCACTCAGGGTTAATTGGATTAAGGGCGGTGCAAGATGGGCTTTGTTAAACAGATGCTTGAAGGCAGCATGCTCGTTAAGAGTCATCACCACTCCCTAATCTCAAGTACCCAGGGACACAAACACTGCGGTAGGCCACAGGGTCCTTTGCCTAGGAAAACCAGAGACTTTTGTTCACTTGTTTATCTGCTGACCTTCCCTCCACTATTGTCCTATGACCCTGCCAAATCCCCCTATACGAGAAACACCCAAGAATGATCAATAAAAACAAACAAAAAAACAAAAAAAAAACAAAAAAAAAACTTGTGCTGAAAAATGACAGTAAAAAATAGTCCTTTATATGTTGACATGATTCTACTGATTCACTGCCAACAAGATATATGACTTTTAGTTATGTTTCTTTTCTTTTTTTTTTTTGAGATGGAGTCTCGCTCTGTTGCCGAGGCTGGAGTGCAGTGGGGTGATCTCGGCTCACTGCAACCTCCGCCTCCCAGGTTCAAGCAATTCTCCTGCCTCAGCCTCCTGAGTAGCTGGGATTACAGGCACGTGCCACCATGCCAGGCTAATTTTTGTATTTTTAGTAGAGACAGGGTTTCACCATGCTGCCCAGGCTGGTCTTGAACTCCTGACCTCGTGATCTGCCTGCCTCAGCCTCCCAAATTGCTGGGATTACAGGCATGAGCCACCGTGCCTGGCTAGTTATGTTTCTTATAACCAAAACAAGTTGTACTTATCCAGAGTCCTTCTGGTTTTCAAAAATGTGTTCCTGATGAACTGATAAACTCAAAGATGTATGTTTAGTATCTTTTTAATTCATGCACTTTAGAGATAGGAAAAACAAAACGGATTCCAGTCTGTCTCTCTCTCTATACACACACACACACACACACACACACACACACACACACACACACACACCGCTAGTTTTATTTGCTGTTAAAGTTTCAACAGCAAATGACTTGGTTTAAGTCATTAGAAGGAAAATGATGATGACCACTTCTACTTCTGCCTGGGAATGATGTCAAGGCCAAGAGTAAATATATAAAATTATTGCCATAATGGATAAAGTTTCCTAAGGCTCAAGTATTCATTAAAATGACCAATGTCAAACAACATGTATAACTGGGTACTGACTCAGTGGAAACCTAAAATAACTATTATATGAGACCCCAGGTGGCCTAATTAGTCAAACAGACTCCTGGAGCCATTTTACATGTACAAATCCCCCCTAAACTGAAACTTACTGAAAAATATCTGAGTATCACTGATTAGTATACCATTTAGTTGACGGTAAATGTATCCAAACCTGTTTTACACACATGTGCTCACACATAAAATCATGCAATCGTCCATATCATTATTGGAAGTACCATAGAAAGATCGGGGTTAAAACCAAGCTCTACCACTTAATGGATATGAAACCTTGTTAATTTTCATGTATCTGAACTTATAAAAAGAGACAAGATTAAAGAAAACACAATGTATTTATCATGCCTAAATACAGGAACTGGCCAGTAGTTTGCATTCAGTAAATGTAGGTTCTTTACTAGCCCTGTCATTCAGATGATACAATCATTTTGTTTCTAAGATGCATAAAGCCAAAATATATAAAAATTTATTCATATTTCTTGTATGTATTTCTTGTATTCTTACATTTCTATATGTAGAAATATATTCAGAGGCCCCACCAGAAACAAAAGTTTTTGCTTCTTGTAGCCATTATATTGTTGACAAGGATATTTATTTATTATTTATTATTATTATTTTTTGAGATGGAGTTTCGCTCTTGTTGCCCAGGCTGGAGTGCAATGGCACGATCTTGGCTCACCACAACCTCCACCTCCCGGGTTTGAGCGATTCTCCTTCCTCAGCCTCCCGAGTAGCTGGGATTACAGACATGTGCCACCATGCCCAGCTAATTTTGTATTTTTAGTACAGACTGGGTTTCTCCATGTTGGTCAGGCTGGTCTCGAACTCCCAACCTTAGGTGATCTGCCTGCCTCGGCCTCCCAAAGTGCTGGGATTACACACATGAGCCACTGCGCTCAGCCAACAAGGATATTTACTTATTGTACTTGTTTATTTTCTATACCCCAATGTATGCAGTGAATACTGCCTTTTATTTGCTTGAGTAGGGAACTGCATGCGGCCAGTGGAATTCCTGTTATTTTCCTATATCTTATAAATTATCTGGTCTATTTGAATTATTTTCCTGTCTTCATTGGTATTTTCTATACCTATTAATGTATTACCCATGAACTTAATTAAAGTGCTGTTTACTGGTACTCCTTACAGATTATTAATGAAATGTTAATTAATTAAAGGCCTAGCACTATCCAAATCTCTAACATAATGAATGAACCTCTCCCATTCCATTATATTTTAGTTCTCATCCTAGAGTCATTTCACAGAGGTCCTGGCTAATAAAATAATCAACTGAATCTTAAAATGATTTTTCAAGATTTGATGCTACATTAAAGTTTTCTTTTCTTTTCTTTTACATTAAAGTTTTCTATCATGGCTAATTATGTTAGGTAGCACAAATAAATGCGTGATGTTAAGGTTATGCCAGATGAGACAGCAGAAAGGTTTCTTGTTCACAAATAGGCACTCAAAAAGTTTTTAACAGGCTGGGCGTGGGGGCTCACACCTGTAATCCCAGCACTTTGGGAGGCCGAGGCGGGTGGATCATGAGGTCAGGAGTTCGAGACCAACCTGGCCAAGATAGTGAAACCCCGTCTCTACTAAAAATACAAAAATTAGCCAGGCGTGGTGGTGCATGCCTGTAGTCCCAGCTACTTGGGAGGCTGAGGCAGGAGAATCGCTTGAACCCGGGAGGTGGAGGTTGCAGTGAGCCAAGATCATGCCATTGCACTCCAGCCTGGGCAACAAGAGCGAAACTCCATCTTAAAGAAAAAAAAAAGTTTTTAACATGGGCATTATTATTTTATTGTGTATTGTACCTTGCCCCATTCATACAAGTTTTCATAGACTACAGAATGGAAATACATATTTTCCATAGATATATAAAATACAGTGTGTATACATATATGTGTATATATGTATGTCTGTACGCATGTGTGTGTGTGTGTGTGTGTGTGTGTGTGTGTGCATATATATATAGTCATTGCAATCTCCTCAAAAAGCAGAGCAAACAGTAATGTAGTGGGATTAAAATCTGATCTGAACTTGATTCTTTGACTGTGTGATGCTCTACACCAAGGCCAACTGAAAGGTCAGGGTACAGGTTCAATGATGTTGTTGCATTTTCCACTATAATAATAATATTAGAACAATTGGTACCAAAGGAGCACCCCAGGATGGTAACCTAGAAAATGCCTTTACTGGGCTCACATGGTGGTGGAGAGGTTCTCAGTTGATAACAGTGAATCTTTTCAAAAAGAGTTGAAGACTGATCAGTACTATAAAGCTCTGTATTTCTGGCTGTTGAATTACCTTGCTGTCTTTCAAACATTTTACTACGACATTTCTTCTGGGAAAATTTGCTTCTCTAGTGCTATTTAATGTGGCACACAAAACTTGAAGAAATTCAAACAGCAAAGTAAAATTGTATTTGTTATTGTTATGATCACATGTGAACATCATTTAGAGCAATTATCTGAAGGACAGCATTAATGAATACAGCATTTCTCTCACTCATTCAAAAATATTTATTGCTCATTTACTCTGCCAAAGAACCTGTGCTAGGTGTGGTAGGAAATACAAGGCTGTATTAGCAGTTTCTGCCCACAGGTTTGTAATCCTGTGGGGTAATTAAGGCATGTATACAGGTGCACCCAGCAAGACACTGCTTATTTAAACCCTGATTTAAATAAGTGCAGGCAATAATTCTATTCATTAGTTTGTATCTTAAATGATAATTGCACATTTTGGGTAGCAGTGGAATAGCTTAGTGCAGAGTACATACTTTGTACATGCGAATCTGGTGCTATTCATTTTCTCTGCGATTGCTAGCACACTGTATAACAATTTGCACACAATAGGCACCCCATAAATAAATGCTCAATGGAATAATGAAATCTAATTGCTCTCAAATGTCACTTTCTTTTTACATGGGAATGTGGAATTCAAGCAGGAGGCATGGGAGATGTTTTCCAATACTTTTACAGTTATGTGGAAGAAGGTTTAGTCTATGTAGTGTCAGAAAGCAGACATAGGATCAATGGGTGGAAGTTCCAGGAAAAGTAGATCTTGGCTCAAATTCAGAACTCTCTAGTAATTACAACTGTCCAAAAATGTAGTCAGCTGTTTCAAGAGCTGGTTAAGTCCTTGTCGTTTCTATAGGTACTGAAACAGAGATCAAAAGGACCACCAAGGGATTCCAGTGCTGGATTCCAGCAATAAAGATGTCCACTTCTGTGTTGATGGGTGATGGGAGAAGCAGTATAGCATCCTTGTTAAGGCTGCCACCTCTAGAGCCTGACTCATTTGGTTCAAACTCAGGTCTGCCACTTAGTAGCTGTGTGACCTTGGGCAACTTAGTCCCTCTGTACCACAGTTTTCCTATCATGTAAAATGAGGTTAATAGTATCTCCTTCAAGGCCGAGCATGGTGGCTCACGCCTGTAATCCCAGCACTTTGGGAGGCCGAGGCGGGCGGATCACCTGAGGTCAGGAGTTCGAGACCAGCCTGACCAACATGGAGAAACCCTATTTCTACTAAAAATGCAAAATTAGGCCAGGCACAGTGGCTCACACCTGTAATCTCAGCACTTTGGGAGGCCGAGACGGGCAGATCACCTGAGACTGGGAGTTCAAGACCAGCCTGACCAACATGGAAAAACCCCGTCTCTATTAAAAATACAAATTAGTGGGGCATGGTGGCGGGTGCCTATAATGCCAGCTACTCAGGAGGCTGAGGCAGGAGAATTGCTTGAACCTGGGAAGCGGAGGTTGTGGTGAGCCGAGATCACGCCACTGCACTCCAGCCTGGGCAACAAGAGAGGAACTCCATTTCAAAAAACAAAACAAAACAAAACGCAAAATTAGCCAGGCATGGTGGCACATGCCTGTAATTCCAGCTACTCGGGAGGCTGAGGCAGGAGAATCGCTTGAACTCGGGAGGCAGAGGTTGCAGTGAGTCAAGGTAGTGCCATTGCACTACATCCTGGGCAATAAGACTGAAACTCTGTCTCAAAAAAAAAAAAAAAAAATAAAAATAGTATCTCCTTCATTGTGTCTTTATTCCTTAGTTTGTTCATTCATTCATTTATTTTTGGTATATACTTTTCTAACCATTTGCCTCACAGACATGTGGATGTTAACTGACCCAGTATGCTTCCTCCTTACTAGAAGACAAAGGAATCTCTGTATCTAGGATTTCCTTAGTGCTTCTAGAATTCCTTTTCGCAGCAAACAGACCTGAATGAACAGGATTAAATGATTTCCTATTGTAAGACATTTAGAACATTGTCTGGCAAATTGTAAATAATACATAAATGCTTGTTAAATAAATGACATTGATAAGATTGTGTCTTAGTATCCACAGAGTGTTTCTGAAGGAATTTCCCACACGTTATCTTGTTTTACCCTAATTTTTCACTTAGTTCCCATTTTCCTGGCCAGAGTTCATTGCTTCCTCTTCCTGTCAGCTATGACACTTTTGCATACCTCACTTGTGCCACTTATCCCATTGGGAATTTTATAATTGTTTGTGTGCTGGGCCTTTTTCACCACAACACTGTGGCTCCTCAAAATAGGAACTCTCTCTTGTCACATCTCCATCCCTCATTTGTCTGAACAGTGCCTGAGGCCGGGCACGGTGGCTCACGCCTGTAATCCCAGCACTCTGGGAGGCGGATGCGGGTGGATCACAAGGTCAGGAGATCGAGGCCAGCTTGACCAACATGGTGAAACCCCATCTCTACTAAAAATACAAAAATTAGCCGGGCGTGGTGGTGAGTGCCCGTAATCCCAGCTACTCAGGAGGCTGGGGCAGGAGAATCGCTGGAACCTGGGAGGCGGAGGTTGCAGTGAGCCGAGATTGCACCACTGCACTCCAGCCTGGACAACAGAGTGAGACTCTGTCTCAAAAAAAAAAAAAAAAAAGAAAGAAAAGAAAAAAAAAAGAACAGTGCCTGAATACAAGAACGCTGCTTGATCATTTCAGTTCAGCTGACAATTATTCTTCCTGGTGTTAACTGGAGAAATATGGGAATTCACAGACATTTTATATGCAGTATTTACTGCATTGATTTCCATAACCTTGAAAGGTTTGGGGAGTAAGCATTAACAACTACATTTAAAACTGAGTAAACTTGAGCAAGATGTGGCAAATGACTTTCCCTAGGTCACATAAATGGTAGAACTAAGCACATAACTGTAAGTTGCATGTTCTTTCCCAATAGACCACACCACAACAAAAGAAGTTACATTAGACTGCAGGCATGATGTTTTGTTAATACAGTCGTTTTTAGGTGGCCAGAGAAATTGCATCATAACCAATATATCACCATAGCACAGTAAATGTGAAATGATGTGTGATGACACAAGTCTTCTTCAGGACAGGACTTGGAAAAATACTCAGATGATTTGAATTACAATTAAAATAAGCCAGTACACATTGTTTCGGAAGTAGGTAGAGTATAAATAATACATAAATGAAATGAAATTCTCTGCAAATGAAATAAAATTACTCAAGCATGTGTAATAGCACAATTCAAGGGTCAGTAATTTGTTTCACTTTACAAATTAATAACATGGAGAGAAGTAGAAGAGTGGGCTACTCAAAACAGAGATCTGCCAAGAGCAACACGGGAAAAACACAAATTGGCCAGAAATCAGATCTTGCATATTTTCTGCTCTAGCTCTTTGATTATGGTAAATTGCCAGGCCCAACAGTGCTTAACTTTCTCAGGCCAAGATAGTTCATTTGGTAAATGGCTCTAAATGACACCCAAGTGCCTTTCATTTAGTGGCCTGAGAGCAGTGAGCCAACAGGGAGCAAAGAGCTGACTTTCTTATTAAGGGGTGGAGACCATTTCTAACCAAACCCTCCCAGGTGACAAAACTATTCATGAGGGTCAAAGTCAGTCAGTTTAGTTGTACAGTGAGTCTTATAAGTCACGTGGGTACTATTCTACAAAAGGAAATCAATGAGGTCTGGGTACCCTAAAAGAGTTATGTACGTGAGGCGCCTAATTTATTCCCCAGGGAATATCTCATTCATTAAGCAGAAACTGACATGCTGTGACATGAGTTTTCCATTCCACTTAGTGAAAGCAAGTCCTTAGTTCATTCAATCACTGCTCCTGAGGACAAGTAGTTTCAGAAATAATGTCTCATGTCCAAATTTATTTCTTGTCTGAGAAGTTGAAAAGTTAATGGGACTTCCTACTTGTTAGCATTGCAACTGGGAGCTTGGCATTTCCTGTTTCTAAGGATTGTCATTATTCATCTTAATGAGGGGGCACAAAGGCAAAAACAGTTACAAAGTAACTTAAGACATGGAAAGGTCAGTGGTCACTGACTGTTTCTTAAAGGGTTTTCATTGTAACCTAAGTAAGCTAATGTTTTTTAAAAGAAAAAGACACATTTTAATGGATTAAAATATTATGCAAAAAGAGTATGTGACAGATGGCAAAGCTAAGCAACATTTACAGCAATATCTAACTCGGATCCAGCTGACGCACCCCATTACATTTCATACACAGCTTTCTTATTATTGATAACTCAGAAACTTTTTGCAGATTCTTAATGTGTTCAAAGTCAGATGGAACAATCGATAATTGGTGAGTTAATTTATATTACAAATCAACTCTATGTACAGTCCAAGTGGCAGCATCCTGTGTAAGAAAATCAATTCTTTTCTATGTGCATGTGAAACAGATCATTTCTTGGTTTGATAGAAGATATTAGAGAGCTTATTCTTGTAGGTTAGCTGTACTTTGCAACCTCAAAATAAGCAGTCTGTTCTATGCCATGGAGTCTTAACCACAGTAAAGGATGTGTCAAAAAATGAGTTCTGCTATTCTTCAGAAAATAAACAAAAATCACATTTCATGTACCCTGTTTTGACTCAAAGAATTATCGTGTCATTTTTGACAGATGCAGCAAAGTGCAGTAATTTTTCTCTAAAGGTAAAGCCAAAATAGATTAGGCAATTAAAAGCATGTGTTAGTCAAAAAACATCCTACCCACAGTAAAAAATAAAAACTATATTTATAATCATATTTCTTGTTTTATACTTTACCAAAACAACTGCAAATTGAAACATGAGATGCTTTACCAGGATAAAGGGTTTGTGCTCTGTGTTTCTTTCTAAATTTTCTTTTACTCCCACCCCACTTTACAAATTAGATTATGGCAGAGAATTACATAAGTGGAGAAGTTACAGGACATCGAAGCACCAAAGAATCATTTGATTGGAAATAGATAACATAGCTGCTTTATATTAGACATCTTGCCAGATGTCCTGGTGGTATTCTAATAAGGATGATGACAGTCACTGCACTAACTGCATGTAAAGATAATACTGTCCAAACTGAGAGTTAATGAAACTCCTACTTTCAAAGTCCATAAACAAAATAAATGCTGGCAATGAGTCCTTATGAAACATAATAATTTGCATAAAATAATAAAGGAGAATAGCCAGTACTTGTTCCTTCAAAGTTGTGGACGAAGCTTTCTTGTGATCAAAAGAATACATTATTTATACTGTAATCTTTAGGACAAGTACTATGACTTATTCGCCATTAGATCTCTAGCATCTGACACAGTTTCTGGCTCAAGGGTAGTTAAACTATATTATTTGAGAAATGTACAAAGGGTCAATCAGAATAAAAGTATTTTTCAGACATAGTATATGCAAGTATACACACAGACATATACATATATACACACACATGTTCTGTACTGTCATACTAGAAAAAGAAATGTTCTTTTAAGAACCCCAACTAGGAACGTATGTGATAAATTAGTTTTGCAACAATGCCTTGCAAGAAACCGAGAAAGAGCAGTGAGAATTAACAGTAAACATTTAATGATGCTGTGAGCATGGGTTATTCCTAAACACTGACTAACTCATTTAGAGAACTGTCTAGTTAAAACTCAACTCAATAGTGATAATAATATTTACTGAACACTTGGATTAGTATAGTTATCTCCAAACTCCTTATCCTGGCCAACAAGGACCTACATGATTTGTCCCTACCTTTTTCTCAGTTTTCATCTTATACTAATCTCCCCTTTGTTAACCACACAACCAGCCATATTGGCCTTCTTTTTGTTTCTTGAATATGCTAAGTTTATGTCCATTTCCATACAATTTTGAACAAGCTATTCTCCCTGCCTAAAATGCTTTTAACTAGATCTTTACATGTCTGGAATCTTTCTATATTTCAGGCCTCAGCTCAAACGTCACCACGACAAAAAGGCCCTCCTAACCTAAAGTGGCTCCCCAGTCACCATCACATAACCTGGTTTTATTTCCTTCCATAGCACTTAGCACAACATAGCACTGAATCCCAAACCCCATTCCATGCCCAAGTAAATTTTAGCTCCATGAGAGCAGGCACCTCATCCGTTTCATTACTCTCTGAGACTGAAGGCCCAGAACACTGAGCGGCACATAGGAAATATTTGACTCTCTTAACTGATTTTCCTGTTTTCAGTCTCTCCCTTTTTTTATTCATTCTGCATGCAATGACTAGATTGGCAGAGCAATCTTACTAAAGTACCACTCCTCTGGTCATGCAATGCCCCAGCTTCATAGTGAGAGAGGAGTATATATTGAGTATGTTTCTGTTTTCTATTATTGTCAGCCCTCTCTAGCTTTGAAATTCTTACTCTGTGCTTATTTGACTTGATGAGATACTGGAACAAAAATAATAGTAGACTAACACCTGTAGAAATTAAATGCAATAAAAGGGTTAACATACACTGACAACAGAGAATAAAGTCTTTTTTTTGTTGTTGTTTTTTTTTGAGACAGTCTTCCTCTGTCACCCAGGCTGGAATGCAGTGGTGTGATCTTGGCTCACTGCAACCTCCGCCTCCCGGGTTCAAGCAATTTTCTGCCTCAGCCTCGCAAGTAGCTGGGATTACAGGTGCCCGCCACCATGCCCGGCTAATTTTTGTATTTTTAGTAGAGATGAGGTTTCACCATCTTGGCCAGGCTGGTATTGAACTCTTGACCTCGTGATCCACCCATCTCAGCCTCCCAAAGTTCTGGCATTACAGGCGTGAGCCACTGCGCCCAGCCGAATAAAGTCATTTCTAAGGAGAAGATTGACCATCCCTGAATTCCTTGAGGGTAAGAAGTTGTGAGGACCAACAGTAATGTAGCCCTTGATGCCACATAACTTTTCTAAAATATATTTGTGCAAAGGTTAATTAACCACTTGGCCAGGTGCCTCAGTGGCATCAGAGACATGTGTACATGTGTGTGTATGTGTGAGCAAGAAAATGAATAGTCATATTTGCTTCAATATAGTGCCCTGAAATGTATAGCATGTGTGTGTGTGTGTGTGTCTGTGTGTCTATGCATGAGTATTTCTGTGAGACATATATGTACACAGAATGACTGAAAACGATGAGAAAGAGGCATATGTGCATTTATTCACACACAAGGGGCCAAACAATCATCTGTGCCTATAGAGCACCTATGTGACCTTCTTAAAGCAAAAAATGAAATAAAGTTTCAGAAGGATAGAGAAAAAAAGCCTTCTAGGCATATGATACTGCATTATCAGATAAATATCTCTACAGCAGCTGAGAGGAATTGATGATAATCTAAGATCATTAAGATGTAGTTGAATTACAGTTGGCCAGCCTGGGCAACATGGCGAAACCCCATCTTTACAAAAAATACAAAATTTAGCTGGGCGTGGTAGCAATGTGCCTGTAGTCCCAGCTATTCAGGAGGGTGGGGTGGGATGATCACCTGAGCCCAGGAGGTCGAGGCTGCAGTAAGCTGTGATCATACCATTGCACTCCAGCTGGGGTAACAGAGTGAGTCCCCATCTCAAATAAATAAATAAATAAATAAATAAATAAATAAATAAAAAACTAACAGTTGGAGCTGGGCGCAGTGGCTCACGCCGGTAATCCTAGCACTTTGGGAGGCCTAGGTGGGCGGATTACCTGAGGTCAGGAGTTCGAGACCAGCCTGGCCAACATGGTGAAACCCCGTCTCTACTAAAAATACAAAAATTAGCCGGGCGTGGTGGCACATGCTTGTAATCCCAGCTACACAGGAGGCTGAGGCAGGAAAATCGCTTTAGCCCAGGAGGCGGAGGTTGCAGTGAGCTGAGATTGTGCCACTGCACTCCAGCCTGGCTGACAGAGCAAGACTCTGTCTCAAAAATAAATAAATAAATAAATAAATAAATAAATAAATAAATAAATAACAGTTGGAACATCCTATTTACAAAGGTCCATAAGCTATAAGAATGTATAGTTATAGTGCCTAATAAAACGCCTAGCACATGGCTGGTGCTCAATATAATAATGCACTTTAGAAGGCTTTTCCTTAAAAAAATATTCTAGCATTCAAATGGTTAATGCTCAAATTTGGAAAATCCTGGTTATCTATAAACAGATATATGCTTACTAGAATTCCAGATAATTGAGATTTCACTGAATAACTGTTCAAAGTGTTTCACAGCGTTTTATTGCACAGGATACTAAAAACATGAAATGAATGGCTTATGGCAATTATCTGTGATGTAACTGACAACTTAATAGGGACATTTTGATTGATCTGGAAATAGTCAGCTATGATAGAGGAAAAAAATCTAATGCATGTGCTATCCTAACAAATAACAAAGTAAAAGAATAGATGCATGATATGAGTCTACATTTTCTCAATAAAATACTTAGAGGGTTCTGAAGTCACTAGCTCCTCTCTGCTGTCTGTGTTCAATGCCTTACATATAATACCTTTTTAATCAATGCACAGAGCCTAGTCAAAAGATCCTTCTTCAAACATTTTTGTCATTTGGCTCTCAGGCCAACAGAATTTTCTGGCTTCCTCCTACCACATAGGCTGTACCTTTTAAGTTCCCCTACACCTTCGTTAAAATTCTTCTCATCTTCCAAACTTTTAAACGTTGGAGTACTCCAGACCTGAGTCCTTGGACCTCTCTCTTCTCCGTCTGTTCATGTGTTTTAGGTCACCTTAACCAGTCTAATGGCTTTAAACACAATTTCCATGGCGATGGCTCCTAGATTTCTGTCTTTAATGTGTACCTTCCCCTTATACTCTAGGCTCACATATCTACATCTCCACTTGGATGCCTAATAGGCGTCTCAAACTTCCCACCTCTCAAACCAAACTCTTGATTCATCACCCCGACAACCTCCCTTCTTCCTCATCCAGTCATCCTCACCCCTGTGTCATTATCTCTTTTCAATTCTCTAATGACTTTCCCTTATACAATGTCTTCCATGATTTCACATCAGAACTATCCTTGCTCCTTCTACGTTCTCCCTCACTTGCTGCAATCCAGCCACTGGTCTTGCTCTTCCTGTTATACCTTACGTGTGTTTGTACTCATGCTCATTCCTTACAGCCTCTGCACTAGTTGTTCCTCCTTCATGGAAAGCTCTTCCCTCAGTTACTCACGCAAATCGTCTCCTCACTTGATTCAAACAGCTGCCTAAATGTTACTCCCTTGGAGGGGTCCTGCCCTGGCCAACTTTAAAAACAAGTGTCTCTATCATTCTTTAATGAATTATTTTACTCACCTTTATTTTCCTTATCACTTATCATTGTATGATATTATACTACATATTTATTTTGATGCTCTACAACACTAGAATATATGTGAATATATGCTCAAAGGCCTTTCTTTTTTTTTTTTTTTTTTTTTAGTTTCTCATCACTGAATCTCCACTGAAAAAAACAGGGTTTGGCACATTGTAGGTATCTGATAAACTTTTTTTTGATAAATATTTGTTGAATGAATAGATGAATTTGTGACCAGTAGGAATGATGTCACAATATTATAATATCAATACTGGTGTGATGAATCAGAGAAGAAATTAATTCAACATTTAAGCATTTAATGTTTGAGCAGAACAAGGATGAACGTACTACCTAGCTTTGGCAATATAAGAACTTTTTAGAGCTGAAAGTGATGCTCAAGATCACCTAATACAATCCCTTTGTACATAAATGTACTTATTTGCATAACTTGGAATTATTATTTCATTTCTCTGACTTTCTGTGTTCCAGGTTAATTTACTGAAAAGTTGAGGCCAGGCGTGGTGGCTCACACCTGTAATTCCAGCACTTTGAGAGGCCAAGATGGGAGGACTGCTTGAGGCCAGAAGTTTGAGAGCAGCCTGGTCAACATAGCCAGACCTCATCTCTAAAAATAAAAATAAAGTAAATAAAAAATAAAAAAAGAAAGTTGATATTTTTATTTCCTCTAAAGGAAATGAGTATTAAAATACCTTATTCCCGATAACATTAAGAGTTAAAGCAAAGCAATGACTTACAAAAGAAAAAAATGAAGAATCAGTCATAAATTGAGAGTTTTGGATCAATATTAGCATTACTAACTTAAGCACATCTTGGCATTTTAAGCAAACATAAACAATGACATATAAAATATGTGCAGAAAAACAAATAGGCAAAATGTCCCCTGTGCAGTGTGATTGATTTAAAACAATTATGGAATTCTTCCCTTAATTAACAAGCCAATAATGTAAATCTCATGACTCTTGGTGTTTCACACACATGCACACACACGTGCACACACACACGTGTGCACTTGTAACTAAAATCAAAAGAACTGCCAGGTTTTTATAAACTTATAATTCGAAGATATGCCAGGTTTTTATAAACTAATAATTCAAAGATATGACCTTGCAAACAAAAACTAGATCTTTTGGTATTGAAAAAGCCATCATTTTAACACCTAAACTGCCTACAGGCAGAAGGGCTTCTTCTAAAAGACTAACGCATGGCAGTTGCATTTCATTTTTATTTGAAAAGACTGATCCAGTGTTTTTATAGCTCTCGATTAAGCTGTTTAAATAAAAAAAGTAAATGTTGAAAGAGGAAACCACTGTAGTTAAGCTCTATGTAAACTAGTAATGGGCAAATCTCTGGTGGTTTAAAAGTTCGGTTTGGATAAATACCTAAATCTATTCGAACCTCTTAGCTGAAAAATTCCAGCTCCCACAAGGTTCACAGAGCTTTAGGTTTTCCACGGAATCTGACATAGCTTTTCAAAAATATCCATACTCAATCCCTAGCCAATAGTAAAAAAGCAACTTTTGGGGGAGAAAAGTTAAGAGGGTTTTTTAAACATAAAATGTCCTCAGGATTTGGCTCAATTTGAGAGATTTCTAACTCCAACTTTAAAACTCCACTAGGATTGTAAATCCAGTAAGACCATAAACAAGAAACTAACCAAATCATCGCCAAGGTACCAAACTGTCAAACATTTGAAACACCTGTAGATAAACAGGCTGAGGTAAAGATTCCTCTTCACCTTTTCCCTGAATTAATTCTTACTCATCTTTCAGATCTCAGCTCAAGTATTATTCTCTCTGGAGGGCAGTCCTTGTAACTAGGTTGTTGACTGGCATGGCATTATAAATCTCTTCCTTATCACCTGCCATAGTTGCTTATGTAGTTGCTGAATGTCTATCTCTTTTAGCAAAGTAAAATCTCCTTGACAGTAAGCATTGTATCTTTTTTGTTCACCACTGTGTTCCAACTATCTGACACAGTGCCTGGCACACAGTGAGTAATCAACCAATAAATATTTGTGAAATGGATGAATCCTCAACAACATCAAGTAGGTGCAAGACTTAATATGTGGCTGGGTGTGGTGGCTCAGGCCTGTAATCCCAGCATTTTGGGAGGCCAAGGCGGGTGGATCACCTGAAGTCAGGAGTTCCAGACCAGCCTGGCCTACATGGTGAAAGCCCATCTCTACTAAAAATACAAAAATTAGCTCGGAGTGGTGACGGGCGCCTGTAATCCAGCTATCTGGGAGGCTGAGGCAGGGAGAACTGCTTGAACCAAGGAGGCAGAGGTTGTAGTGAGCCGAGACCACTCCACTGCACTCCAGCCTGGACGACAGAGTGAGACTCCGTCTCAAACAAAACAAAACAAAACTTAATATGATAATTTTTGCTACAGAACATTTAGGGTTAGACATGAGAAGATAAAAGATCTTTTCAAGCTTTAAAACACTATATAAATGCAAGTTATTATAACTGTATTACAAATTCAACCACAGAACAGTTAAATGCATTATTGAAGACAAAGAAATAACCATTTGCCCCATCAGACACATGAGTCTGGGTGCACACACATACCTTTCTAATACTGGAAACAATTCTGACTTTAGTACTTACTTGGATCAGTAGTTGGCAGGTAGCAAGTATCACTCTCAGGCAAATACCATGTGGTGGCTGGAAGCAGGGAGAAGACGGAACAAGAGTTTCTTGCCTTTCAGCAATTTATAACCCACCAAATACTGTTCAAACTCCTTAGACCAATATTATTAATTATTTAGAATTTGATTTTTACCCTCTTTCTTAGTAACAGCTCTCACTACTTCCAGCCAAAGAGGTCTACTTGATGTTTTCTCAGAACATTTTTGATCTTTTTTTTTGAGACGGAGTCCCATGCTGTCACACAGGCTGGACTGCAGTGGCAGGATCTTGGCTCACTGCAACCTCCGCCTCCTGGGTTCAAGTGATTCTCCTGCCTCAGCCTCTTGAGTAGCTGGGACTACTCATGAGACTACTCAAGGGACTACTCATGGTGGGACTACTCATAGCTGGGACTACTCATGGGACTACTCATGGTGGCACGTGCCACCATGCCTGGGTAATTTTTGTATTTTTAGTAGAGACGGGTTTTCACCATGTTCACCAGGCTGGTCTCGAACTCCTGACCTCAGGTGATTTGCCTGCCTCAGGCAGATATCAGTAGAGGTTTTCTGTCTGTGTTGAGCGTTCACATACATTGTCTTAGAAGTTTGGAGCAGTGGAAGGAAGATCATTTCTTTCTTTGTTTTGTTTTGTTTCTGTTGTTGTTGTTGTTGTTTTTTTTTTTTTTTTTTTTTGAGACGGAGTCTCGCTCTGTCGCCCAGGCTGGAGTGCAGTGGCGTGATCTCGGCTCACAGCAAGCTCCGCCTCCCGGGTTCACGCCATTCTCCTGCCTCAGCCTCCCGAGTAGCTGGGACTACAGGCGCCCGCCACCACGACCGGCTAATTTTTTTTGTATTTTTAGTATAGACGGGGTTTCACTGTGTTAGCCAGGATGGTCTAGATCTCCTGACCCCGTGATCCACCCGCCTCAGTCTCCCAAAGTGCTGGGATTACAGGCGTGAGCCACCGTGACTGGCTCTTATTATTTTTTTTGAGGCGGAGTCTCGCTCTGTCTCCCAGGCTAGAGTGCAGTGGCATGATCTCGGCTCACTGCAACCTCCACCTCCTGGGTTCAGGCGGTTCTCCTGCCTCAGCCTCCCGAGTAGCTGGGACTACAGGCGCGTGCCACGCGCCTGGCTAATTTTTGTATTTTTAGTAGAGACGGGGTTTCACCATGTTGTCCAGGCTGGTCTCGAACACCTGACCTCAGGTGATCCACCCACCTTGGCCTCCCAAAGTGCTGGGATTACAGGTATGAGCCACTGCACCTGGCCCCCTTAATCTTTATTTTATAGGTGTCATAGCATATAGAATGTCATCATTCATAAAGTATGCAAGAATTTTCAAACTCTATTGCTCCATCTTCCTCTTTCCTACCAAAGTGAAAAAAGTAAGGAATCAAAGTTTAACACTGAACATCTGGATATTCCTTGAATAATGAGGTGTTAGCATCCTGCTTACTCTACAAGCATTCACTACATTTTGAAAAATGTGCCCTTTACTGGTCTACATACAAAAAGCAAAGTTAGCTAGAACTTAAAAATGTTTTTAAAGTTAGATAAAATGAAATTGGAAAAAAGAGGCCTTTTTTTTTTTTTTTTTTTTTTTAAACAAAGAACATTTTCCTTGGGGGATAGAATTATTTCCTATTTGTGCGGTTTAGGGGAGAATGATACATAAATGACAATTTTAAATGGTTATTCTATTTTACAAAGCATTTTCCATTTTGCAAGGCATGTTAAAAGTCACTCTATTATACCTAATTTTAATAACAATTTATATGAAGTAGGCAAGCCAAGTATGATTTTTTCAATTTTATGACTGGGTAAACAGTCTTTCCTAAGTTCACAAATACCAAGGCTAGAGCTTAACTCAATGGATACCCAGTCCAAATATCTTTTCATTCACATGGATTAAGTAAAATACTTGGCATCTGAAAGAACACTAAAGTTTGAAGGTACTTTTATATATAGGTTCTGAGTCAGGCCTATGATAAAGGCATCTAGAGATCAGTAATTGAACAGAGTTGCTGTGCACAAATTTGATAATGTCTTAGCAGATATGAAAAGCCACTTACTAGATATTTGCTTTCGATACGATAAAGAGGGTTTGTTACCGTTACCTCTCAGAACCATTGTCAACTCAGTTACTCATGCCCTTTGTCTCCTCAGACATCATCAGTTTGTGACTAGGTCCTATTCTCCTCACTGATGATCTTTGCAAAGCTTGTCCACACGGCCTTTTTAAATTTTTCATTGATTTTTCCATTCTTACCATTAGTGAATCCCTTAGCCTTAAATAAGTAGCTGAGATATGATCCTCTCAAATTGATTATAGTTCTATAAATATATGTCTTACTAGGTATACATACAATCCTATTATTAAAATTCAATTAGATAATTTTCAGTAATGTCATATATTTTTTTCCATTCCTCACTTCATTAATTAATTCAGACAATGTACTACATTATTATCCTATCTTACATTTGCAACATAAAAGACAGCATGATTACATGATTATTAAACAATGATTTCCTATACTTTCTTGTATTTTTTTTTTTTTTCAGTCTTCATCTTGTAAAGCAATTTAAAACCAGAAGAAAGGCTGGGTGTGGTGGCTCACACCTGTAATCCCAACACTTTGGGAGGCTGAGGCAGGCGGATCAAAAGGTCAGGAGTTCAAGGCCAGCCTGGCTAATATGGTGAAACTCCGTCTCTACTAAAAATACAAAAATTAGCCAGGCATGTTGGTATGCACCTGTAGTCCCAGCTACTCGGGAGGCTGAGGCAGAAGAATCACTTGAACCTTGGAGGCGGAGGTTGCAGTGAGCCGAGATGGCGCCACTGCACTCCAGCCTGGGTGACAGAAAGAATCTCCATCTCAAACAAACAAACAAACAAACAAACAAAAACAGAAGAAAAGAGCAGGGATTACTGAATGAAAAGCCAAGTTTACTTGCCATACTTTTCATAAGCTATATGTCAAACACATCCTAACTAGAAATAAGTAAACACACTTTTATTATACAAAAACATACTGATATATTTTTCTGCATTATGAAAACAGTACATGATTGAGATTTTGCACCAGAGTATATTACTTGAGGAATTATACTAACATCACTATTATTACCTGTAAACTATGTATGCTTAAGATACCACGTGTTTCATAATTGAAAACTTTTACCAAATTTTAAATCAAAGCAAAGAAAACAAATTCACAGATTCATTGGTATGATATCCAATTTATAGTCTTATAAATACCAAAATGGCTTTACATCTACGAATAGACATGTGCACATGCTACATGTTCCTTATGTGCATACACACACAAAAAACCACATTCATATTGGGTAATTTATTCTTTCAAGCTTCTTTTTTGTGTTATTTCTACTCAATATGAATAAATCCCACAGAAAGGTTTTTACATCTTTTAAAACTTAGCTTCTGGTGAGAGCGATTAGAATTTGTCAGGTTGAGGGTACATTAACTCTTTCAGACAAATTAAGTTCCGTTTTATGTTCTGAAAAAGATGATTTCCCAGATGAGTCTCTTGTGGCCTGAAAGGGTTTATGTATCCTTTAACTGAGCAATATATTCTCTTCTCACCATTAGCATCATGCACCAAATGTCTATCAATTCCCTGAACAAAGTTTGAAAAATGTAGCTCATAGTGTACGTAATTTCAGGGTGAATTTCAAGCAAGCAAAACTCTTCAAAGAGAAAATTTTTGTGCTAACGGACCCTTAAAAATATGCTCCATTCAGACAGGGTCTTAGAATGTGATTTCTATCTTAAAATCTGTTAAGACATAATTTTCAATAGCTGCATTTTAAATCAAGACATGATAAAAGAATAACATTTGAAACATGTTAGACTCCTTTCTTCTGTTAAACTGAGGCTATGCCAGAAAAACAAGCTAATGTTCTGTTTACTGGCCATAATGTTAAGTTTTATATTAATTATATAATAAACTCTAACCTATTTAAATAAACATTTATTAAGCACTTGACTTTCTATAAAGCATTGTTACAGGCTTGTTGTGAAGTACTCAAAATATGAATCAGAATCTGTATCTGAAAAGAGTACATAAACCAGTATGCAAAATAGATATGTACATGTACATGAACAGAGTACAGGCAAACCAGCAAGTACAATAATCAAAGTATTAAAATGTTATAAAAATACAGGGAATAGGGAAATTAATTTTGATTGCTATGATTAGGGAAGGCTTTCTGGAGGAGATGGTATAAGTGAGCAGCTAATTTTTAAATCAGTTTACAATCCTTTCAAAAAGAACATTTTTTTTCCCATTTGAGAGAGATTGAAAAGGAAGCAAAAAAACAGTTTCACAGGGAACAAATGTAGAACTTATCTCAGATTTTCAAACAGGTCTAACCTCGGAGGCAGCACAATACCATGGTTAGAAGCACAAGGTTTAATGTCGGAAAGACCAAAATTGGAATTCTGACCCTCATGAACCACACATATTACCTATGTGATCTCCTGTACATGGTTGAACCTCTATAGCCTCAATTTTATCACATTTAAAATAAAGTTAAGGCTGGGTGCAGTGGCTCATGCCTGTAATCCCAGCACTTTGGGAGGCTGAGGCGGGTGGGTCACAAGGTCAGGAGTTCGAGACCAGCCTGGCCAATATGGTGAAACCCCGTCTCTACTAAAAATACAAATACAAAAATTAGTCAGGTGTGGTGGCCAGCACCTGTAGTCCCAGCTACTTGGGCAGCTGAGGCAGGAGAATGGCTTGAACTCGGGACTGTACCACTGCACTCCAGCCTGGCCAACAGAGCGAGACTCTGTCTCAAAAATAAAATAAAATAAATAAAATAAAATAAAATAAAATAAATAAAATAAAATAAAGTTAGTAATAGTACCTACTTCATAGTATTGCTTTGGCGGTCACTTAGGAAAATATATAGACAGATATATAGATATAGATATTCCTAGCATAATGGCTGGCATATGACATTAACTAAACAGTGACAAAGACTCTCTCTTGAACCAAATTTTAGTCAGGTTCCTCTGAGTCCTTTTTTTTTTTTTTTTTTTTTTGAGACAGAGTTTTGCTCTTGTTGCCCAGGCTGGAGTGCAATGGTGTGATCTCAGCTCACTGCAACCTTCGCCTCCTGGGTTCATGTGATTCTCCTAGTTCAGCCTCTCAAGTAGCTGGGATTACAGGCGCCTGCCATCACACCCAGCTAATTTTCGTATTTTTAGTAGAGATGGGGTTTCAACATGTTGGCTAGGCTGGTCTCGAACTTCTGACCTCAGGTGATCTACCCACCTTGGCCTCCCAAAGTGCTGGGATTACAGGCGTGAGCCACCGCGCCCAGCCTTGAGTCCTCTTTTTGACTAGGCCTCATTCTTAGGCTCAGTCCTTGGCCCTGACAGTCCAGTTTTAGCAAGAATCCTACTGGGTCTGTTTAGCAAAAATCCTCCACCCTTCATATATGGTCAAATTCCTCATCCTCCACTCTTCATATCTTATTAGCCTTGCCTGCCTTCAGCAAGAATCCTATCAAGTTGGTTTAGGGGGAATCCCCTTATCTTTGATATCTCCTTCTAGTAATGTTCCATTGCCTGACTTCCACCCTGCTTCTTGGCTATAAATCCCCACTTGCCTTTGTTGTATCAGAATGCAGCCTCGTTGTATAGTAAGGTCTCTCTCCTATTGCAATAGTTGCTGAATAAAATTGGCCTTTACCACTTTAACTTCTTTCTGGCTTTGATTTTCTTTCATAACAGTTTATTACTATTATTACTGTTTTTTTTATTATTATTTATTTATTCATTTTGAGACAGAGTCTCACTCTGTTGCCCAGGTTGGAGTGCAGTGGCACAATCTCGGCTCACTGCAACCTCTGCTGCCCGGGTTCAAGCGATTCTTCTGCCTCAGCCTCCTGAGTAGCTGGGATTACAGGCGTGCACCACCATGCCTGGCTAATTTTTTTTTGTAGTTTTAGTAGAGACGGGGTCTCGCCATGTTGGCCAGGCTGGTCTCGAACTCCTCACCTAGTCATCCACCCGCCTCGGCCTCCCAAAGTGCTGGAATTACAGGCATGAGCCACTGTGCCCGGCCTACTACTTTATTATTATCATAAATGATAATACTTTCTATTTAAATTCAATTAAACTAAAAATTCCATTGACCAGTACCATTGTCAAGAGAGTATATTTCAAAAAATGCTAAGAATCTTACTTTTTTAAAAAGCACTCTTTTCCTCTTTTTTTATTTTATTTTATTTTATTTTTTTTTACGGAGTCCTACTCTTTTTGCCGCCCAGGCTGGAGTGCAATGATGCAATCTCTGCTCATTGCAACCTCCGCCTGCCAGGTTCAAGTGATTCTCCTGCCTCAGCCTCCTGAGTAGCTGGGATTATAGGCTTGTGCCACCATGCCCGGCTAATTTTGTATTTTTAGTAGAGACGGGGTTTTACCATGTTGGCCAGGCTGGTCTTGAACTCCTGACCTCAGGTGATCCACCTGCCTTGGCCTCCCAAAGTGCTGAGATTACAAGTGTGAGCCATTGCACCCGGCCCCCCTTGTGGTTTTCTAAAACAATTTGCTTCTCAATGTATGCATTATCTGTATTACTGACAATGCCCCCTTTTAAATCCTGTACCCTCCTCTCCCTGAACAGTCTCATAAATGTTTGCATTGAACTTTCTAATTTTCTGCATTTGAGAGGAGCAGACAGTGAGGGTAAGGAGAGAGTCAGAGGTGATGAACTTCCCCCCTCCAGCCTAATCTGAAGTTCTCAATTTTTCTTTAGGCACCAGAAAATGACCTGAATTACTATGTTCATTAAAAACAAAACAAAACAAAACACAACAGCTTTGCTCTTGAGGGTTGTTTTTGCTTTCATTTCTATTTTGTCAATTTTATATGACATTTGCTTTACAAAGTGTGGATTATCATCTCCCTGAAACCTGTTACTGGCATGTTCTCAAAGGTGATCAATGTCACTGGTGGTTCTGTGAGTTTTTTCATCTACTTAAAAATTATTATCTTAATAAATAAAGGTGGAATACAATTAACATAATGGCAGTGCAGTGAAGACCCCAAATCTGTTTTGAATTATCTGGAAAGGATAATGTGCCTTCTCAGTAACTTGATTTGTAACCACTTCAAATGACTTCCCTCATACTATGAGGAAATCCCAAGTGTTGATAGTTAGTTGACAGGGTGTTAATGTCATTAACATTCTGTCAGCTCTTCTTGTCAATGTGTTAATGGTGCCCCTGCTGCTCAGTCACTCTCTGTCCTCCGGTTGGGGAAATGATTTAACCAGCAGTCAATCAAAAAGCTAAGCTGATTTTGGGCAACAGAAAACCCTGCCATTGACAAAATCTCTGCAAGTAAATGTGGTAAGGAATTTGTCAACTGGATATAAGCAGTAAGGTCGACATCGTGGTTGATGTGCTTTTTTAGATAGTTTAAGATGTTAAGAATGGACCACAACACATATTTAAAAGTCTAAGAAGTCCTCTTTTAAGAATGGGTTTCTTTTCTGACAGAAGAAGCAAGGATTGGTAAGTAAAAATGATGCTTTGACTTTTTTAAAAAAGTAAAGTGTTGGGGTTCAGAACACAATATCTGGAAGTACGCTACCTTGGCATGCTGAATACTTTGAGCTGAAGGACACCAGGAGGACCACAGAAGCAAGAAGGTGTCTCTGAACTTATCCCTCCCTCCTTCGTACCTTCCTTTGTCTCCTGAAGCAAGTCAAAGAAACTAGAATTCCTCTCCCTTGAAAGAAGCCATAAAACCTAGGAAGATCACTTTCTGAGCTCTGTCCTTCCTCACCAAAGACTTTCACATAGGCCGGGCGCTGTGGCTCGTGCCTGTAATCCCAGCACTTTGGGAGGCTGAGGTGGGCTGGTCACCTGAGGTCAGGAGTTCGAGACCAGCCTGGCTAACATGGTGAAACCCCTTCTTTACTAAAAATACAAAATTAGCTGGGCGTGGTGGCGTGTGCCTGTATTCCCAGCTACTCGGGAGGCGGAGGCAGGATAATCGTTTGAACCCAGGTTGCAGTGAGCCGGGATCGCGCCACTGCACTCCAACCTGGGTTACAGAGTGAGGCTCCGTCTCCAAAAAAAAAAAAAAGAGACCTTCACATGACAGGTGTCTTTTCCCCATACCTGGGGGAAGACTGTCATACAGAGATACAGAAAATAATCTGAACCAGCCTTCATGGGTTGCCCCCAGCTTATTACCATTAGATCATATCCTTTTATCCACCAGTCATACTTCTGCACAACTGCCCATAAAATACATGGTTTTTCCCTGTTTCTTTGAGTCTTCATTTATGGAGTTTCCTGTGTCACATAAAACTCACATTAAATAAATTTGTATGCTTTGCTCTTGTTAATATGGTATTATAGGGTGTCAGCCATGAACCTTCGAATGGGTCAAGAACGACTGATTTTTCTCTCCTATACCATCTAATTTTTTCTGAGTCAGAACAAGCAACCTATTTTGGGTAGAGAAAGGAAGAAAGAGGTGATGAGTTTCCTTCTAAAGCCATTGGCCCCAGCAGGCTAGAAATAGCCTTGGAAACTCCATTCAAAGGAGAGGTTTTTTTGTTTTTGTTTTTGTTTTTTGTCTATGTTTTTTCTGATGTTTACTTTAAAAGCTGTGGATCCTCTCTCTTAAAACTGATTATACATTACAGCATGCTCTATAAAGGTGATTCAATGATACATTTGTGAGAGATATATGAAGAAAATTTTTATAAATATAAGCACAGCCTAACACTGACAGTATCGTTTTGAAGTGCTAAGTAAAGGCAGGGGCTTGGACTAGATGATCTTCACTGTCTCTAGCTATAATACCGTGTGATTCAACACATATTTACTGAGTGCCTACACTGTGCTAGGTGGTAGGCATATAGTAATTAACAAACCATACATAATCTCTGCCATGGGAACAGCAAGACAGAGAACATACAAATGTCAGACTGTCAGCAGCCTGAGGTCAAGTTTTCTATCATCTTGTGTACTGTTCAATTTTCATGCCTGGCAATGTCTAGCATACTTTAAGTGTTCAATCAAAATTGGGAAAGAGTAAGGGTAAATATAGGGTGCTCCAGGACATAGCCTGACTTGAAGATCCAACCTGCATATTCAGTTGCCCTGAAGCCATCATGCCATTGCTGCTAACTACAGCATTGTTGCTGTTCTGAAGTCCAGAGGCATACGAATGCTTTTCAGCTTGTGAACTCAGTCCTCACAGACAGATTACTGTTTAAGTAGCTAAAGTTACTTTCCATGGAAACTACTCCAATACTTGTGACCCTAATTATTCAATTTAAAGGGCCAGTGACTTGAAGCAAAACAATTTATTGGCACTGGATGGAAATATTGGAAAGATCATCTAGTACAAAGGATCCTATACTAGAAATGGAATCATGGTCCTATTTTTTGTTGTTTTTTGTTTTTTTTTGAGACGGAGTTTCGCTCTTGTTGCCCAGGCTGGAGTGCAATGGCGCGATCTCGGCTCACCGCAACCTCTGCCTCCCAGGTTCAAGCAATTCTCCTGCCTCAGCCTCCCGAGTAGCTGAGATTACAGGCATGCACCACTATGCCTGGCTAATTTTGTATTTTTAGTAGAGACGGGGTTTCTCCATGTTGAGGCTGGTCTCGAACTCCTGACCTCAGGTGATCCGCCCGCCTCAGCCTCCCAAAGTGCTGGGATTACAGGCGTGAGTCACCACCCCTGGCTCATGGTTCTATTTTTAAAACAGGATCAAGTATCCCACAATAAAATATCTTTCTCTTTTAGCATTGCCAGAAGGGTAAAAAATATATATATTAGGTAGGCACCAGAACTCATATACATACATATAATGATTACGCATTTCGTTCGTCTCTTTCTAGAAGATAGAAACTCTCAATGGGTGACCAAGAAGTCTTTCAAAGGAAGAATAACTTGAGCCACAGTTTTATCTTTATAATCCATTAATTCATAGTTTTTAACCAACCCAACTCAATATTCTAATTTTTTCTCTGAAATAAATTGCTGTGTATTTTATTTTGTTTCTTTAAAAAATATGATATGCAAAGTAACAGCCCCATACATTTTAATACAGTTTTCAATCCCCTTGTGGACAAATAGTCACACTTTAGTGCCACTTAAATGAAGAATAACCATTCATCTGTAACATACAGATACAGAAGGCTCTGGATTTTCATTTTAAAGTGCTTAATTACCTGCATAAAGAGAGAAATAAAATAAGGAGTCCAGGCCAAGTTCATGAGGGTTTGAAATTACTTTTCTTTTTCTAAATGAGCAACAAAGACTCAATGTTGCAAGCTGTTGTGTGGCTATAAGCCAACAGTAGAAGAAAATGTTCAAAAGAAAAAGGGGATAAGGAATTAAATTCAAATATATGAGGCAAGAACCAAAATCAAAAGGTGAAAAAGGAGGTGGTGTTTCCAGGCACAGGACAATATAACATATTTGAAAAAAAAAAAAAATGTAATCAGCAATAAAGTGAAACCTTCACATTAGGTATCCTAACGTGGCCAGTAATGCAACCCAAGGTTATTTTTGTGGATTCCCTGCCTCCAATCAATCACAAACTTATTTTGCCAATATTTGTATTCATGAAGGTACTCAGAATCACTAAAGTACCATACAAAACACAGTATTCATTAATGAACCAAAACACTGAGAGTTAAAATTTTTTTTAACATAAATCTAAATTGCCATTCTTAAGTAATTCGAGTTCAGCACTGTAACTTCCAAGTTGGGCAAAAAATAAAGCATATCACAGAAGAAAAAGGCAATAGATTTAACCTTGAAACAAGGTGACTGCCAAATAGTTGTTGAAGGAATTTACTTATTATCAGATAAAGAATTTACAGTATTTATTCCCTCTAAAGATATAAAATGGTGAATCAATCTGCAGTTCAAGATACTTATTTAAACCCAGAGGAGGAGGATATGGCTTTAACTTTTGAAAACTAAAATAGAAAATTATAAAAAAATCAGGTCTAATGTAGTTTATCTTTAGACACCAGATTTAACATTAAACAATTCAAGCTAAATGCTATTTCTCAAGTTTTCCTTTTATATATTTTTATGATTTATATGAATATACTGCTATAAACTAGAAGTTTCAAAAAATGTTTATTTAGCAAGAAATGCTTAATGTTATACAGATATCTACTACAATTTATTTAAATATATAATCTACTAATCAATTCGTCTATCCATCCAACCATGTATCCATTTATCCTTCACAGTCCTTTCTGTCTAGTGATATTAGTTATCCTCTTATTGTCCTTGAAAATGCACACATGCCCTCAGAAAATGTATGCACACACACACAAAATCTCAGACAAAAAAAAACCTTCTGTTGATAATTTACTTTAAACATTTGGTTATATAAGAACATTCTGTTTTGTTTTGTTTAGGTTTCATCAAACCTCTTAAGACTTACCTTGCATATCCTGTGGGCTTTCAAATGGAATTCTTCTTTGAGAAATAGCCTTCAAAAAAAATCTAATTGTTCCCTTGCCTACTGGTTGAAAACATCATGAAACAAAATTTATGCTACTAATAGAAAAACAGCATATACACAAATTCATCCAGATGGTGTGAAAAGACTAGTAAATCTAGAACTAACCACACAGTTAGTAAACAGACAGACATAGAGACTAAAAACTAGACAAAATGCTTAAATAAATAAAGGATATGGTCATCTTTTCCACAAACTTATCGTGTTGATTTTCTGCTTGGGGGAATTTCTTGATGTCACGTTCCAGATGAACAATTTGTTGTTCCATTGATGCAAGGTTGCTCTTGAGAATTTGAGCTGAAACTAAAGAACAGTGTGCAAAGGATTTAGAATATTTTACCAAGTGTTCCACAAAACATCTAAAAGGAGACATTATCAGTTAAAGTCTTTTTTTTTAAATGTGGGAAATAGTTCCATGAAGTCAACTCACATTTTTCTGAATTACTGCTTATAAAAATTCTACTCTCCATGAAATAAATGAAAATGTGTAATACAGTATACCAAATTATCATGTTTAATATGGGAATGTCACCATTTTACTCAGCCATTAGTTCAAATGAATCCATTTCAATTTAAATTTATTGACGGAATTCCTAACATTTCATTCTTTAAAATCTAATTTGAAGATTAAAGAAAAACTAAGGTTCAAAGAGATGTTATTAATGCACGTTAGTAGCTCTATAAATGATTTAAGGTTAAATTATGTAAAAGGATCAAATATTTTTCTTTTGTTGGAATATCCTGATTTTTATAAACCAATATCTATGGTAAAAGTTCCCATCTCTAGTATTTTTCAAAGAGATGTGAAAAATAACTGTTGATACAGAAAGATAATTTAGAGCAAACCCCAGCAAACACAAATGAACGTACATACCCACAAAGATTCAGCCTGCCCTCAAACACTATCATTAGTTGCTGTAATTACCCCTAACATTCTCTGCACCTTCCTTTTGCTCTCATTGACAACTAATAATTTTATGTATTGTATTCAAACTGCTCCTAAATACATGCACATTTTTCAGATCTGTCAGGAGACCTTCTTTTTACCAGGTAATTTTTTTTTAACTTTCAACTATTTTATAGATACTCTATTGCTGCATAACTGCCAATTATGTATGAAAACACTTCTATCAATATCAACAGCATTTGGCAAGATTCTAGTTGCAAAGATGAGGTAAGTGTTATAATTTGATGGACAGCCTGTGACATTGGTTTTTAAATCCAGGCCTCTGAAATACTGTTATTTTCATTAAAGGACCATGAAACACAAATAGAAAAATACTATGATTCTTTCTTATTTTTAAGCAAAGTTAGTCTTATGCAGAGACATATCAGCATTACAATGAAAAATTTAAGAGACTGCCAAAATCAACCCCTTGGCAAATTTCAGCCAAACTGTTCAGATACAAATTCATCATGTTGATGGGCACATCTTTATAACTCAATGAGGAGAAATCACCTTAAATATACATGGAAGTTCAAGAGACTAAAAATCAAACACTAACACTAAAGACTATTTTTTTTCTATTAATCTGTCAGTTTAAATAGCTCTGTCCAATTTAGTTCCATTTGTTTAGATCTGACAAGCTTGGAAATTATTCTTTATTGCAGAAGAAAGTTTTGCCAAAAATTTGCTAATGGTTCACCAATCATTGCTTGCTTTATTTAAAGGATGAGTTTGCTATGGAAGAAATAATTCTCTCTGATTTTAAAATTGAATTTTTTCACTTAGGTTTCTCTGCTGTATTCCAATTATTCAAAAGGTTTCTCCTTCCCCACTTGGTTGATTGAAAAAGTGAAGACAGGCCGAGCGCGGTGGCTCACACCTGTAATCCCAGCACTTTGGGAGGCTGAGGTGGGCGGATTACCTGAGGTTATGAGTTTGAGGCCAGCCTGGCCAACATGGTGAAACCCTGTCTCTACCAAAAAAAAAAAAAAAATACAAAAATTAGCCAGGCCTGGTGGTGGGTGCCTGTAATCCCAGCTACTCGGGAGGCTAAGGCAGGAGAATCACTCAAACCCAGGAGGTGGAGGTTGCAGTGAGCCAAGATCCCGCCACTGCACTCTAGCCTGGGCAACAAGAATGAAATTCCGTCTCAAAAAAAAAAAAAAAAGTGAAGACAAAACATTGACCAGTCACTTATGTTATTTAGGTTACACGGACATGGTGAAGTTCAGGGCACATTACCCAAAAATATGGTGCCTTGGCATATTGAGTATTTTAAGCTGAAGAACTTTTAGAAATGACACCTGCAGGAAGGACTATCTGATCTTTCCTGGGCACAGGTCTTAAGACCCTCATGTAGGCCCCACATGGGGGCTCATGCCTGTAATCCGAGCACTTGTGGAGGCCAAAGTGGATGGATTGCTTGGACTCAGGAGCTCAAGGCCAGCCTGGACAATATGGCAAAACCCCATCTCTACAAAAAATACAAAAATAAGCTCTGCTGGGTGTGGTGGCTCACACCTGTAATCCCAGCTCTTTAGGAGGCTGAGGCAGGAGGATCACGTGGGCCCAGGAGTTCGAGAGCAGCCTAAGCAACATAGCTAGACCTCGTCTCTACAAAAAATTTAAAAAAAAGAAAATGAGATGGGAGGATTGCTTGAGCACAGAAAGTTGAGGCTGCAATGAGTTATGATGGCATCACTGTATTCCTGCCTAGGTGACAGAGTGAGACCCTGCCTTAAATAAATAAATAAATAAATAAATAAGCAAGCTGGGTGCGGTGGTTATGTGCCTAGTCCCAGCTACTCAAGAGGCTGAGTTAGGAGGATCGCTTGAGCCTGGGAGCTCGAGGCCACAGTGAGTCATGATCATGCCACTCTTCTCCAGACAGGGCAACACAGATTGATCCTTTCTCTTAAAGAAAAAAACAAAAAACAAAAGCAAACAAACAAACAAAAACTCATGTGGCTTTTTTTTTTTTTTAGACGGAGTCTCACTCTGTCGCCAGGCTGGAGTGTAGTGGCATGATATCTCGGCTCACTGCAACCTCCGATTCCCTGGTTCAAGTGATTCTCCTGCCTCAGCATCCCAAGTAGCTGGGACTACAGGCATGTGCCACCACGCCCAGCTAATTTTTATATTTTTAGTAGAGACGGGGTTTCACCATGTTGGTCAGGATGGTCTCGATCTCCTGACCTTGTGATCCACCCGCCTCGGCCTCCCAAAGTGTTGGGATTACAGGCATGAGCCACCATGTCCGGCCTGAGAGCTAACTTTGCTATATGCACCCTGAGGAAACCAACATCCTTATCTCTGAAAATAAAGGGACATAGAAATCTGAACAAATAGGTCTTGTTAAATTTCTCCCAGTTTATTATACTTAGCACATACTTTTCCTTCTCCCTATCATATTTTTCCACACCTCTCCATTTTTCATCAAACATACTATAGAAAACCTCAGGTTTAACTGTTTCTTTGGATCTTCATTTCCTTATGAATGCTCCCCTCTCAAGTTATGTAAAACCTAAATAAATCTGCATTATTTTCTTTTGCTAATCTGCCTTTTGGTATAGAGACCGTGGCCAATGAACCTAAAATGGGGAAAAGGAAAAGTTATTTTTCCTCCCTAACTTTCTGTAATAAATAAAATGTGCTAAAAGGCCAGGTTTAGGTCACAATAGTAATGGCACTAGTAAAAAGGGGATGATGATGATAATGACTTCATCTTCCAATCATTCAATACAAAACTAGCCTAATCAAATTGCTATGCACACAGCAGTCTACATATGTCAAGTAATAAGTGAGAATATTTTTAACCCAGGGAAATTACTTTTACTCTAAAGTTGCATTCTGAATAAATCAATATTTTTCTGAACATCTGTCCTCCCGAATTTCACATGTATAATCTTTAGTCCTCTATAAATCTCTCCAGAGCTCTACTCCAAATTCTCTACCATTTCATATGTACTTTTTGTTTGTTTAAGTGATCTTCGACCTATCACCTTCTGCTTTGAATAATAATTGTCTTTTATCTCATATACATAAACAACAGTTTCCTTTATAAAACTCCAAGCTGCCTAATGGTAAGATCTATATTTGATTTTTTGCTTTTCCCTCAGTACTTATCACTGTGCTCAGTATTTATCACTCAATAAATATTTATTGATGAATATGTACATTTCAAGAAGTTTTGGTTCACATTTAAATTTATGTCTACTTCCACAACTGAAAGTACAGGGAGAGGTTAGATATAATCATAATGATTTGAAGTTACCATACCAATTATTATATAAGTAGAGAAAGAGAGCAGGGACTTGAAATCTGCCTAACAATATATAGACGTGGTTCGGGAGATGCTTAGACAAATGGGAATGTGAGGAAAGCGGATAAAGTAAAAAAAAGTAAAGGGCACCTTTCTTTCTTAGGCTCCTCCATTCTTCCCCTCTAATGGATTATTTATATTATGCCTGAACAAAAGAGAATAAAATATTGGAGATGTAATAATCTGAGAATTCTAGCTTATACAGAAATTTATGGCTGCATTAAACAATGCCATTATGTAAAGTGTTTATCTTTGCATGGGGGAATTATGTTACCTTTGAGGTAAAAGTGACATTAAAGGAGATTTGGACCAGCCTCTTAAATTTGAAAAACTCAGGTTACAGAGTATCACAGTCTGAGTCCCTGCAAAACATAGCCTAAGTTAGAGCTTACTTCTTAAGGCCTTGTTGGGGTGAGCGGGATATAATCCCAGAGAAGCAGGCATGAGGGAAAGACAGCAAATACAAGAGGGTAAGTTCCAGAACTTGTCATAGCTTTACAAAAAAAAAAAAAAAAATGCTGGTTGTTTAGTGTCTCAGGTTGTCTCCGTCAGGGCTGACTTCATGGATATGCAACCTGTGCAGTTGTACAAGATCCCATGCTGCAAAGGGCCCTGCATTTTGTTTAATACTTTGTTGTCATTTTGAAATTCTTAATAACTTTTTGGCCAGGTGCGGTGGCTCAAGCCTGTAATCCCAGCACTTTGGGAGGCTGAGGTGGGCAGATCACGAGGTCAGGAGATCGAGACCATCCTGGCTAACACAGTGAAACCCCATCTCTACTAAAAATACAAAAAATTAGCCAGGCGTGGGGGCGGGCGCCTGTAGTCCCAGCTACTCGGGAGGCTGAGGCAGGAGAATGGCATGAACCTGGGAGGCGGAGCTTGTAGTGAGCTGAGATCCCACCACTGCACTCCAGCCTGGGCAACAGAACAAGACTCCACCTCAAAAAAATAAATAAATAAATAAAATAAAATAAAAATTTGCAGTGGGGTGCCACATTTCATTCTGCACCCGGACCCAAAAATTATCTAGTCAGTCCTGGTCTCCAGATAAAACAAATGTAACTTAGAAAAGTAGGTTAGAGGCCAGGTGCCATGGCTCATGCCTGTAATCCCAGCACTTTGGGAGGCTGAGGCGGGTGGATCGTTTGAGGTCAGGAGTTTGAGACCAGCATGGCCAACATGGTGAAACCCCGTCTCCACTAAAAATACAAAAAAATTAGCTGGGCATGGTGGTGCCCGCCTGTAATCCCAGATACTCGGGAGACTGAGACAGGAAAATCACTTGAACTTGGGAGACAGAGGTTGCAGTGAGCCGAGATCGTGCCACTGCACTCCAGCCTGGGCGACAGAGTGAAACTCTGTCTCAAGAAAAAAAAAAAAGAGCTGCTTAGAGGAGACAATGAGCAATTCATTTACCTGCTTACTCCTTAGCATCTCCTGTTCCTTCATTGGTGAAATTGTTTCTAGCAATGTTAACTTCCCACTATGGCTGGGAAATGAGTAGCCTGGGTTTGGAGGTGGGAGATGGCAAAGGAGTGCCCAGTAAATCTGGGGTGTTGCATATATTAGATCTAAAACAGAGTACTCCCTACATCCTAAGTGCCTTATTCAATTGTTGACAGTTGATATCACTAGAATTTTTTTATTTACTCATAAGAAAAATCAGCCTACTTAGCCAGGTGTGGCGGCTCACGCCTGTTATCTCAGCACTTTGGGAGGCCGAGGCGGGCGGATCACAAGGTCAAGAGATCGAGACCATCCTGGCCAACTTGGTGAAACCCCGTCTCTACTAAAAATACAAAAATTAGCCAGGCGTGGTGGTGGGCGCCTGTAATCCCAGCTACTCAGGAGGCTGAGGCAGGAGAATCGCTGGAATCCGGGAGGCAAAGGTTGCAGTGAGCCTAGATCGCGCCACTGCACTCTAGCCTGGCAAAAGAGTGAGACTCCGTCTCAAAAAAAAAAAAAAAAAAAAAAATCAGCCTACTTAAACTCTTATCTATTACTCCTAATTTTGCCTCATAGTAGCACTGATCAAGTCTACTACCTATTTTACAAGAAATGTATCAGTTGAATCTTCTTAATCTACCCAGCCTATACATACCCAGTTCCTTCAACTAGTCCTTCTGTGGTGTAAGAATTAGCCATTACTGGCCAGGCGTGGTGGCTCATGCCTGTAATCCCAGCACTTTGGGAGGCTGAGGCGGTCGGATCACGAGGTCAGGAGATCGAGACCATCCTGGCCAACATGGTGAAACCCCATCTCTACTAAAAATACAAAAAAATTAGCAGGGCGCGGTGGCAGGCACCTGTAGTCCCAGCTACTCGGGAGGCTGAGGCAGGAGAATTGCTTGAACCCAAGAGGCGGAGGTGGCAGTGAGCTAAGATCGCACCACTGCACTCCAGCATGGCGACAGAGCGAGACTCCGTCTCGGGAAAAAAAAAAAAAGAATTAGTCATTACTTAAGTTCTTAAGTAATAACCAACATTTACTGAGTACTTACTATGTGCTAGACATTATTCTAAGTAGTTTTATGTATTAACTTATCTAATACAAAAATTCTATAAGGTATGCACTACTCTTAAGGAGGGGTATAAGTGATGTCATCTCAGGAAATTGTAAATGTAAAGCAGTATTTCTGGAGCCTGGAAGGCCAGCATCATGAAATAAAACCTGTACTCTTTATCATTCATTGGCACAAGGTCATGTTACTTATATATGCTGCTGTGGCAGAATTGGATGGGGTAGGAATGGTTTTAGGAATCAGACAGACCTAGGTTCTAATCTCAGCCATACATATTACTAGTTAGGTTATCTTAAGCCAATGACTTAGCTTCTCTAGGCCTTCATTTCCTGATTTGCAAAATGATGATGATAATATCTTCCTTAAAGGGTAGTCATTTAGGTTAAATGATTTGATAAAGTACTTATTATTATACCTAGTACATAAATATTCATTTTATATTTCACTATCCTCTTTCCTACACCCTACCTTCCAACATACACATTCCCACTGTATACATGCTACCACGAATTAAACAACTATTTAGATGTAATCTACGGGAAAAAAATGCAGACATTTCCAACCTGCTATCCCTACTATGGCCTAATTTAACGTAATATTGGTCTTTTTTTTTTTTTTTGAGATGCAGTCTTGCTCTGTTGCCCAGGCTGGAATGCAGTGGTACAATCTCGGCTCACTACAAGCTCTGCTTCCCAGGTTCACGCCATTCTCCTGCCTCAGCCTCCTGAGTAGCTGGGACTACAGGCGCCCGCCACCACGCCCGGCTAACTTTTTGTATTTTTAGTAGAGACGGGGTTTCACTGTGTTAGCCAGGATGGTCTCGATCTCCTGACCTCGTGATCCACCCTCCTCGGCCTCCCAAAGTGCTGGGATTACAGGCGCGAGCCACAGCGCCCAGCTGGTCTTTTTTTAATAAAGAGAACTAAATTTAGATTGTGTTTTCTGTGTTTAGATTTTACAGGGTACATGGAATTTTAGGTTTGGGAACTAGTGACAATTACACTAACTAACAGCCAATTTATCAGACTTATTAGCAAGTTCCAAATTTAAATAATATTTCTGGAAATTAAAACCCATGCAATAGTCTGTATTTCCTTGGCATTTAAAAGTTCATCACTTTGGCTTTCTAGACTTGTCTAAAAGGTAACAGACAAAAAAAAAGTATTAGAAAAGAATTAATATGTGTTTACCTGCCTCATTAATTGCCTTGAACACATTTGCCTCAATCTTAAGAGTTGGCAATCAATTAATATTATGATTATTTAAATATTTAACTAGGTCTTTGCCTACACTACTTCTAATATTTCTCAGGTAGGGGGTGCATGTGCGTGTGCGTGTGTGTGTGTGAGAAAGAGAGAGAGAGAAAGAGAGAGAGAGAGAGAGAGAGAGATTTTTACTAGAGGTTGCAGGGTGATGATGGTACCTGTAGTGCCAAGAATATTTAAGTACCAGAGTGGGTTAGAAATGCTTGCCTTTGCACAGCCTCAGCCTCAGGGTATATTTTTGTGCCTGTCATTATATTAGTTCACTAATATAAACTAGGGGGTCTTTAATGACAGTGCAAACATTTTCTATCTGAGTAAATTCCCACTACAGGCATTTTCAATGACTGATTAGTCAGTCTGGTAGCACTTTAATTTTTTTTCTCTCATTTCATTTTTTAAATCTGCTACTGAATTACTGAATCTGAATTATAACACTAAAAAATTAAATTATAGCTATCGGGTTCTTTATTATAGCTTTCTTCCTTGTACTCCATAAATAACCTTTTAAGCTTAGTGTACTCTCTTGAGTTATATGTAGGAGAAACTTTCCTCACATATCTTATTTATCTACTTGCTTCAGTTGAAAAATATACATATACTTTTTCCCTGGCTTCAAGCAAATATATGATAGTGGCCTGATCCTCATTCAAAACATTTTAAATGACAGACTTTCTCTAATACATAATCCTAAGGTAAAGTATAAGATACATATTTTAAGCAAGAGTTTGAACGGAAGGACTCTTCAATTACACAGTATATAAGAGAACAGATATGCATGCAAGAAAAAAAATCACAGTATTCCAGTGACACTGTCTAGACCATATTAAGAATGTGTAATTCTATGTAAATATAAAAGCATTTCCAGGAATTTGTGGATTTTTTTCTGAATTAAATGTTTCTATTCATTGTAACCATTGACAAATTAACGGAGCACTTCTTACATCTTTGCTCTAAGAAAGACCAAGTAAGAATTTACTCTTGCAAGTCTATATGTGAATAGGCCCAAACATGATTATATAAGTACCCTGTAATTTTCCTTAACTGAATATATTTAGTTGAAGAATTACTATCAGCGGAACGGCATACCATTAAAGTGACTCATCCGGAAAGCATATGTAAAAAAGAAAAGGAACATTACAAGCATCCTGAACAATAGACACTGTTGCATTCTTTCTCAAGTGCATTTATAAGGTAGTTTCATTTTACATGAACGCTGTACCTGGAAATGAAGCAAATGTGTTTATACAGTAACAATAGCAAAAGCTCATCACTGTGAGCTTCTTTGGCCTTTAAAGAAAATAAACGGTAAATGGTACCCAAATAAAAAATCCCTATAATGAAGAAAAATGTGAGAAAATGACTCATTCTTAGGGGGAAAAAAAAAAAAAACCTGTTAAAAAGTCACCTTCACAGAAAACACAACTAGAATTCTTATTCCATAAAACTTAAAAATGTGCATTCTAAATATGTGTTCTTAAGTACCATCATTTACTCCTCTAACATGTGCCCTTGGGAAGAAAGTGCAGTTTTTCTCAACTGGATTCATAATGTGGTCTGAACTGATGCTGATAGCAGAGGAAATCCAGTAAGAAAACATGAAAGCTGCATTCTATGATTTAACTCTTAAAACTTCGCTAAGTACACTTCAATGTCTGAGTTCATACATTTGCACAAGTTCTCAGCCTGAAAACCTCAGTCTGACTGCATGTTTGAAAAAATAAAGAGAGACTTCTAACAAAAAGAAAACAAGGAGGAAGGGAAAGTTTGAAACTGTCTAAGTAATAATTTGCAATAAGAAAATTCTGAAGCCTGAGCACCAAACCAACAGTAGTGGACAGACAGTCAAGCTGCCCCTTGAAGAATCCCAGTCCCTTCCCCTGCTGTCTCTTCTGCAAGTGTTATTCTGCCTGCAGCAAATACTATGCGTGATTTTTTAAATCAAAGGCTAAAAAACAAACTGAAATCTCCTACCTTTCTTGACAGTCTTAGCTCAAGGCCAGGACTAGGAAGTAATAAAGCAATGCTGGATAAAGTCTTGGTGGAATGGTTTGTTCTCGTCAAGAAAAATCTTTTTTTGCGGGCCGGGCGCGGTGGCTCACGCCTGTAATCCCAGCACTTTGGGAGGCCGAGGCGGGTGGATCACGAGGTCAGGAGATGGAGACCATCCTGGCTAACAAGGTGAAACTCCGTCTCTACTAAAAATACAAAAAATTAGCCAGGCGCGGTGGCAGGCGCCTGTGGTACCAGCTACTGGGGAGGCTGAGGCAAGAGAATGGCGCGAACCCGGGAGGTGGAGCTTGCAGTGAGCCAAGATGGCGCCACTGCAGTCCAGCCTGGGCGACAGAGCGAGAGAGACTCTTGTCTCAAAAAAAAAAATAGAAAAAAGAAAAAGAAAAATCTTTTTAAAAACTCATTTGGTTGTTTTGTAATAAAAGATGCCCCACCCACCTACAACTCAAACTGGAATAATTTTAATAGGTCAAGTCTTTTCGACTTGATATTGGTCTAACCTGAATAGTCTTCTCCTGGAGATTTTATTTAAATGGCTGGAATGGCATTCTTCTAAATTAAAAAAAAAAAAGCTTGTCAGGAGCTTCAAATGCTGATAAATCCTTTATGACAATCCCATACTAATGTCTTCACTTGTCCAATCTATGTAATGCATTCTTCTTTAACCTTGGAACTAGAACACTAATGATAAAAGTGTAGGTTGTCAAAGGAGGCTACTTAATATAACAATAGAAAGGCTTAAAATAAATTAGTAAAATCATGGAAAAGCAAGGGCTATGAAGAATGTAGACGTGTTGACTAAAACTAGAAAGAAGAAAATCCTAGTTTAAGAAATCTGAAATTACTAGTCTGTAAAATTTGGAATTTTGAGTATATGTTTATAGGTGTGTTTAGTTGTGAACTACAATAATTGAGTAAATAGTACTGCAAAAAGGTCACGAAGAACAAACAGGTAGAAAACAATTTATATTCAATACTGTCAAACAATGTTTTGACAAACTAGATGCGATAAATGAACACTGTTTCACAACAAGACGACTACCTGCTTCTTGAATAAGCATTCACAAATGCTTTTATCTGAGCAATCACTTAATGAAAACTTTACACGCCGGGCGCGGTGGTTCACGCCTGTAATCCCAGCACTTTGGGAGGCCGAGGCGGGTGGATCACGAGGTCAGGAGATCGAGACCATCCTGGCTAACATGGTGAAACCCCATCTCTACTAAAAATACAAAAAATTAGCCGGGCGTGGTTGCGGGCACCTGTAGTCCCAGCTACTCGGGAGGCTGAGGCAGGAGAATGGCGTGAACCCGGGAGGTGGAGCTTGCAGGGAGCCGAGATTGTGCCACTGCACTCCAGCCTGGGCGATAGAGCGAGACTCCATCTCAAAAAAAAAAAAAAAAATGAAAATGAAAAAAAAAGGAAAAAGAAAACTTTACTAATATATACCCTTACTTCTGGTAAATGGTATCTTCAATAAGTTGTGAAAAGATCATACAGATTGATGAACCATTTGAATAGATACTGTCTTCCACATTACTATTTGGCAAGAATTAAGTACACATAAATAGTGTTTCCATAAAGCTATAATGCTGTATTAAAATAATGTTAGCCTTGTTGAGTGTAATTTTTGTGATCATGGGTAAATTTTTCATTAACTTTATTCCTGAACTCTTCAGGGAAATTAATAGGACTATATGCAGATTCTTGCACTTCACAGAGTTTTTGAGGAACAAGTTTAATGCATGAAGTCCACAGGTATGTAACATATACAAAGCCACGAATTTTCACCCAAACTGAATGCAGGTTGTTGAGATCAGTGCTGAGGTCATAGTCCTGAAGCCATTAGAGTCCATTCCACATTAGTGTTGCCTGGATTAGCAATATTTCTCCTGGGTAATAGGGTTATAGGTCAGACAAAAGATGCTTCAAAGGATATAGTAAGCCTATGGTTGTATTTTCCTTATTCATTAACTGTGGATATTAATAGGATTACTATATGCCCTGAAATAAGAAATTGGCAATACAAACTAAAGCAATTAGATAATATAATTGTACTATGTTTTTAAGTTCCTCACTACTGAAAGCAGTCCCTAAATAAAGCAAGTCTTGATTAGTTATCTGGGCATTATCATGTCATAAATTTATTATACTTTATGTAGTTTTGTCTACTAACAAAATAATGGATTTTAAAAAAAAATTTGAGATGAAGTTTGAGAGGTAGGTAGGGTCTTGTAGGACACCGTAAGGAATTTGGGTTTCACCTTAAGTGTAGTGAGAAAGCGCTGAAAGACTTCAAGCAGGATAAATTGATAAAATTTCTTTCTTTTTTTTTTTTTTTTTTTTTTGACGTAGTCTCGCCCTATCCCACAGGCTGGAGTGCATTGGTGCGATCTTGGCTCACCACAACCTCTGCCTCCCAGGTTCAAGCCATTCTCCTGCCTCAGCCTCCTGAGTAGCTGGGATTACAGGCATGTGCCACCACGCCTGGCTAATTTTTGTATTTTGAGTAGAGATGGGGTTTCACCATGTTGGCCAGGATGGTCTCCATCTCCTGACCTCATGATCCACCCACCGTGGCCTCCCAAAGTGTTGGGATTACAGGCATGAGCCACTGTGCCCAGCCACAAAGGTTGTTTTCAAAACGTCTTCTTCTCTGAGACCCAAATAAATATCTGGGTTATGTTTTTCAGAATTCTCCATCTATTCAAATATGTTCCTGAAAAGTCCTTCCACCCTGGCAAAAAGGGAATAAAACACAAAGAAGGGCTAAATATACTTTTGTGTAATTTAAATAGCAACTGGTCTCAAAAGTCATGTTCAAAGAAAGGCTGTTGAAAATTTTAATTCATCTATACAGGTGGGAAAATATTTGGCAAAGCAAAGATGAATAAAAGGCCCAGAGACTTTCAAGTGTTCTGGCAAAAATATATACAAGCACAAATACACATGCAATCTGGCTAAAGGCTCTGAAATATTCAAATGCCTAGTGATCATTTATGAAACAAGGGAAAGGAAAGTGAAAATGTTCACTAATACAAGTACTATGAGATAATGTCTTCAATATAGAAGTTCCTCAAATAGACATATGTATACATTGCTTGGCTAGACTAGATAAGGGATTGGTGAACTACTGTCTGCAGGCCATATCTAGCTGGCTGCCTGTTTTCGTATGGCCTGTGAACTAAGAATGCTTTTTACATTTTTAAGTGGCTGAAAAAAAAATCAAAAGAAGGATAGCATTTTGTGACACATGAAAAGTATATGAAATTTAAATTTCAGTGTCCATAAATAAAGTTTTATTGAAAAACAGCCAGGTCCATCGTTTACATATTGCCTATGGCTGCTTTTGGACTATAAAGGCAGTCCTGAGTCCTTGTGACAGGGACTGTGTGTGGTCCGTAAGCCCTAAAATATTTAATATCTTGCTCTCTGCAGAAAAAGTTTGTTGATCCATGTTCTAGATTAACAAAAATGCCCCCTTGGGGAGGGATATCAGCAATTTCCTAGTCCAGATCTCTCATGAGGATATGGAAACAGAGAGAAAACAAAAGTGGATTGCCTAGGTATACACCACCAGGCCTCTGGATTTCTTTTTTTCTTTTTTTTTTTTTTTTTGAGATGGAGTTTCGCTCTTGTTGCCTAGGCTGGAGTGCAATGGCGAGATCTCGGCTCAACACAACCTCCGCCTCCCAGGTTCAAACGATTCTCCTGCCTCAGCCTCCCGAGTAGCTGGGATTACAGGCATGCACCACCATGTCTGGCTAATTTTTTTTTTTTGTATTTTTAGTAGAGACGGGGTTTCTCCATGTTGGTCAGGCTGGTCTCGAACTCCCGATCTCATGTGATCTACCGGCCTCAGCCTCCCTAAGTGCTGGGATTACAGGCGTGAGCCACTGTGCCTCTGGATTTCTTGATGCCTCTATAACCATAATGCAACTGAGTCTCCTTACAACAATTCTTTGCATCCTTCTGAGGGTAAAATGTATATTGTGAATTCTATAATGTGGAATTGATTATATAAGTTTATTCTGTTGAATGTATCAATAGAATGTTAATTTAACAGGACAGAAAAAAAAACTTTTTAATTGAGTTAGCACAATGCCACAGACAGCTATGATCAAAGCAGGCTGGCAAAATTTATTTTGTAAATCCCCAAATTAAATAAATAAAATATAAAAGCAACAGACACATGCAGAAACTCAAAGCCAGGTCCTGTATCCCAGTCAGTATAAAAGGAAAAATCAGCCACTATAAAGCAACATGAAATTCAATCTCAATGGCCAAATTATCACTTCTGAAAATAACACGGAGGAGTCCAAATGAAATTCTCCATTATCCCATCTTATAGCTTCCTTTTAGAATTGACCAAAACGCATCCTAAATAACTGATCTCTTTGTCATTACCATGGGCTTTAAAATGATACTCCAGTACATTCCAGGAAGTTGCCAAGTTACAAATCCCAGTGTTGTATAAACAGACACACAAACACACACACATGCACATACTCATTTCATCCTATAAAACGTATCTTGTTATTATGCCAGTTTTACATATGAAAAACCTGAGACAAAGAGAGATTAAATAATTTCTTCAAAGTCATGTAACTAGTAAGTGGCAGAGACAATATTTGAAGTTATGAAGTCTCATGTGTGTTCTTAACCAACATGCTCTACTGCCTGCTGAGAATAAGGCAAGATTTAGTTCAGCAGTATTTCCAAGTATGGGAAGTACAAGGTGAACCTGGTATCTGAAGTTCTTTTAGGCCCTGAAAGTTAACACATAGTTCTGCTAATGGCATAGCACTGCAATAGCAAACAAGGAAGTGAGGGGAACAAACCACTGTCTTTGCCCCCATGGAGCTTTATTGTAGGGAGGTTAAGACAACCAAATACAAAGACGTATAAATTGATGGGAGTATCAGTCAGATGATAACACACTGAAGAGTTAGTAGGAAGAAAATAATTTGTAAACAGGAGGAGATGTAATGTCTTCTTTGAGATATGTGGCAGTAAATGAAAAGAATATTTTTTCATCTTCAGTCAAGAATGAGAAGAGATGTTTATCTGGGAATATGGTAGCTAGACTCAGGGATTTGAGGAGAACAAACCTAGTTTGGAATTGCTGTTGTGGGGAAAAAGACAGAATTAGAGTTAAATGAAAAGCTACCCCAACTCCATTAGGAGGCTAAGGTTAGAAATGATGGAACAACGGATCCCATCAGGTAGACTGTGTGACTTCTGTCATGTATGCGGGAGTTGGGATTGGATCAGAGCAACAGGAATATCAGGGTGTGGACGGCAGAAGGCTAAAGGAGGGGAGCTTGAAGCAAGTATGAGGATTCTACAGTGCTAGACAGTGTGTAGGTTATATGGCAAATGCAGCTTGAGGGGAGCAAATAGTTTGGGAGAAAAGAAAGAGGGGCCGGGTGCGATGGCTCACACCTGTAATCTCAGTACTTTGGGAAGCCAAGGCAGGCAGATCACCTGAGTTCGAGACCAGCCTGGCCAACATGGTGAAATCCCGTCGCTACTAAAAATACAAAAATTAGCCAGGTGTGACGGCACACGCCTGTAATCCCAGCTACTTGCGAGGCTGAGACAGGAGAATCGCTTGAACCCGGGAGAAGGAGGCTGCAGTGAGCTGAGATCACGCCACTACACTCCAGCCTGGGTGACAGAGCGAGACTCTGTCTTAACAATAAATAAATAAGATGAGGAAGGGTAAGGGTAAGGTCATAATGAGGGCAACAGAAAAACAGGCGCCAGAGGCAAGGGCTATGTGAGGATGGTTGTGGGTACAAGGACACATTCAGAGCTTGAGATCTTGGTGGTAGCTACACTGTCATATGTGATGACAAAGTCTGATGTTTACATGCTATGGGGGAAGCTGAAATGGAGAGAATAACTCGTGATGACCAAATCAAGGCTAAGGATCTTTGAAGCCAAGTTGTATATTGAGGCATCATTTTCAATGGTGAAGTCATCAACATTCATCTTTTTATTTTTTTTAACTAAATAAACATTTATTTCTGGCTTTGTGAATTGCTTTTGTATTTTGTAATTTCTTTTTTTCTTGGAGGATGTTTTTGTGTTGTTTCTTGTTTTGATGGAAGGTTATGTTCAGGAGGAAGTAAGAGAAGAGGTCTGTGGAAGAGGGTATGATTAGCATATGGTGAAAATCAGATTTTCACAGAGCAATATTTTATCTCTCTGAGGGAATGCAGATTGATAAAAATTTTGTTTTGGTTCTTTGAATGATGTGCACACAAACATCATGAACAATTTTGTTTCCCATATTTTCAAAGTAGATAATATTAAAATAATTGGTAATATTTTCAAAATGTGAATGGCATGTTACTGTAAAAATTGTTTTTCAGTTATTTAAATTTCATTGAATTCATAAGTTACATGGATACACCAGGTTATTTTTAACAGTGCTGTAAACTTGAAGAGCTACAGTGAATTATTCTTAATTATATACATACTGTTTACTTACCATATTTATTTTTAAATGGCTGCAGTTTTCAGATACAAATACATAATGGTAAAATAATAAAACAGTACATCCAGATGTTAAGAGATGACTGAACTATTCCCCAAGTTCGATCCACATATGTTTTGTAAGCCAATTAACTCTTCTGAACCTCTAGAGGGTACCAATAAGAACCCTTTCAAGAGTAATTTACTCAAAAAAAAAAAAAAAAAGCCTGAAAGAATTAATATGCCTCAGAATGTATCCAAAAAAGCCCAGTAAACAATTACTTTAGACCTCTGACCTAACGTATGGACTGCTGACTAGACAGATTTTTACTCAATAAAACAGACAACAAATTTATCATGTACCTTTAGGATTTGCTTTGATGAAATTCTAAAGTTTCCCTCACAGGAGTCTTCAGGGAATGTATAACAAATGTGAGACAGCACAGTAACAGCAAAAAGAAAGCTGGTCTTGGAGTCAGAAGACCCAATTCCCGCTTCCTTTACATATGCCTTTGGGCAAGACACCTAAACCACTTTGAGTCTCAGTTTTCATACCTGTAGAACAGGAATAATATCACCTGCCTCTCTGATCTGGTGGGGTCATTATAAAGATACAAACTGGCCAGGCTTGGTGGCTCACACCTGTAATCCCAGCACGTTGGGAGGCCAAGGCGGGTGGATCGCCTGAGGTCAGGAGTTTGAGACCAGCCTGATCAACATGGTGAAACCCTTTCTCTACTAAATACAAAAAATTATCCAGGAGTGGAGGCACGCGCCTGTCATCCCAGCTACTTGGGAGGCTGAGAATCTCTAGAACCCGGGAAGCAGAGGTTGCAGTTAGCTGAGACTGCACCATTGCACTCCAGCCTAGGCAACAAGAGCCAAACTCCGTTTAAAAACAAAACAAAACATACAAATGGGTCTGTGACTCTTTGTAAAATGTTTTTAATATAAAAATCTTTAGTTGATGGTATTATAAATGCTGCAATAAGAAAATTGTGCTTGGCAGGAGGATGGAGCCAAAAGAGATCTCTGGCTCTTTCCTTTTAAGTTTCTACATATAAAGGGAATATTTAGAAAGAAAACCCCAGTAAATGGAAAATATTTTTCATAGGAAACTTTCCAAAAATGCCTCTAATCTACAGCAAAGGATATTTGCATTTATTATAATTTTGTCAACTCATAAAAATAATTATGGTTGATTTCAGACCCACAGTATATAAGAATTCTGAATACATTTATTGTAATATCTGTGAAGATTTCTTATCAATATTTGAAAAGAAATTACTACTTGACACATGGAAAAATTGTTTGAGGCCAATACCATAATACTGCTTTAACTCCAAATAGAGATCTCTTTCATGCTAAATACTTTTATAGAGCAAGATGACAGCTCTTCCTTTGTTTCATTTGCTGCATTCTATTCTCCTTCCCACCATTCAGATGGAAGCATTCCCCAAGATCTCTATAAACGCGTTTTTTTCTCTATAAACCCTGTCTTAATGCATTGCTCTTACATCAAGGCTTTTGCTATTATATATAAGCTGAAATCTTATATATTGTTATCATATATAATAACAATATTACATCTTATTATATATAATATATAATATGTTATATATAATAAGATGTAATATTGTTATTATATATAATAACAATATATTATATCTTATTATATATAAGCTGAAATCTTATATTGTTATTATATATAAGCCCAAATCTCTATACCCAAACCCCAATCTTTTATTTGAGGAATGGTCTTCTAGTCTCACATAAAATTAAACATGTAATTGAGTGTCCCATGTCTTCATAAGCATCATATCCAAACCTGAGCAGACCACCTTCTCCCAGAAACCAGATCTGTTTCTGATTATCCTGTTTTCCCCAGTGGCATTACTACTCTTCCAGCTGTCACTGCTTAAAACCACAGAGTTAGCTTTTACTCTTTATCTTTTGTATTAACCATAACCAGCCAGTCACCAAGTCTCATCAATCATTTTCAAAATGCCTTTGGCATCCACCTTTGTCTGTGCATTGCAATTGCCACTTTTAGGAAGTGCATCTCACCTAAAGGTTGGAACACTGCAACTGTTCTACATGCATTCAATCCATATCACATAATGCTTCCAGAAAAAAAAAATTCTTAAGACACTGATGTCACCATATCACTACTTGATTCAATGAGTTAAAATTAAAACCTTCAATTACATTTGAAGTCCCCAGAGCTACCATAGGTTACAGAATGCAATTAGAAACTAATGAATATGACTAACATCCTGAACATGAATCAAGAGGTTTTTAGAATTGAACACATTTAACTAATACAAATTAGTGGGAAATGGCAGTGCTATCCCAAATATAAAAAATAGTCACAATCGCCATGGTGAACATGAAAAGGAAAAGCTTTTATAAACCCCACATACCAGCCTTATTGTCTCTGGGGAATTAAAAGTGCACCTGTGCCCTTTTGGCACACACATGGACTCAGCTATACATAGATGGACAAGGGTACAACAGCATTACATTACTTCTTTCTCTCTGTGGCATGGGTTATAAGCTATGATTTAAACTGTTTCTTTAAATATGCAAATCACATTTCATGCATAGATCCCACATTGATCTTGCAAAGACCAGCTCTCAGCTACATTTTTAGCATGACATACAGAGAGAAATCTCAATTTTGCTAAGATAATCTTCTTTTATTGCATTTCTACAGTTTCCTCTTTACAAATTGTTACTAGTGTCACCCTTTAATGAGTAGTGAGGTACAGGGATTCTAATTTTATTTGAGATTTTATTCATTTAGGGGAAAAAAGTTCTATTACTTTTCAGAAATAGAAAAAACTATGTCTTATTTACATAATTGTAAACTGCTCATTTTCTTTTCTCCATTAGAAGAATATTGCTGCCTAATAAAGGGTATGATCTTAGAAAGAAAAAAGTGAGCATACACTAATGAGTAGTATCAGAGCAACAAGCGAAGTTGCAAAACACTTTTTTCGCCTGTCTTACTTACCATACGTCAACAGACTTCATTTTCTATATGAATTCTCTCCCCACAAAAATAGTATTTTCAAATTTTCTACCATACACACAGAATCTAGCATATGACCCCAATGATTTTAGGATCCAGGGCCTCATGTATTTGCAGCTAAAGTTTAAGTATTAGGAAAACTACCATTTTCCCCCTAAGATTTGCTGCGTGCACCTGCTGAATTTTCTAATATAAAATCAGGGGCAGGATTTAATTATATATATAGTTTAAGGGCCAGAAACAGTGGCTCATGCCTGTAATCCCAACACTTTGGGAGGCTGAGGCGGGGGGATCGCTTGAGCCCACAAACTCGAGACCAGCCTGGCCAATATAGTGAGAGCTCGGCTCTATGAAAAATTTAAAAATTAGCATAGCATAATGGCACATGCGTGTGGTCCCAGCTACTTGGGAGGCTGAGGTGAGATGATCACTTGAACCTGGGAGGTGGAGGCTGCAGTGAGCTCATATAGTGCCACTGCACTCCAACCTGGGTGACAGAGCAAGATCCTGTCTCAAAAATATTGAAAAAAAATTTTTTTAATTGTTTAACATTTGCCTACAAATAACTTGGATTTTTAAAAACTGGATCTCAATTTTACAGTCAGTTTTACATAATCATGCCTTATATTAACTAACCTAAATTCAGCAACTGGATTTTACTTTTTGATTATTACCTTTTCTTATATGATCTAAAAAAATCTTCTTGATTTGCTTCACTATTCACTTTGCAACTCTGACTTTATAAGACTTATGCAACTTTGACTTTGTAAGACTTATGCAACTTTGACTTTGTAAGACTTGGAATAAACTAAGACCTGTTTGAGATAAGTCTTCAAAAGCATTCTCTTAGTGTCACCCTGATTAAATCTTTTGCAATCATTTTATCAAAAAAGTTATATTTCTGTCACGTCCTTGAAGGTAAGGGGTACATTTTGTACTTCTCAATGGGCCTAGTATATTGTGTTGCACAAAGTAGGAGTAAATATATATTGGGTGAAATGAACAAACATATTACTATCTAATGGTTTAATCACTAATCAGCTAAGAATAAACTATGTGAAGTACTAAATAATAAATGAATAGAATAGGGAAATATCCTTATAATATTCACATATCCTGTTGACCCACATTGCTTTATTGATTTTGTGAGTTTTTTTTTTAGACGAAGTCTTGCTTTGTCACCCAGGCTGGAGTGCAGTGGCGTGATCTCGGCTCACTGTAACCTCTGCCTCCCGGCTCAAGCAATTCTCCTGCCTCAGCCTCCCGAGTAGCTGGGATTACCAGCACCTGCCACCATGCCCGGCTCATTTTTAAAAATACTTTTAGTAGAGACAGGGTTTCACCATGTTGGCCAGGCTGGTCTTAAACTCCTGACCTCAGGCAATCCACCTGCCTCGGCCTCCCAAACTGCTGGGATTACAGGCATGAGCAACCGCACCTGGCCAATTTTGTGAGTTTCCTACTGTGCTCAGAATACTCCATTCAGTGCCATGAATAGCTAACATGTTTTGTCAATTCTGATTATATTAGGTGAATGAATAAAGGTGACATAAATTTTAATATTAACATTTTCTGTATTGTTATGACATATACATTAACTGTAACTACTGGAATATACACATATACACACATATATACATATATATACACACACACAAATACACAAACATTTCTGCTGATTAAAGTCCTTGAGGGAATTTTCCTGTGACTCCACTGACTGCCTGAGTATTTACATTACATACTTTAAAACATATACTCGGCTGGGTGAGGTGGCTCATGCTTGTAATCCCAGCACTGTGGGAGGCCGAGGCGGGTGGATCACCTGAGGTCAGGAGTTCAAGACCAGCCTGGCCAACATGATGAAATCCTGTCTCTACTAGAAATACAAAAAATTGGCCGGGCCTGGTGGCAGACACCTGTAATCCCAGCTACTCGGGAGGCTGAGGCAGGAGAGTCACTTGAACCTGGGAGGTGGAGGTTGCAGTGAGCCGAGATCGCGCCATTGCACCCAGCCTGGGCAACAAGGTGAGACTCCATCTCAAACAAAACAAAACAAAACAAAACAAAATAAAACAAAAAACAAAAAACAAAAAACGTATACTCATTCCTCAATCTTCAGAAACAAGTCCTGGCATGTTTCAAGTCATATTATGTAATTCCTAATGCCGTATTTATTTTTTACAATCTTACACTCCAGTTTACAGTGGAAGGAACATTCCATTAATAACAACTACAGACTTCCAAGTCTTCCTGGGCCATTCTTTCATTCACTCATTAGATATGGGTAACATTTGGGAGGTGGTACTATAATGACACGTTTTAGCTCTTCTTTCTCTTAGTGCCTAAAAAATCTATAGTCTGCCCTGCACCATAAGGATCTGAGTCTCTTATCCTGCTAAGTACATCTTATCTGTTAATCCTATCTATTCAATAAGCATGTAAGTTCCTCTAGAGCAGCTGTGTAATATTTTTTCTCATAGGACCTACTATGCTTAGGCACCACCAGAAGCCCTCCATATTTATCTCTGATGTTAAAATTAAGATTGCCAACAAAATTATGTGCAGGTCATCATCAGATTCTCTTTTGCAGATAGTCTGTGTACTATTGATAACATAATATTTACAACAGAAACAAGACAGATGCTTTCAATTATTTAGGTTTTTTTCTTAAAAATACATTAATTGGGTAAAATGACAATAGCTTATGGGAGTTGAGGTCATGTTGAGAAAAAAAATTTCAATATATAAACACCCAATAGGTCCATTTCTATGTTGTAGAAAGGAGAGAAATGATGGACTCAGAACATGAAGTTAACATTTCTAGTGGATATGAGTGAGCAGCAGTAAAGTTTTTAATACACTAAGCATGACTAATAAATATAATTAGAAAATCACGCAAGGTCAATTAATCAAAGAGGTCAGTTAAAGTAGGTATCCAGAAGACATGATATACATGTTAAAATCTTAAATGAAAAAGTATAAATAATATTCACTTGCTACCCTTTTTGATGTAGAGCTGAGGTATCCTATGTGAGTTAGGCTCCAGTTGGGTATCTGCAGAGCCTTCCTTGCATATAACCCATACACGAAGGGTACCCTCTAAACCAGTTTCTAGATTGATTTCTAGAATTAAGTTTCTAGAATTTAAACATTCATGAAGAAATCTAATTAGAGAAGGCTTTTGGAATGAGTTCCTATCATTTAAGTTTGTTTACGCACACCTAATTAGAGAGTAAATTTAAAATGACTTTAGCAAGTATTTTTCAAGCAGTCAACATCATTTTTGCATAAATGGCAAGGTTTTTTTTTTAAGCACCATTTCTTGGTTCACATAATATTTAATTAGAGTAAATAACTGCACCAAAAAGTACAACTGCCACATAAGGGAGGTTTGGAGAATAAGCACAATTGATTCATGATAAGCCAAAATCTCAAATGTTGAGAGCAGAAGTACCAGGGTGTACTCAAGGATCCTCTACTAGCTGCAAACAGTCAGAGTGCCTTGGGCCTCAGTCAACATGTTAAATTCAGTGAAGTGCAAGCATTGATTTCTCAAGGAATGTGGCTACAAAGAGGTGGGTTTAGAGAACTTCTATCATAAAGGTGATAGAATGGCAGACAGCCCAATAAGAGATATATCCCTTATGACCCACTTTACTGAGATCATTTTCGATTCTTAGCACACTTAGATATTTTGAGTTGGTAATTTTATAAGACAGATCTCTTTCTACAATGAATGACTCAAATAAGGATTAAGATGGTACTAATAATAAAGCACATCTAATCACAGAAAATCTATTCCTCTGTCAAAAATATGTTGATAAACTAGAAGAGAACATAGCATATTTCCCTTAAGAGACATATCTGTTCACCTAGAAATAATTTACTGCATTCATGAACACACACCAAAACTTAAGGAAGTAAAAGCAACATATATGCAAAGCATTTCTGTTTAGCAATCTTTCCCTCAAGAATGAAAGAAGAAAATGAGTTTGTTGTTAGATTAGCACACAATTAGAGAGAAGTAAGATCATTAGAGGCAGAAAGTGGTTTATTGATGGGCCTCATTGTTCTCAGTCCATAAATGAAACCATTTTGCTCCTAATGACCATAATCCCCTCCTTAATCTTGACAGTGCTAAATTACAGTTGGATATCTAATGATCTCAATCTTCTGCTTAGTTTATTAAAGCGTAAAAAGATGAAGCAGATACTAAGTGACCTGATAATAGTTAAAGAAAGACCATATCATAATTTTACTGACTAAACTCTGGCAATTAGCAACAATGGCATTTGTTGCCATAGCCTAATTGAAAAACCGTGAAATGTTGAAAACTGATTATTTTCAGAAACTGACAATTAACAATTGGGGTAAGAGCATACCCCAAACAAATTAAACAGCATCATGTGCTATCGTTAATAAGGGTCTAATTTGGTCAGGAAATGGTTGCTTTTTCTGAGTACATGCTACTCCACTTGATATTCAAGACATATCCATCTTTTTCATTTAATTTTAAACTAAAAAAACAGTAAACAATAACTTTCTCTACTTTGAACTAGACTCAAACAAAAACAAAAAACTCAGAAATACATAATTGCTGCTTCTTGAATTGCTAATACAAAGATTCTTCTATTCATTCATAGTTGACCCCAAAACAACTAACTATGAAAAGTTGAGATATGGTTTAAAGTTGTTTAAACTAATAGGATATTACTAATTTAAATCGGTAGAAATACAAGCTTTACTACACAATAGAGAATGTTTATTAAATATCAATTGCCCTAGAAATTAGAAATATAGAAAATTAGAAAATATAAGGCAAAAAATAGAGACAGGAAGTATAAAAGGTATGAAAAATGATATTTTGACTTATATTCAATTATATTTGCAGAAATATGTAATCGAGTAAATGAAAACATATCAGAAACTAAGATAAATTAAAAATGTTTGAATTTAAATGGTATAGAATGATCTACCATTTTCTACCCAAAAACTGGTGGGGGGTTAAAAACAGTCAAAAAACCATAAGCTGATATAAGTCGATTTGAATCATTCCTATTTGAAAAAACATGAAAAACACTACTAGTGGCCTGAAATTTAGGGAGAGTTAGAAGTGAATCTGCAAATAGTGATAGGATACTTAGGTAAACAATCTAGAAATTAGAGTAAAAATTTGAGCCATATATATAACAGTCAAATTTCTTCATTTAAAATAAACATTATGAAAAAAGGAAAATTTGCTTTGGACTCAGATCTAAGGAACACTTAAGGACAAGAGATCCTTTTGTACTTTAAGACAAAACAAGCTGGGCTCAGTGGCTCAAGCCTGTAATACCAACAATTTGGGAGGCTGGGTTGGGAGGATTGCTTGAGCCAAGGAGTTTGAGACCAGCCTAGACAAGATAGGGAGACTCCATCTCTACAAATAAATAAATAAAATGTTAGCTTAAGGGCATGGTGGCACAGGTCTATGGTCCCAGCTACTGAGGAGACTGAGATAGGAGGATCCCTTGATCCAATCATGTTGAGGCTGCAGTGAGTGGTGATAATCCCACTGCATGCCAGCCTTGGTAACAGTGTGAGATCCCATCCCCAAAACAAATAAAACACAAAACAAAAACCACAAACCAAACTATAATCTCCAGAAAATTATCTCAGAATTAAAGGGTCACATTATACTAGCATTGTGTGTTAGTTTAAGCATGAAAATGAATAAAGACGGATTATATGACTTTCAGACCTTCCTTTAACAATTATGTCACATTATATGTTAAAGCGAATTTAGGAGAAATCCAAGACATGATTCATATTTAATATGGGGTCTTATCACTAAAAATTGACTTCGATTTCTGTGCATGGGTAAATCTACTTTGGTCAGACACATTTTGTCATTCAGGATCATGTTTTTCTATTCAATAATCTAGACTTGGGCCAGGCATGGTGGCTCATGCCTGTAATCCCAGCACTTTGGGAGGCCAAGGAGGGTGGATCACCTGAGGTCAGGAATTTGAGGCCAGCCTGGCCACCATGGTGAAACCCCGTCTCTACTAAAAATACAAAATTAGCCTGGCATGATGGCACATGCCTGTAAACCCAGCTACTCGGGAGGCTGAGGCAGGAGAATTGCTTGAACCTGGGAGGCGGAGGTTGCAGCGAGCTGAGATCATGCCACTGCACTCCAGCCTGGGCAACAAGAGCGAAACTCCATCTCAATCATCATCATCATCATCATCATCATCATCATCATCATCATCATCATCTAGACCCTCCCTTTATACTTCAAATAATGAAATAAACAAAATGAAGGAACAAGACTAAATGTGGTAGAGATGCATCTCAAATATGGTATTTGCTTTGGTGTAATACGATGAAGTTTGCTGTAGAAATACAATTAACACTTTGAATACCATTGGAATAACTTTATCTAAATATAAATCTTTGGTACAAAGCCCAATTCAATTTTCATCTCTGTTCAAAAAACTAAACACTTGTGGACTAAAGAGACAGACATTTAATACCAATCATTTGTGTACTTTATAGAATCAGTTAATTCCATTCTAAAAACAGTTTCAGGAAAAAAAAAAAGAAGGAGCAAAATCATTTTTGTTAAATTGCGGGAAAAGTGTAATGAAAACTTGAACAAAAAATTTTGGAGGAAATTTTAAGCAAGACATTCCAGTGACTAACATGAATTAATCCCTTTACTTAACAACAACAACAAAAAATTGTTTAGCTACTTCTCTATTGAATCAACTATTTTTATGTACAGCAGAGTTACTTCTGAGTAAATGTATTAGCAAGAGAAACTTGGGTTAATAAATTAAATGAATGCTCTCAGAGCTTCTACAGAGACAAACCGCAACATTTGTGCAAATAGTATTTTTAATTAAGCTGGACTCTCCGAAGATTTGGAAAATTATATATAATCTTATTTAGCTGCAAGACCAAATATACATACACGTGTTTTATAAGTTATTATTTATTTTTACCCAAATTCAGAATAAGGAATTTAAAAATGTATATATCAGGTTGAACCACAAAAAAATGCTATTTTATATTTTATATTTAAAAAAATTGTGTGGCATCAGCAATTACACATGGTTTGACCTAACACAATACGTTTTTGCTTCAACCATGCCATATGGCCAAAAACTTTTCAAATCAACTCACTATGCATATCCTCTAAGGACACTGTAGACACTAGAAATGGCAGTAACATTTGCAATGGATGCATTTTTAGACAAAAATAAGACTTTAGTCAATGACCTAGTTCAACTTAAATTAGGCCATTTCGGTTTTTTTTTTGTTTAATGGAAAACAAAAATTCATCTAAAGATGAGACAGGCAAATGCTCATATGACTTTTATAAACTGATGTAAAGCAACAACAACAACAACAAAATCCAATGAACTGTTTTTAACAATATTTGCTCCTGTTACACAAATAGATGGTACAGCAAAACTGTTTCATTATTACATATATATTATTATCAGGGTTGTTAATATGTAGTAATTATTATTCACCTGGAGACCAAGGACAGTAAATACTTTATTTTTACATTTCCATAGATTAATTACAACACACGCACAAACACACACGAATATATTTTAAGCAGCCGTTAGACAATATAACTAAACTAATGCTTTTATAGGAACTGCTTGTCACAGGAGAAGCTCTACACAGCCAATGAGTTTAGTTTGAGGCCACAAGTTACAAAGTAGAGTTTGAAACATTCCAAAATTGGCACAGCATGTTAGGACATCTACTTCTCTGTAACCATGCCAACAGTGCCATGGAGTGCCTCTTTCACCAGCTGCCATCTGCTCCCACATCACCTTCCCTGCTCTCACCTCATCCCCATTTTACCACGGCCCCTCTGGCCCCACCCTGGTATCTCATTCCACTGTAATCTGCGATGGGGTGGTGGGGGAGCAGATGGTGGAACAGAAGTGTTTACTAGTAAACCTACATCTTCAAATTGTTGCTCTCTTTGCTCTCCTCAAAACCCAAGTTCAGTTATGACATTAAAGGTCATCTGAGATTTCTTTTTCTTTTTTTTTTTTTTCTAAAACTTGTAAGCACTGATAAAATCATACTGAAAAAGTGGGCTTGTCAGAATGAAATTTATACACATTCAGGAATTTTTAAAACAGAACTTTCACTTCCCTGGGTGGGAAGTTAAAAAAAACAAACAAAAAAACCTGCAGAATCCTAGGAGTCAGGCCTGAACTGAACTACATGCAACAAAGAATAGCCAAAGAAATAACATTTTGACAGAAGGTGGGGTACATCTAGGGAGGAGGAAAATGCATTATATAACAAATGCAGCTTGGCAATAAATATAGGTGTAATTTTCTGCTCCCAGTGTTTATTCTGCAAAGAATCTCAAAATATAAACTATCCCCCCATTCCTATCACAAAAGGGAAATATCTCTGAGAATTTACTGAATCACTGCTATGATTTTGCATGCCTGTTGAGATGCCTATTTTCAGTTTTAACTTGTCCTTGCCAATCTTCTAAGTGGTCTATAATTCTCAACGATGAGTATTTTGCAGACGCTAAATCTAATCATTCTGACATCTATAAAAGATATGCAATTGGTGAGTAAGATGAAAAATGAAGGTGCAGAAATATGAAAAGTCTATCTTGGGAAAACAATAAAGCTACAACTATGGGTAAGCATATACTTTTGCCAGGGTAGTTTCTCTTCAGCGCTGTACTTCCATCTATTTTATTATTGATAGTCCTGAAGAAAGGAACATGTGAAGCTAGTGTATTTAATCATATTTATTCAATGAATTTTATTATAATTTTACCTGAGAATTCCTAAGAATTAAGATGTGGCTTTAAAATATGATTTTCTGAAAAAAATGGCAACATTATAGCACTTATAAAACTTAATGGATATAGGTACAATTTTCCTTTTTTATCTTTACTTTTCAAACTTTCTAAAGTAGGAAATAACATCTATTCACTTTCTTTTATTTATGTTTTCCCTGAAACAGCAACAAAAATAATCCCCTCACTTCAGAGTCAACAATTTACATTTAATTTGCCCATATTATCCCTATAAGAAAAATAGTGAAGTGTTGCTCCATTTTCTCAATCTTGTGAAAAGAAATAAAAAAGCAAAATCGTAAGTGCATGTATGCTTATATCATATAAATCACTAAAATATTAAAATATAGCAGAGTTTTAAATTTTTTCTATTGAAATAATTATATTTCTTTCTCCATGACTTGCTTTCAGAGGAATGTGCTAAGCACATAAAACATTTTTCATCCACAACGTAGCCTATGCTACTCTGCTAATTTCATACACACAAAACATATTCATGGTACACTCAACAAATTATATGAAGGTTTAATAATTTCTCTAAAGACTCTCTACCAGAGGTCTGTATTTGTAAGGGCCCAGATAACTTATTGTTTTAAGTATGAGTTATAGTATCTCACAGATAAGAAAATTTACTGTTAGAATATCTACATTCAGGCCTCTGTATCCATGGGTTCCATATCCATGGATTCAAACAACTGCAGATCAAAAATATTTTTGAAAATCAATAAAAATAACAAAACAATAAAAAATAATACACATTTTTAAAACTCAATATAACAACTATTTACATGGCATTTACATTGCATTAGGTATCATAAGTAACCTACAGATGTCGAAAGTATACAGGAGGATATGCTTAGATTGTATGCAAATATTAGGCCATTTTATATCAGGACTTGAGCATCTGCAAATTTTGGTATCTCCAGCAGTTATAGAACCAGTTCCTCCAAGGATACAAAAGGACAACTGTATTTGGTTTGATTTTTTTTTTCTTGTATTAGCAGGCAGTATTTGATTTTTCCTACTAGATCAAGATGCTAAAATTAATAAAAATCAGTTGAATAAAATGCATATAATTGAGATTTCTCAGTAACAACTAAGATCATTCCAATAACTTGTTACATATGTGTTCATTACATGTGCATTTTATAGTGTTACTTTCCAAAACCAGCTCAAATGTCATCTCACATGAAAAGCATGTCCTGGCTGGGCGCGGTGGCTCATGCCTATAATCCCAGCACTTTGGGAGGCCGAGGCAGGCAGATCACCTGAGGTCAGGAGTTTGGGACCAGTCTGGTCAACATGGTGAAACCCTGTCTCTACTAAAAATACAAATATTAGCTGTGTGTGGTGGCAGGCACCTGTAATCCCAGCCACCTGGGAGGCTGAGGCAGGAGAATAGCTTGAACCTGGGAGGCGGAGGTTGCAGTGAGACGAGATTGCTCCATTGCACTCCAGCCTGGGTGACAGAGCGAGACTCTTGTCTCAAAAAAAAAAAAAGAAAAGCATGTCCTAAATTTTCACAGGAGAAATTAGGAGTTCTCTTCTTTGTATTCCTAGAGCATGTCTTGGCTTTAAATTTTAAGAAATTCTAAATTTCTTTTTCAAAAAATAAGTTTGCGTTGTTACTTTCTTTCTTTTTCTTTCTGAGATGGCATATCGCTCTGTTGCCCAGGCTGGAATGCAGTGGCACGATCTCGGCTCACTGCAACCTCTGCTTCCTGGGTTCAAGCGATTCTTCTGCCTCAGCCTCCCGAGTAGCTGGGACTACAGGCGCTTGCCACCATGCCTAGCTAATTTTTGTATTTTTGGTAGAGACGGGGTTTCACTATATTGGTCAGGCTGGTCTTGAACTCTTGACCTCGTGATCCGCCTGCCTCTGCCTCCCAAAGTTCTGGGATTACAGGCGTGAGCCAACACGCCCGGCCTTTAAATTTCTAAAATGTATGAATGAATACCTATGTGAAATTGTGAGGAAATATTTGATTATTTGGGGACAAGAATAAAATGATGGGAAAAAAACTCTCCTTCCCTCAGGGCATGGACAGAATAGTGGCTTTCTGAAACATGGGAGAGTGTAATGGGAGTGATGAAGCTGGCAGATTCAGAGCAGAACATGAGGACTGCCAGCAGAACAGCTTTAGAATGTGATCATGAGGGTGGCAGGTTAAGTATCTACAAAAAACTGGGGAACAGAGGCACAGTTTTTCCTTTCTTACTGCAGCAGGTGAGCTTCCAAAGCAGGGGACCAACGGAATTAAGTAGGGGTTGGAGTTTGTATGACAGTGAGTTAAACTACCAATCTTTCCCATTCGGCCCAAGGAAACCAGATGAATTTGAAGTGAGACGCAACAGTCCCATAGTTTTAAATGTGGCCTTGACCCTCTGTACTGATAAACACAAGAGTGGCACAGGGAAGGTAATGGTGATGGGCATAATTTCAGCTCTTTTTATTGCAACTTGGAAGACCAGCATCAAATATATTTCTCCTTCTATTTTATTTCTGTCCTTCTTAGCTTCTTTAACTCACACTATAGCATAATTTTTTTCATGCTAAACCAATTAATATTATTAAATTCAATTCCATACATAGTACTAAGTGTTTACTATGTGACAGAAATACTATGTTAGGTATGGCAGAAGTTTCTGTCCTACATCTCTCCACATTCCTCCTTCCTGAAATTAGACTCTAATACAGTAGTTGAGACAAGGCAAGCAAACAAATAGTTCAAGGCGGAAAATCGATAAGTGCCACAGCAGAATTACAATAAAAGTGTTTGACATTTCAAAAGAAAATACTGTTGCCCCCACTAGGAGTATTGCCAATGAAGGGCCAGCATTTGAGAAGGGGCTTAATGGATGGGTATATTTTACCTATATCACGTAATTCTTCTGTCAGGATCATACAAATGTTACATGCTGATTCTTCTTTCCTATATACCCCCTTCTTCTCTTAACAAAAATATACTGCTTTCTTAAAGAAAATATGGCCCAGTGCTGTGGCTCATGCCTGTAATCTCAACACTTTGGGAGGCCAAGGCGGGAAGATCACTTGAGCCCAGGAACTCGAGACCAGCCTGGGCAACATAGGGAGACCCAGTTTCTACAAAAAAAAAAAAAAATTAGCCAGGCATGGTGGTGCACATCTCTGGTCCTAGCTACTCAGGAGGTTGAGGTGGGAGGATCCCTTGAGTCCAGGAGGTTGAGGCTACAGTGAGCTGTGATCACACCACTGTACTCCAGCCTGGGCAACAGACAGAGACACTGTCTCAAAAATAATGAAGAATAAAAACGAAGAAAATGTGTAGTATGAGTTAACAATTTTACGTATAATCCATATGACACTCCTTTGTATAAGAAATATCTTCAACAGTCACCATCATTTTAAAAGATGTTTCCCACAGAAGATTCATTAATTGAGGCCTCAAAGGCCTCAATAGTATCTGTATTTACATAACAGGATACATAGTTTTTTATAGCTAAGAAACACCATACATAACATTTCTCAAGTAAATCTACCAGTCCTTAGACTGATACATCGGCTGTTAGTTTAAAATTCTTTCGGCAGTTGAGGCCGGTGAATAAGTCTCTGACATTATCAGAAAGGGTTGTTAACGGACACACGAATAAAGGAAATAGAGCAATTTTGATCTCAATATTTGACTGCTGAACATATTGGATCAATTTCGCACTTGCATCTTTAGAAACAAAGCATTTTAAAGTATGTCAGCTATAAACTACAATTTTTCCTCACTCTCAACAGTACACGTACATTCTCTGTAAGTGTATGAACGATATGTTTATTTCCATTGGTGTCTATATAGGCAAATGCATTTTTTTCCCACTACTGGAATGTAATTAACTTAGGCAGCAGAGGGTAGCAGTGTCTTAATGGCACAAACAAGTAGCCAAACTCCCATTATTTCTCTAACAGACTTTAATATAAAGTACGGAGGTTCCCACACCACCTTGCAGTCTCATGGCTAAAGGGGCATATGAAGACCTATTGGATAAATGACAGAAAACTGAGTGGAGGATTTATCTCCTTAGCTTTCATCTTCAATAATGACATGGCTGATGGTGAGCAAATAACTTAATTCCCATTTCTCTTTTCCACAGACAGTGATATGATTCACTTCACAAAGCTACCGATGGTTAGAACTAGAAATTAACAGTTTTTGAAACAACTGGAACCTATTTCCTTCTTAGTGTACATGAATGATTCATACCACTGTTAATAACAGTTGAATTCTTGCATTAGAAAGAAAAATCTCCTCAATGTGGAATGTTGACCCAACTCAGTAAAAAGCCTCTAAAGCAATAAACTGCTGAGATTCAATGAAACAAAACCACCTAATATCCAAGAAAACTATATTAGAAGGATCCTGAGAGGCAGACCAGTAGGCTACTGTCTCTCAGAAGGAGACAGATTTGATGAGATCATTATATTTCCTTTATGCATGTTGTTATTAAAAACCAAACAAAACCTAAACCTATTCATCTAGATTGCATGCTATATATAAACTGAATACCAGGGGATTTTTTTCTTAAGCAAGATTATAGGAGACTAAACCAACTCCATCATTTTCATTACTGAAATTACTAAAATTTGACTAAGTTAAGCATTTCTTATCTAAACTGTACCTATTATTGTCAGAAAAAAACTCTGTCTAACTCAAGGAAAACAGAAAATCAATACTCAAGTTTATAATCGTCATTTTAAAATTTAGGATTTTTTTTTTTTTTTTTTTTTTTTTAATTTGAGACGGAGTTTTGCTCTTGTTGCCCAGGCTGGAGCACAATGGTGCGATCTCAGCTTACCCCAACCTCCGCTTCCTGGGTTTAAGCAATTCTCCTGCCTCAGCCTCCTGAGTAGCTGGGATTACAGGCATGCGCAACCCTGCCCGCCTAATTTTGTATTTTTAGTAGAGACAGGGTTTCTCCATGTTGGTCAGGTTGGTCTTGAACTCCCGACCTCAGGTGATCCACCCACTTCGGCCTCCAAAAGTGCTGGGATTACAGGGCATGAGCCACCGTGCCCAGCCAGGACCCATTTTTTTTTTAAAGGAAATTTCTAAGAAAATTTTAAATATGAAGACATTACAACTTTTTTTTTTTTCTTTAATTTTTAGAGATGAGATCTCTTGTCCAGGCTAGAGTACAGTGTCACAATTGTAGCTCACTGTGGCCTCAAACTCCTGGGCGCAGGCAGTCTTCCTGCCTTAGCCTCCTGAGTAGGTGGGAGTAGAGGTGCGTGCCACCATGACCTGTTGACATTACAACTTTTAACACTATACACACATGCACACACAGATAAAACAAATAGTTTTTGTTCTTACTTTTCACTGAAAACATGTCGTTTTCAAATTATACAATTGTACAATTTCAAATTAGACAATTATATAAGTTTGATCTATGGAATGTCAGAACAGAAGATTGGTCTTCAAGTTATCAAGTAGCAGCGATTTGATTTTATGCCCCTATAACTAGCTACTCCCTAGTATATGGATGTTAGGGTCCTTTCATTACTCCAATTTTCTGCACATGCAATTCCCCGCCCTTACACTTTCTTTTTTACTGGGCAATTTCCTACTCATCCTCAAAGATCAAGATTAAAACCAGCTGCTCAGTAAAGATTTCCTGGACTTGAACAGGCAGAGGTGGTTGCTATGTCCACTGTACTCCATAGCACTGAGGTTAATATTAATATGAGTGAATATGCTATATGGTAATTTACTTCTTCAGATTTCTGTTTCCCTTACTATGTGTAGGATACTGAATGGCAGGTACTACACAAAATTATCTGTACTCTCAAAGTGTCTGATATATAGATGCTTAATAACTGTTTATCTATTGAATCTATAAAAATGAAAATACAACCATTTTAACAAAATTATTCTCTACAGTAAATCAAGAGTACATTTGTATATTGCTTAAGTACATTCAGCCCTTTACTAATATTTAATACAGTTACGGTTTTGGAAACATTGCTAAGAGATGCAAACCAGTATGCTGCATCTTAGTATCTGATAAAGCAAAGCACAATTCTAAAACATGACATATAATAGTATTTAGTTGGCTTTGGTAACTAACAGCAATTTGACAGGAAATAAAGAACTGGCTTAGTTGTTTGTCTTGATGATATTAACCCAAAATGTGACACACTGCATATTTTAACATTTCAATGAAAACACATTTCTTAATCTGGGAACAAGTGAAAACAGAAGCATTTTTAAGAGGCTATGATGAATAGCATAGAAAGGGAAAAAAATAGGAAAGAAGCAGTCTTTCCTCCTCTGGTTTGGAGAAATAAAAATGGGATCTATGTTTTCAACTGAAGTCAGAGTCTGAAATATGTCTATTATTTTAACACATTTTCATCTCATATCTTAGAAATTAGTCTCAGGTTGCCTTGTTAAAGTTCATATACTCAAACAACAAAAACAAGTGCAATTCCTTTCCCTATAATGATGTAATTTCTACAGAGAACAGAACATTGATCTATTATCAAATCTTCATGTGAATTCCACATTTTAAAAACAATTCTAAGTTCCACAAACTGAAACTGCATTTTCTACACATATCATCCATTCCTTTAAAGCATATATACAAAATTAAACCATAATAATGATTGTATAATGATAAAAATATCCAAAACTTCAACTATTTAACCAATGACTTCTTACATACAAATTTTAAAAGCTACATAAATGTGATAAATCACATACTCCTGAGTATGCAAAAAGCACGGTTTTTATGCAGATTGCCTCATTTAATTTTAGCAACACCCTAAATAGAACAATTTTGACAATTACAGTTATTTTATGGGAGGAGACTAATGTCTCAAGAAGTTATAAACATGTCTAATATCACATAACTGGTTACTTGCAGAGGAAGAAATAAAAATCAGGTCCTTCTATGACTAAATCCCATGGATGACCTGACTCACCCAACACTGCTTGTATCTTTTAGCAACCACAATTTGAAAAAAAAAAAAAAAAAACAAAAAACCCTAAGATTCACATTATTTAATACTATACAGTTTTTTAGTGAGAAAGGTAAGAATAGGATCTTGGTTGAGGCTACATTAAAATTAATATAATATAAACTAAGCTATTTAAACAAGGTAGAACCAAAATCAGGCATTGCAAATCATGCAGCTTATGATTATACCAAAAACACAAACCGAAAGGTTCTAACATATCTTTTTCTCAAATAACCCACAAAATGGAGACTCAAAATCATTACTTACTTTTACATGCTCTGAAATAAAGATTGATAAAATAAACTGCAATAATTGTCTCATTGCCCAGTCATTTTCTGACAGTTTTATCTACTCCTATTGCTATTGCACAGTGTTAATTCAAGTGACATTTTAGATGCTGAAGGGATATTTTATTTTCAATAGAAGGCACAATAAAGAAGAGCATACCATATTGTCTCAAATAACATTAATAATTCTAAATGATTTTAGAACTAAAATTTATCATTCCATGGAAAGGTGGAATCTCAAGATATTAGCAAAATACATATTGAAATGGTCTCAGATTTTCTTTTCTTGCCCTGTTATCAGACATGGAGGTAGGCTGATAATCCTTTAGGACAATTGTTTTATTATAGGTATCTGTTTTGTGATTTTCTTAGTCGTTTCTTTTTAATACTAAAAATCTGACATTAACCCTGTACACAAGGGCAATCTTCAAAGTTGCAAATTTGATTAGGTAGCAAACTGGCAGTTAACAAAGTGAGAACCTTCGAACCCAAGACATCTTAGGCAACAGTATAAAATATGCTAGATGACACTACTGATTTTCAGAGTTAGACTGCAGAGCAGCTCTTTAATATGCTGTATAAAGACTCAGGAAAGATCAAAGAAGAGCTGGCAAATTCTGGTGTGGAATCAAGGGAAGCATACACAGGGGTGGAACTCATGTTCTAAGTGTGCAGTGTGGCAACATGGCAGGATGCAGGAGCCATGAGAGAAAAATCAGTTGCAAGATGGTGATTCCAAACCTAAGGAAGCATCAAAAAATTATACTCCAATGCCCAGCATGACCTAGGGCTGGCCAATGTCTAAATTCCTTTTTTGCAAGGAATGTTGTTTTCACTTTGGTCTACTGAAGGAATCACCTGCTTTTCTCCACCTCCCGCCTATACCAATCTATGACTATGCTCCTGATTCTACAATGGACACCAAAGGGAAAATACAAATACTATTAGTTTTTTTTTTCTTGTTTTGACACAACCTATTCCACAAGGTGAGTAACACAACTATTGAGACATACCTCTTACTAAAAACTGATAGAACATTACTCATGCCCTGACTTCATCTTATATATATTCACTTCTTATAACTAAAAAGAAGAAAATGTTTCTTTTCAAATGAGGCTGAGGGAGATCAGTACCTTGTTTAATCAAGTAGATGTGTTATGTTTGTCCAAATGGGGCAAAGTCAGTTTAAACAAAATAAAATTACACCAAAGACTGTATAAGTTTGTATATTTACTCTTTATGCTGATCTACTTTATGTGTGATTTTAATCTCCCTACCCCATGGGCCTATTTTAGCAAAACAATATTTCAGTTTGTCAAAGATAAAGTGCACTGTGCATTGATTTCACTGTCATGTCCATTTCCTTTGCCAACAGGGACAGAACAAAATTTTAAGATAAGAGTGCTTCATAACAAGTCCAGCCCAAAGTAGCTCCTGGCCTCATCAAAGTTTAATGAGACATTCAATCTAAGAAATAAATTAAATGACATTTTGGGATCATGCTTAATGAAGCGGGTATCTACAGAAGCTCTAGATTGCAACAGTGTTCTTATAATCTGTGGAGAATAGGGCAAGAGAATGTCATCAATCATTTGGGACAAAATGGCACTCTGTGGAATAGAAACTGTTGAACCTCAGTAGCTCCCGGTCTCAATCATGGCCCAGAACTGGTTTCTTTTTATGTCAGTACCATAAAATATTTTCCATGTGTCTATGTTAATTCCATAAGTCAATGTCTCATCATTGTTATAACCACATAAAAACACACAGTGTTTGTGAAACAGCAGAATGAACAAAGCCAGGGAAAATACAATGCTGGATAAAACAAAATAGAGAATACATTTTTTAAATGGAGACATTTCTAGCTTCGGGTATGTACTTAACTCAAGACATTTTCCTATAACAGAAATGAAAATAAAGGTGACATGTCCAAAAGATATACTAAAAGCTATACTAATTAAGAAGTGATTTCCTGATAAATAGATGAACACAGAGATAACAAACACTATCATCGAAAGGTTTCCTCTTAAATAACTTGATTACTTCTGAAAGAAAGATTTAAGAAATATATCAAAGTCAAGTGTGTCAACAGTAGTAAGGGATGTGTAAAAGAGGTCAAATAATATCTTGAAACATTAATCTGTTTTTCTTTTGCACACTTTATACTACCTGGTAATTTGTTTTTCCAAAAGTTAGAGTCATCCACACTTCCTTGACATAAATTGAGATTATTATAGTATAATTACAAAGAAGAGTGAAAAGTCAATGCTTATTTGTTGACCTCCAAATTTGGATTGTCAAGCCCTTAACAGAGACAATGACTTTGAAAGCTAAGGTTTTATTTTATAATACTATGTTTCAGATGTGCAAAAGGTATACAGAATAATAAAGAATTTGTATTCATCATTCAGATTAATATACTAAATGCTTATAAATATAAAAAAAAGAAGTGATTTCCGTTAAAATCATTAAGAAGAGGATTATAAATGGTCCTAACAATAAAATGCAGTTAGTATAGAGTATCAGTTCCGATAGACTCAATTAATATATATGATTCCAAAACAATTAGTTCACTTAAAAATTAAGTGAGAATAAGTACCTTACTATTTCAACATACAAACATATCAAGTCATAGTTATAATTCTTGATAATTATAATTAACTGTAATTAAAATAAACAGAATAGGAAAACATTTGCAACAAATATTTGTTATATAAAGAATTCAAGCTACATAAAGGGTTAAAATTTGATCTTAATCAATAGACGAAGGACATATGAAGTCGATTCACAAATGAAGTGACAAAGTTAATTAAAAAAGGAAAATATTTTTCATTCAGAGTCATAGGAATTTAAGTTATAACAAAAAGCTTACCACTTTATATGTATTGGCACAATTTTTTAAAATGTCTCATTTTTACTTTTATATTTTATTGAATTTGGGCATTTGCTTGTTTTTATGAGCAGTTCTTGCTATCCCTCTTTGGAAGTCAAAGTAACATAAAATACATAAAACTACTGTTTTTGAGGCTGTGATGAAACTCATATGCTTATTTATTCCTGATGATTGTATACATTGATACAATCTTCCTGGAAAACAATTTTTCTAGAAAATTGAAGAGTAGAAAAATGTTTACAGATCTTGGTACATCTAAAAGGAAATAATCAAAGGGAGGAGATAAAAAGATACATGAAGACAGAAAATGTTAAGTTATGTTTAATAATGAAAGGTTTGAGGTCTCTGTGCTCTATAGAAGACTGATTGATGATTTTGGTACATCAATTTGAGTCAGGATTACATAATAATTAGAAATGATTATGTAGTAAGGGTAGCAACATAGAAAGAGTATCATACTTTAAAAAGTTAAGGGTAATAAATGCAAATGAAGACCTATAAACATTACCTATTGATAAAGACTGGGGAAAAGAACCTTAAAATAATGACCAAAAAAAAACCCCTCACCGCTGCCTTACATTACTGGGAGAGGGATATCAGAAACATCCTTTTGTTGCCTTAATGTTGTTTAAAAAATAAGTGATAAAAATTGAAATAATGCAAAGGCTTACATAATAGTCCACTTAATTCTGGGCCAACAGAATGAGCATCCTACTCAAAAGATATTTTTTGTAAGAACATTTGTTAGAATATTTTATTATCTCAAAACACCCAGAAAGTCTATACATTCCTTTCTAAATATATATTGCCACAGAAAATAGACTATTTTCTACCTTAAATTTATATAGGATTTTGTCAGTCATTCCCTTTTGGCAAAAGTAGCGAACACAGAAAAGCACTCCTTATCTAATAGTAGCTAATGCATTAATTAGATCCAAGTTAATCTGAAAACAGACTGAAACAAATTAAGCAAATTAAATTCTATTTTGAAGCAAAATTTATTCTTACAATCTAAATTGCAGAACTGGTTGACTCCTTCAGAGTTAATCTGCCTTCAGGTAGGTGAATATATAATCAACAAGGATAAATGGGTTTCTATTCTCTTCCTGAGTTCAATTATGTTTTTTGAAAAAGGGACCATGTCTTGTTTACTATTATATTCTTATCACTTATTACAGTATTGGACACACAGTGAATTCCAGATGGATGGATGGATATAAAAAATAATTACAAGAAAAGACACTAGAACGTTTTCATTTCCATGCTGATTCACTTTTCTTTCTTGCAGGGGGGAGACAGAGTCTCACTATGTCACTGAAGCTGGAGTGCAATGGCATGATCTCAGCTCACTGCAACCTCTGCCTCCCAGGTTCAAGTGACTCTCTTGCCTCAGCCTCCTGAGATGTGCTCCACCATGCCTGGGAAATTTTTCTATTTTTAGTAGAGACAGGGTTTCACCATGTTGGCCAGGCTGGTCTCGAACTCCTGACCTCGTGATCCACCCACCATGGCATTCCAAAGTGCTGGGATTATAGGCGCGAGCTGCTGCACCTGGCCCCGGTTCACTCTTGTGACAAATTTCTTCATTTGACAAAATAAAAGAAAGAATTTCAGTACAAAAATCAATCATCATTGCACACTCTTTAGTCCTCTGCATATATGGATCATGACTGACAAGCAACACTTAATGAAAATATTACTTTTGTGAAGCTCCATAAGGTTTATTAATCAAATACTGGGCAGAAGGTAAGACAAAATCTTACTATCTCAATCAGAGGCATGAAAAAAAGTGGGGGTCCAATTTTGGCTCTGACACTTCCTAGTTTTCTAACTTTGGGCGTGTCACTTAACTGCTTAGTACCTCAGTATTTACATCTCTAAAATTGGATGGTTCTTACCTCATAAGGTTCTGGTAAAGATTAAATGAATTAATTCATATAAAGTCCTTAGAATAGAGTCTGACATATACTATGAGCTTAATAAATGTGAGCTGCCATCATCATCATCATCATCGCCATTCTTGCGATTACTGTTGTTACAAACGTCCCACAGACGATCTTAAAAGATGTCCATAAAATCCCTAAAATGCTTGCTGAATGAGTACTTTCAATCTAACTTGGGTTTAAAATATTAAAGTGCTTCAATTGAACGCTGTAAACATTGTTACATGGCATTAAAGCTATACGACTGGTAACATTTTTCACAATATTGGTAAAGTACTTTCTTCATAAGCGATTAGACAAAACATGCAAATACCTAGTTTAGCTATTAATTTAGCCAAAAACAACAATAAAGATACTGTTAGCATGACAAAGGATTGATTAGAAAGAGTGCCAAAATTCCATAAGATAACAGTAGGTTCAATTCATGGTCCATGACACTGGCAGTAGCAAGTGAGTAGATAACAGGAGGTCACTACGAGATACTGAGATCAGAATACCAGAATCTAAAACTTAAAGCATCTTTTGAAAGCAGAGTCAAGGTAATTGGTAATAGAATTATAGAATCAGGATCACAGGCCATTAAAATAATTCTGCCAAACGATATTATTACTGGAAAGGATGCTTTTAATATGTCACAAGTATATACGCCTGAGTGTTCCTGACCCACAGCATTTTAAAAGCATTGCCTGCCCCTTGATAGGTACACTCATATTGATTTTTTTCTGTCAAACATACTATCTTCATCAATTTAAAAAAAATTTCTTTTAGCATAACCTCAGCAGAGCGTAAGATGTGTCAAATGCTAAATGAATGTTTAATTATCATTCAGCATTACAATAGATATGGCTAAGATATAAGGATATTATAAATTGATCATCTGATTATATGCATTATGTATGCCTCTATATATGTTTTCATGTATGATCCAAGTCTTTCAACGTAAAAGATCCTATGACATAAGTATCCATTTTCCCTACTAACCTCCACAATCAAAATGAAACAGCATTTTAGGACCTCATGATAACTATATTCACAATCATTCCAATATTTAAATAAATTGGTCTTTTTACAACATGTCATTTTTAGAAGTAGCTTGGAAGAGACAGAGTTAAAGAATGCTGATAAAAAGGTGTATACTTTCATTTTTAATTTTTTTTATTTTTGTTTTTACTTTAAGTTCCAGGATACATGTGCAGAATGTGCAGGTTTGTCACATAGGTATACATGTGCCATGGTGGTTTGCTGCACTCATCAACCCATCATCTAGGTTTTATGCCCTGCATGCATTAGGTATTTGTCCTAATGCTCTCCCTCCCCTTGACTCCGACCCCATGACAGGTCCTAGTGTGTGTTGGTCCCCTCCCTGTATCCATGTGTTCTCATTGTTCAACTCTCACTTATGAGTGAGAACATGTGGTGTTTGGTTTTCTGTTCCTGTGTTAGTTTGCTGAGAATGATGGCTTACAGCTTCATTCATGTCCCTGCAAAGGACATGATCTCATTCTTTTTTATGGCTGTATAGTATTCTGTGGTGGAAATGTGTCACATTTTCTTTATCCATTCTATCATTGATGGGCATTTGGGTTGGTTCCAGGTCTTTGCTATTGTAAATAGTGCTGCAATAAACATACCTGTGCATGTGTCTTTATAATAGAATGATTTATAATCCTTTGGGTGTATACCCAGTAATGAGATTGCTGGGTCAAATGGTATTTCTGGTTCTGGATCCTTGAGGAATCGCCACACTGTCTTCCACAATGGTTGAACTAATTTACACTCCCACCAATAGTGTAAAATAATTCCTATTTCTCCACAGCCTCACCAGCATCTATTGTTTGCTGACTTTTAAATAATCATCATTCTGACTGGCATGAGATGGTATCTCATTGTGGTTTTGCATTTCTCTAATGACCAGTTATGATGAGCTTTATTTCATGTATCTGTTGGCCACATTTCTTTTGAGAAAGGTCTGTTCATATCCTTTGCCTACTTTTTGATTTTTTTTTTCTTGTAAATATGCTTAAGTTCCTTGTAGATTCTGGATATTAGACCTTTGTCAGATGGGTAGAATGCAAAAATATTCTTCCATTCTGTAGGTTGCCTATTCACTCTGATGCTAGTTTCTTTTGCTGTGCAGAAGCTCTTTGTTTAATTAGATCCCATTTGTCAATTTTGGCTTTTGTTGCCATCGCTTTTGGCAGTTTAGTCAGGAAGTCTTTGCCCATGCCTATGTCCTGAATGGTATTGCTTAGGTTTTCTTCTACAGTTTTTATGGTTTTGGGATTTACATTTAAGTCTTTAATACATCTTGAGTTAATTTTTGTATAAGGTGTAAGGAAGGGGTCCAGTTTCTGTTTTCTGCATATGGCTAGCCAGTTTTCCAAGCATCATTTATTAAATAGGGAATCATTTCCCCATTGCTTTTTTTTTGTCAGTTTTGTTGAAGATCAGATGGTTTTAGATGTGTGGGGTTACACTGTGAGGTCTCTGTTCTGCTCCATTGGTCTATATGTCTGTTTTGGTACAAGTACCATGCTGTTTTGGTTACTACAGCCTTGTAGTATAGTTTAAAGTCAGGTAGTGTGATGCCTCCAGCTTTGTTCTTTTTGCTCAGGATTGTCTTGGCTATACAGGATCTTTTTTGGTTCCATATGAAATTTAAAGTAGTTTTTTTCCAACTCTGTGAAGAAAGTCAATGGTAGCTTGATGGGAATAGCACTGAATCCATACATTACTTTGGGCAGTATGGCCATTTTGACAATATTGATTCTTCCTATCCATGAGCATGGGCTGTTTTCCCATTTGTTTGTGTCTTCTCTCATTTCCTTGAGCAGTGGTTTGTAGTTCTCCTTGAAGACGTCTTTCACATTCCTTGTAAGTTGTATTCCTGGGTATTTTATTATCTTTGTAGCAATTGTGAATATGAGTTCATTCATGATTTGGCTCTCTGTGTGTCTATTATTGCTGTATAGAAATGCTTGTGATTTTTGCACATTGATTTTGTATCCTGAGACTTTGCTGAAGTTGTTTATCAGCTTAAGGAGTTTTGGGGCTGAGACGATGGGGTTTTCTAAATAGAATCATGTCATCTGCAAACAAAGACAATTTGACTTCCTCTCTTCCTATGTGAATACCCTTTATTTCTTTCTCCTGCCTGATTGCCCTGGCCAGAACTTCCAATACTATGTCGAATAGGAGTGGTGAGAGAGGCCATCCTTGTCTTGTGCAGGTTTTCAAAAAGAATGCTTCCAGCTATTGCCCATTCAGTATGATATTGGCTATGGGTTTGTCATAATTAGCTCTTACTATTTTGTGATATGTTCAATCAATGCCTAGTTTATTGAGAGTTTTTAACATGAAATGACGTTGAATTTTATTGAAGGCCTTTTCTGCATCTATTGAGATGATCATGTGGCTTTTGTCATTGGTTCTATTTTTGTGATGGATTATGTTTATTGATTTGCATATATTGAACCAGCCTTGCATCCCAGGGATGAAGCCAACTTGATCGTGGTAGATAAGCTTTTTCATGTGCTGCTGGATTCAGTTTACCAATATGTTATTGAGGATTTCTGCATTGATGTTCATTAGGGATATTGGCCTGAAGTTTCCTTTTTTTTGTTGTGTCTCTGCCACATTTTGGTATCAGGATCGTGCTGGCCTCATAATATGAGTTAGGGAGGAGTCCCTCTTTTTCAGTTGTCTGGAATAGTTTCAGAAGGAATGGTACCGGCTCCTCTTTGTACCTCTGGTAGAATTCAGCTGTGAATCCATCTGGTTTGGGGCTTTTTTGGTTGGTATGCTATTAATTACTGCCTCAATTTCAGAACTTGGTATTGGTCTATTCAGGGATTCGACTTCTTCCTGGTTTAGTCTTGGGAGGGTGTATGTGTCCAGGAACTTATCTATTTCTTCTAGATTTTCTAGTTTATTTGTGTAGAGGTGTTTACAGTATTCTCTGATGGTAGTTTGTATTTCTGTGGGACCAGTGGTGATATCGCCTTTATCTTTTTTTATTGTGTCTATTTGATTCTTCTCTCTTTTCTTCTTTATTAGTCTGGCTAGCAGTCCATCTATTTTGTTAATCTTTTCAAAAAATCAGCTCCTGGATTCATTGATTTTTTTGAAGGGTTTTTCGTGTCTCTATCTCCTTCATTTCTGCTCTCATCTTAGTTATTTCTTGTCTTCTGCTAGCTTTTCAATTTGTTTGCTCTTGCTTCTCTAGTTCTTTTAATTGTGATGTTAGGGTTTTGATTTGGGATCTTCCCATCTTTCTGATGTGGGCACTTAGTGCTATAAAGTTCCCTATTAACACTGCTTTAGCTGTGTCCCAGAGATTCTGGTACACTGTCTCCTTGTTCTCATTGGTTTCAAAGAACTTCTTGATTTCTGCCTTCATTTTGTTATATACCCAGGGGTCATTCAGGAGGAGGTTGTACGATTTCCACGTAGTCGTGTGACTTTGAGTGAGTTTCTTAATCCTGAGTTCTAATTTGATTGCACTGTGGTCTGAGAGACTTGTTATGATTTCCATTGTTTTGCATTTGCTGAGGAGTGTTTTACTTCCAATTATGTGGTCCATTTTAGAATAAGTGCTGAGAAGAATGTATATTCTGTTGATTTGGTGTCAAGAGTTCTGTAGATGTCTATTAGGTCCACTTGATCCAGAGCTGAGTTTGAGTCCTGAATATCCTTGTTAATTTTCTGTCTTGTTAATCTGTCAAACATTGACAGTGGGGTGTTAAAGTCTCCCACTATCATTGTGTGTGAGTCTAAGTTTCTTTATAGGTCTCTGAGAACTTGTTTGATGAGTCCGGTTGCTCCTGTATTGAGTGCATATGTATTTAGGACAGTTAGCTCTTCTTGTTGCATTGATCTCTATACCATTAGGTAGTACCCTCCTTTACCTTTTTTAACCTTTGTTGGTTTAAAAGTCTGTTTTATCAGAGACTAGGATTGCAATCCCTGCTATTTATTTTTTATTTTTTATTTTTTTGCTTTCCATTTACTTGGTAAATACTCCTCCATCCCTTTATTTTGAGCCTATGTGTGTCTTTGCATGTGAGATGGGTCTCCTGAATACAGCACACTGATGTGTCTTCACTCTTTATCCAATTTGCCCGTCTGTGTCTTTTAATTGCGGCATTTAGCCCATTTACATTTAAGGTTAATACTGTTTTGTGTGAATTTGATCCTGTCATCATGATGCTAGCTGGTTATTTTGCACATTAGTTGATGCAGTTTCTTCATAGTGTCATTGGTCTTTATATTTTGGTACGTTTTTGTAGTGGCTGGTACCAGTTTTCCCTTTCTATATTTAGTGCTTCCTTCAGGAGCTCTTGAAAAGCAGGCCTGATGGTGACAAAATGCCTCAGCATTTGCTTGTCTGGAAAGGATTTTATTTCCACTTCGCTTATGAAGCTTAGTTTGGCTGGATATGAAATTCTGGGATGAAAATTCTTTAAGAATGTTGAATATTGGCTCCCACTCTTTTCTGGCTTGTAGGGTTCCTGTAGAGAGATCTGCTGTTAGTCTGATGGGCTTCCCTTTGTAGGTGACCTAACCTTTCTCTCTGGCTGCCCTTAACAGTTTTTCTTTCATTTCAACCTTGGAGAATCTGATGATTATTTGTCTTGGGGTTGACCTTCTCATGGAGTATCTTAGTGGTGTTCTCTGTATTTCCTGAATTTGAATGTTGGCCTGTCTTGCTAGGTTGGGGACGTTCTCCTGGATAATATCCTGAAGTGTGTTTTCCAACTTGGTTCCATTCTCCCCATCACTTTCAGGTATACCAAACAATCATAGTTGGTCTTTTCACATAATGCCACATTTCTTGGAGGGTTTGTTCATTCCTTTTCATTCTATGTTCTCCAATCTTGTCTGCACACCTAATTTCAGCAAGGTGGTCTTCAATCTCTGATATCCTTTCTTCTGCTTGATCGATTCAGCTATTGATCCTTGTGTATGCTTCATAAAGATTTTGTGCTGTGTTTTTCAGCTCCATCAGGTCATTTATGTCCATCTCTAAACTGGTTATTCTAGTTAGCAGTTCCTCTAACCTTTTATCAAGGTTCTTAGCTTCCTTGCATTGGGTTAGAACATGATCCTTTAGCTCAGAGAAGTTTGTTATTGCCCACCTTCTGCAGTCTACTTCTGTCAATTCGTCAGTCTCATCCTCCGTCCAGTTTTGTGCCCTGGCTGGAGAGGTGTTGCGTTCATTTGGAGGAGAAGAGGCATTCTGGTGTTTGGAATTTTCAGAGTTTTTGCGCTGGTTTTTCCTCATCTTCATGGATTTATCTACCTTTGATCTTTGAGGCTGATGACCTTTGGATGGGGTTTTTTTTGGGGGGGGGGTCTTTCTTGTTGATGCTGTTGTTGCTTTCTGTTAGTTTTTCTTCTAACAGGCCTCTCTTCTGCAGTTCTGCTGGAGTTTGCTGGAGATCCACTCCAGACCCTGTTCACCTGGGTATCACCAGTGGAGGCTGCAGAACAGCAAAGACTGTTATCTGCTCCTTCCTCTGGAATTTTCATCCCAGAGGGGCACCGGCCTGATGCCAGCTGGAGCTCTCCTGTATGAGATATTTGTCAAGCCCTGTTGGGAGGTCTCTCCCAGTCAGGAGGCATGGGGGTCATGGACCCACCTGAGGAGGCAGACTGAGCCTTACCAGAGCTGGTGCGCTGTGCTGGAAGAATCCCCCTTATCAGGATCAGCTGCTGCCTTCGAAGCCGGCAGGCAGGAAAGATTAAGTCCACTGAAGCTGCGCCTGCAGCTGCCCCTCCCCACAGGTGCTCTGTCCCAGGAAGATGAGAGTTTTATCTGTAAGCCCCTGACTGGGGCTGTGGCATTTCCTTCAGAGAGGCCCCGCCCCTGAGTAGGAATCTAGAGAAGCATTCTGGCCACAGCCGCTTTGCCACGCTGTGATGAATTCCGCCCAGTCCAAACCTGTCAGTCTCAGCACTGTCAGGGGAAAACCACCTACTAAAACCTCAGTAATGGCGGATGACCCTCCCTATCACCAAGCTTGATCATCCCAGCTCGACTCCAGATGGTTCTTAGCTTGCTGAGCTCCGTGGGAATGGGACCTGCTGAGCGAGACCACTTGGCTCCCTGGCTTCAGCCACATTTCCAGGGGAGTAGATGGTTCTCCTGTTTCGCTGGTGTTCCAGGCACCGCCGGGGTACAAAAACAACTCCCGCAGCTAGCTGGGTGCCTGCCCAAACAGCTGCCCAGTTTTGTGCTTGAGACCCAGGGCCCTGGTAGTGCAGGCATACGAGGGAATCTCCTGATCTGCAGATTGCAAAAATTCGTGGGAAAAGCGTAGTATCTGGGGCGGGTAGCACAGCCCCTCACTGCTTCCCTTGGCTGGGGGAGGGAGGTCCCTGGCTCCTTGGCCTTCCTGGGAGAAGCGACGCCCCATCCTGCTTGTGCTCACTCTCTTTGGGTTGCACCCACTGTCTAATCAGTCCCAATGAGATCAACTAGGTACCTCCCTTCTGCATTTGTCTCGTTGGGAGCTGCAGACTGGAGCTGTTTCTATTTGGCCATCTTGGCTCCTCCATCCCCAAAATGAAAAGGTGTATACTTTTACTATACTTGGTCTAGCTCTTTTAAAAGTAGGTAACCTTTAAAAAGTACTTAGAAAGGAAATACAACAGACCAAATATTCTGATTTCTTCATGGCTGAAAAAGTGTCAGATGATTCAAAGATAAGAGCATGAATGTACAGTCCATCGAAATCTGAGTAGAAGCCAAAGGATTAAGTTGCTATTAATATCAACAAGGTTTCAGGAAGTTTCCCTACCCTACTCCTCCACCAAGCCCTGGTTGAAATCAGAACTGAAAACAGCAGTTGGTATATGGAAAGTTTTCAACTTCAGTGCTGAGAAAACTAATATTTCACAAGAACTAGAACATTGCGGGAGATCAGAAAAGAAGGAAAAATAGAAATTGCTTCAACAAAGAAGCAAGGAACATGATGTAAAGAAAGAAATATCCCTGGATCAAGCTTTACATAAATGCTTGCTTGAGAGACTGGAGTGTAGAATTATGCCATTGGCAAATATTAATAAAAAGATACAGATACACACATATACATATACATGTGTACATGTACATATGCATGTATACACATATTCCATACACATATATGGAATAAAAGCAATTTAAGCTATACAACATGATAAAGCAAGTTATTTTATAAGAAATGTATTATCAGTTTTTATGTTCAGATACACACACGTACACACACACACACACATATACATATGTTAATATAATCCTCAAAAAAACCACCTTATGGGAAGATTACTTAGATTGAGGGTGGCTAACTATTATAAGGGGAGATTATAAAAAATAGGGTAAGAGAAAAACTCAGCACTGCCTTCCTCTGAAACATGCCTTAGCTTATGGCTAGGTGCTTTTCCTCCCATCCACTGCCTGCCCTGACCCCACCCTCCCAAAGCACTTACTTCTCTGCTTGTGAATTCTTCTTTCTACATTCACTTCCCCTCACCTTTAATCAAGTTTGGCCATGGCTCACATGTCAACCTAATATATTTGAAATATAAAGGATATCTCCTGCTTTCCTTTCTTAACAAAGTATAATGCTGTCAAAGTATGAGGGGATTTGTGAGCTGACAGGGATGAAAATATCAAATGAATGTGCTGGAAAATCACTGTGACTTTACGATAACAGAAGACCACACTACTTAAACTATGTAGTTGAAGTTCAATATATGTGATTAAACCCATCAGGTACTTACTTGTCTATAGTCAGCACTGTGCTAACTGATAAAAAATGCAGTAGCTGGCATGGATCATTAGCTTAAAGATGTTATAATTTTAATGGAATAAAAGATCAGAAGAAATAATATACTTAAGGCATTGTTGGTAATTCTGTAAATTCATAATATTTTACATAGGAATGAACTTTTATTTATTATAATTGCAAATACATTAAGTACAAATTAAAATACATTTGTGCCTATATATGTATAATATGCATATTCAAATTAAATAAGTCCTAGTTTCATCCACTTCGTAAGTTTTCATAGAAAAACTTCTGTGACCACGTGTAACAATGGACAAGTTTAGCTTAAAGGGTATATTAAAATCTGATGGTCCTTATATTAATATATATATACACACATATGCGTGTATATATATATGTATATACACATATGTGTGTGTGTGTGTGTGTGTGTGTGTGTGTGTGTGTGTATTTTGTTGTTGTTGTTAGTATACCTCACTGATTTGACCAGGAACGTTTTAGGTAAATAAAACAGAATCCTTAGGTTTCTTATATATCTCTCTAGAGTCGTCTAATGAGTTTTTCTTTTTAACCATAAGATGAGCTTCTCAACATTCATGAGACATGCACCAGAATCATTCATTCCCCTTGTCTTTTGAAAGAAACAAATAGTTTTCAGCTGACTCTCATGAATCTGACAGTCTCTCTTTCTGAGTCCTATAAAGCTGTCTAAGTGATGCAAACATAACTGGCTTGCTTTAGAATACTGAATAGCATTTTCTATTTATTTTTACTCAACTGGAAATACACAAGGCTGGGGAAATAGAGAAAAGAATTAAAATAACTGGTTTTTAAAGAACAACCTGGTCAAATTAGTAAAATCTTAGCCCTTGACAGCCAACGTGGTTGTGGTCAAGGAAAATCATAAAATGACCTGAACACTTCAAACTTAACCTTGGGAAAAGGCTGAAGAGCAGCCATTTGTTAAGCTGAAGCTACTAATTCTGCAAATCAAATATATAAATATCACCCTACCATGCCCCTGGTAAACAAGAGAACTGAAACAAATGTCATCTATAGTAAGCAAGGCACAGTAAATATACTTTAAAATGCAGATATAGCTCAGGAACTACTATAGAATTATCTTCCAGTAAAATAGGCTAACTAAATTTCTTACATATGTGATCGATTGTTAGATGTCTGAAGGAAGTTTATAAGAATAACTTACACTCTACCTTATATGAGATGAAGAATCACACAGTGTTTCTCCTTCTTATGGTCCTAAGATATTCGAATTTGCACTATTCTTAAAATGAGGCATATATAGAAAATGTAAGCACATAATTTCTTTAGTATTAGGAAGTTCTGTTTATGATTTGTGTCTATATGTGTATATACTTATGTACATGAATGTACAGATAACCTTCCATGTGACTCAGAACACATCTCATGGGGAACACAATTAGTCCTCACTATAAATTTATGAATTAAGTTACCATTTTTCTTTTGGCACATGAGAGGGAATAGAGATAGTATATGAGTATAGTGAGTACAGCAGCCAGGCAATGGCAGAACAAGAACTGGCCTTCACTTGTATTTACCTTTCATTTAATTTTCTTTTACCAGTTACACATTATTGTTTTTTATGTATTTCCTCAAAACTTCCTAACACCTGTAATCCCAGCATTTTGGGAGGCTGAGGCGGGTGGATCACTTGAGGTCAGGAATTCAAGACCAGTCTGACCAACATGGTGAAACCCCATTTCCACTAAAAATACAAAATTAGTCAGGCGTGGTGGCACATGTCTGTAATCTCAGCTATTTGGGAGGCTGAGGCAGGAAAATCGCTTGAACCCGGCAGGCGGAGGTTGCAGTGAGCCAAAATCACACCACTGCACTCCAGCCTGGGCAACAAAAGCAAAACTCCATCTCAAAAAAAAAAAAAACCGAAAAAAAAGAAATAAAAACCCTTTTTCATTTACATTTTCCAAACGAAAATCAGATATGTACCAGCTGCAAATATACACTCTCAATATAGAAATTGCGTTTAAAATAACTATACAGTGATACCTGGCTCATTTCCTATATTTCAATCTAGAAAGAAATTGTTGGTAAAGGTCAGAGTGAACATTTTCCCTTTTTTTCTTTAACAAACTTCCAGTACTAGCTCATAATTGAAGCATTTCATGTTATTTCTTTCCTGGTATCTCTACCATTTCTGTGTTTACTAACATTTGATGACAAATCCCGTTATTAGTTTTGTGGATTTTATACCACTAGAACCATATTTTCTATCAACAAATTTCTGTTAGCATCTGATGATGTCCTAATGCCTACAATCTTCTGTTATATCCTGCTTGGCTTCAGAGCAGATAAGAAGGCAGTAACATGGAACTGAATGAGCAAAGGTAAGATATAATACCAAAAATCCCTTTTTATTGTTCTTTCTCTATATACTGCAATACAACAAAACTATACACACGTATGTGCATGTGTGTGTGTGTGTGTGTGTGTGTATGTATGTGTGTGTGTATGTGTATCACTACAACTCTGATTCTGAGTTCTGGATCCAGTGATAAGCTACCGAGCTTTGCTAGCCTGTGTAATTGTCCCCATGTGTTTCCAATAATTAGTAGCTTCTGAAGATATCATTGTCATATTCTTTCATATTTTTCTCATATTTGAAAATACAGTTATGATTTTAGTCATTTATTGCAATTAAATCTTGCAAAGAATGCTTTTATTTTGAAAAACAATGGCATCATGTCAAATAATTAACTTGTGTTCTCTTTACACACACATTTTTATTTATTTGCTTCTAAGTTAACTACCCAGCTACTGATAAGCTTTTCTGCTCTATGAACAATCACGTTTACTACTGCCCCATGGATGCTTACTCTTCTTTTTTTTTTTTTAACAACATAATGTTATTTGCTTCCCTTTTATTTTTTTAATATGTCGAACAGAATATTTCAACATTAAAAATTTGTAACATGGTAGGCCAGTGCGGGCTTAGACTTTTTGTATTACTTTCCATTTATTAGCAATCTATCCACTTTTTTTTTTTTTTTTTTTGAGACGGAGTCTTGCTCTATCGCCCAGGCTGGAGTGCAGTGGCGAGATCTCAGCTCACTGCAACCTCCACCCCCCAGGTTCAAGCGATTCTCCTGTCTCAGCCTCCTGAGTAGCTGAGATTACAGGTGTGCACTACCATGCCCAGCTAATTTTTGTATTTTTAGTAGAGACGGGGTTTCACCATGTTGGCCAGGCTGGTCTTGAACTCCTGACCTCAAGTGATCTACCCGCTTCAGCCTCCCAAAGTGCTGGGATTACAGGCATGAGCCACTGCGCCTGGCCTAATCTATCCACTTTTAATCATTTCTCATTTTACCAGTGAGACTAGTCAATGGCAATTTCCAATTATACTTCAAGGGACAATGCTGAAGTTACACTTTAATATTTAATTAAAAATTCATTATGATGCCCCAAATGTATGATTATACAATATATTTTGATGTTATATATATTTCAGCTATCTCCTAGAAGATATCATTTACTTTTTAATTTTGTTTATAACTTTTTTTAAATTACGGAATTGATCAAGTGACACATATCTATCAAAATTTACATGAGGTTTTCTCCTAAACTTTCATGCTCAGTAAGCCCAGCCCTATCCTAAGACTAAACAATAGCCACCTAGGTTTTGTTGTCCTTTATTGATTCATTTTATTAGCTTTTGCTTTTTTAATCATTACAAAATTTATTTTAGAATATGGTAAGGTTGGGACCATACTCCCCAACCAAATGGTTTAACCAATTATTACAGAACTGTTGATTAAGTAAATCCATCCTTGAGGAAGGTAGTTATACAGTTTAGGAAACAATTTTGAATGATCTAAAAAATAGGCTTTCCTAATAATGTGGGCTCTTTCTCTTGCTGACATAAATAATATGTGCCTGTATACTGTTAAGCTATAAAATGGTTCATTTAATCACATTTAATTGTTTATGATTTTATACTTAATTCTAGCTTAAACTCTATAACAATACTATTTATTTTCTCCCCTCCCCTCTCATCATGATGTTTAAGGTAGGTTATCTGGACAGGTGAAATCACTAAAACAAATTCAACAATTTGAAAATATTTCTAGGGGCCGGGTGCAGTGGTTCACGCCTGTAATCCCAGCACTTTGGGAGGCCAAGGTGGGCGGATCACGAGGTCGGGAGATCGAGACCATCCTGGCTAACACAGTGAAACCCCGTCTCTACTAAAAATACAAAAAGAAATTAGCCGGGCTTGGTGGCGGGTGCCTGTAGTCCCAGCTACTCGGGAGGCTGAGGCAGGAGAATGGCTTGAACCCGGGAGGCGGAGCGTGCAGTGAGCCAAGATCACGCCACTGCACTCCAGCCTGGGCAACAGAGCAAGACTCCGTCAAAAAAAAAAAAAAAAATTTCTAGGATATTAAAATGGAAATGGGATGTTTTACTAAGAATCATACCATTATCTGGTAGGGAAGGGAGAAGCCATTTTTAATACTAATATGCAAAGAGAAACATTACCGTAGAGCAGAGATATGGAGCAAATGCAAGACTTGTAGTCATATGACCTGAGGTTCTAAATCTGACTCTGCGACTTATTAGCTAGTTCTGCTGTTTTGGGCACATTACTTAAGGCATCTGAGCTTCAGTCTGTCATCCACAAAATGAGAGTGAGCAAATATGTCCTCACAGTGTTTTCAGAAAAAACAAAGCCTGACAATGTATGTAAAAGATACACTGAATACCAAAAAGAAATAAAGAAGTGTTTATTATATAAAGTATTATACAAATATATAATATTATGACAAAACTAACTTATTTATAGGCCAGAAATTAGAACCCATAATCCACGGATTTAAATTTTCCAATTGGCTTGATTGCCTACTTCCAGCAGAGAAAGCAAAGTGAGTAGGTAGTTCCTTGAGTCATATAATATTTTGTGAGGATGCTAAAATCCTGCTAAAGAGCAAAATAAATAAATGCATATAACATGTAATTAAAAGTATTATACAAGTATATTTTCCATTCAACTTGTCAGCATAAACTTCACCAGAAAATGAAATCGCTTTTCCAGCACCAGTAGAATGCAACCAAGTAGAATGCAATCAATGTCTTTATTAAATGATACCAACTGGGAGATAACTTAGTCTTAGTACAAGGACAATAAAAGGCCTTAAATTTTTGGCAAGACAAATGTACCTTTAATTCACTTTAATAAAATAAGAGAAATCAATAATTAAAATGTGCTTGAGAAACTAAATTAACTGCATAATGAAGGTAACCCAATGAAGTACTGGCACATCAAAATATAGGAAGTATAAATCTGGTAAAAGAAGAAAAATAAAATTGACAAAGTTCAAGTTAATTTAAGAATAGAAATGTGGGCTGGGCACGGTGGCTTATGCCTGTAATCCCAATATACTGGGAGACTGAGGCGGGAGGATTGCTTGAGCTCAGGAGTTTGAGGCCAGCCTGGCCAACATGGTGAAACCCAATCTCTACAAAAAATGCAAAAAATTAGCCAGGCATGGTGGCGAGCACCTGTGGTCCCAGCTACTAAGGAGGCTGAGGTGGGAGAATCGCTTGAGCCCAGGAGGTCGAGGCTGCAGTGGGCCAAGATGGCACCACTGCACTCCAGCCTGGGCGACAGAGAGAGACCCTGTCTCAAAAAAAAAAAAAAAAAAGAAAAGAAAAAGAAAAAGAAAGAAATAATGTATTATTTAGGAAAAAGAGAGGGAATTTGTTGCTTTATTCAGAGCTGTGGACTAGGAATATGAATGTGTAGGTTCTAGTTTTAATTCCATGATTTCTTAGTAGTGAGTCTTAAGTAACTCTCTTAACTTCTCCTAGGCCTTACTTTTCTCAAATATGAAATAAGGAGATCAAACTAGACCAGTTGTTCTCAGGTGTTAGGGTTTCAGAAACTGCAAAAAATCGGGAGGCACTTTTTATACTGCCAAATTAGGCTATTATTTTAAGAGGAAAATTCCTACCATCTATCATCACCGTCATCTCATAAAAGTAGGATATTTTATCATGAAAAAATATGTAAAAGAAATAATCTCAGAATAAAGGAGTAGTTCTTTATACTGAATACATTGAGCTTAAATTTCTGTGTGTTTTAAATTATCATTTACAGGCTGATGAAAACTTCACAGGTTAACACTGGTTCACAGAACAGTGTTTTAGCAAATGGAATCTAAGGGCGCATCTAGCTCTTACATTCTATGGCTCAACTCCTATTTAGATACTCTCTTGCTTTACAAAATAGGTATATGCACGGATTTAAAAAGCAGGTATTAGTGTTAAGGGTATTACTGGGCATTAGGGGTAGAGATAAAGAGAACTTCTACTTTTGAAAAAGTACTTTTCTTTTCTTTTCTTTTTTTTTTTTTTTTTTTTTGAGACGGAGTCTCACTCTCTTGCCCAGGCTGGAGTGCAGTGGCACAATCTTGGCTCACCAAAACCTCTGCCTCACGGGTTCAAGTGATTCTCCTGCCTCAGCCTCCCAAGTAGCTGCGAGCACCTACAGGTGCGAGCCACCATGCCCAGGTAATTTTTGTATTTTTAGTAGAGAAGGGGTTTCACTATGTTGGCCAGGCTAGTCTCAAACTCCTGACCTCGTGATCTGCCCACCTTGGCCTCCCAAAGTGCTGGGATTACAGGTGTGAGCCACTGCACTCAGCAAAAGTACTTATTTTTCATTGTGGTAAGGCAAAGAGTCTTGTCTGGGATAAATTCTTGTTTCAGTGTGGCCATTTTACTATTAGGTTCATGAACATGCTAATGTTCAGTTTTTCACTGCTTCCTTTTGAGATGATTAGAGTAGACTCATACTCATCTTTTCAGCACTTATTTGGAGGGCAGCAAAGCTCATGCTGCTATCCAGTCACTTTTCTTTCTTCTACCTTGTCTCCCTAAGATTTAAGTATAAACTGACGATATTATGGAAATCAAAAATTAAGCGAACTAAAGTATAAAAAGTATCTTGTTTGTGTTATACTTTGGATCATATAAACAGAATGCTAATGAATGCATTGTAGGTTTTTAAGGGTTATTTTCCAAACTTAGCAAGGTAATTAACATATCATGCTAATACAAATATTAATAGAAATATAGATATACTTTGAGCAGCCTGCAGCCTACACCTACTTTCCTAGAGCTGAGAGAAGAGTGAGACTACTCTCCTTAAGCCTGCTTCCCAGGGAAGATACAAAATGCTTTCTCAGTATCTATCCCACTAGAGATTTTAAAAGGAAGAACTCTGAAGGAACAAATCCAACAAATGTGTAATTTTTTATTTCTACACTTGATCTTAGCCAAAAGGCCAAGAAGCAATACATTTTTCTTTTTTTTTTCTTTTTTTTTTTGAGAGAGTTTCCCTCTTGTTGCCCAGGCTGGAGTGCAATGGCATGATCTTGGCTCACGGCAACCTCTGCCTCCCAGGTTCAAGCGATTCTCCTGCCTCAGCCTCCCAAGTAGCTGGGATTACAGTCATGAGCCACCAAGCCCAGCTAATTTTGTATTTTTAGTAACGACAGGGTTTCACCAGGTTGGTCAGAATGGTCTTGAACTCCTGACCTCAGGTGATCCGCCTGCCTGGGCCTCTCAAAGTGCTGGGATTACAGGCGTGAACCACTGCGCCCAGCCCGTTTTTATTTCTCTGTATGAGAGTCAGGTCCACTTAGCATTTGAAAGAGGGGGCTACTGCACACAGAATTAGGTGGGGAAAGGACGAGGACTTTATGGGATTAGGAGAAAGAACTTTGCCTTGTGACTTCAGATAATGAACTGGGGGAAGGACTGGCAGTGATTCACCTTCTAGAGTCCAGTACCTATGAATTTTTTTTTTTTTTTTTTTTTGAAATGGAGTCTCACTCTGTCACCCAGGCTAGAGTACAGTGGCATGATCTCAGCTCACTGCAACCTCCGCCTCCCGGGTTCAAGAAATTCTCTGCCTCAGCAGGGATTACAGGCGCCTGACACCATACCTGGCTAATTTTTGTATTTTCAGTAGAGATGGGGTTTCACCATGTTGGCCAGGCTGGTCTTGAACTCCTGAACTCGTGATCCACCCACCTCAGCCTCCCAAAGTGCCGGGATTACAGGCGTGAGCCACCATGCCTGGCCGATTTACAATGTCTTGCTAACTAAGGAGCAACATGGGACAGCATCCCCAGTGAGGCTGACCCTTATGTCATCCTTCTGAAGTTGCTAAGATATGTACTTTGAAAAGTTTCTAAAAGTTACACAATATATAGTTTAAACTCTATTGGTCCTATTAAGGGTACATGTTTTTAAATTCTCTCCACTCTGCTGAAACAAAGGCAGCCCGCAGAAAAACCTTTAAACCTTTGAAAACTTTTCCCAATCTGGACTGGCGTAATATCCTAGAATCACAAATCTGTTCATCTACCCTAGTGATGGCCCATGCCACTATAACTAAAAACCTCTATCATTCAAGGAATGCACACTCTGGAGACTAGTGCATTGTACAAACACAAAGAATGGGGCTACCAATGCCATGAATTCACAAAGAATTTGGTTGAAAAACAGAGCAGATCATCAGTGGTGAAGCAAGTGACGAGAAACCTAGAAACCAAGAGATTAAATTCTAAATCTGTTTCTGCTACTTTTTCATTATTTAAGACTAATAAAGCCGTTTTGATACTGTCTATGTGAAAGAGACATTTTCTAATAGCACTAGAGTTTTTCTCCTGAGCCAAAACACTCATGCACGTAGGATACAACTTAACAAGCCAAGTAAGAGTGCCCAGAGTTTGAGTAGGCAGCCTTTATTGCCTATGTGTTGACAATCTCTGCCTTTGCTCTTGCCCTAAGGGCACTGCAATCATCATACCTGCCTAGTTAAGCATCTCTCTAGGGCCTTGCCCTTCAGAGGCAGGTAACTCAAACAGCATGCCAGCTTTAAAGGTTACATTTTCTCACAATAAATCCTACTCACTTTTTGTTTTCTTTTTCTTTTTGGCTAGGCAAAAAGAGGGATTTTTTAAAAATTGCTTCTTATTTTTTAACCTTTTTCTTCATTTAGTAGAGACATTAATTTTATAATATTGGACATAGGGATTGGCAATTTTTAATAAAGAAAATGGTTTTACATATCAATGGCAATAGATGGGTTAAAATATCATTTGTAATTCACTATCCATATCCTAAGATAAACCCAGGAATATACAGTACTTCTGTAGTGTCCAGCCATTACTTAGCAAGGGAAGAGGGAGGGTGGGAGGGAGGGAGGGGGGGGGACGACTGATTCTGAGAAAAGCTTCATAGACCAATTCTTTTGTGGCTTGTTTCTCAGACTGTTCTCTCTGGTAAATACGACCTTGGGGGCCACATCTTTCTTCTGTTCTTCTATATACCACTGCTACAAGACCTCTAATCAAGCGCAGTTATTGATTACCCTGGGTTCACATAAGGCTTTTTGGTTAGTCAACCTTTCCTTTAACCTCCGCTCTTCAGACATCAGAATAATGTCTTCATTCATCTCTTGAACTTGCTTACATACCTGAATTATTTGCCCAGCTTTTCTCTTTCTATATCTAACTAAATTCCTGTGCACCTCCCATCCTCCTCATTTTCAGCTAAAATAGCTGTCTTGGCACGGTGAAGAAAAAGTAATCTTGCCAACTTCTCTGGCTGTTATTTACCTTTCTCCTTTTCTTAGCTTTCCACTGGCACCCTGTCCTCACATGCTCATATATATCCATAAAATTCACAATTGGATTACTAGAGAATGTAAATGACAGTAGCACTTCTAAAGCAAGAAATGTGAGATGCAAAAGCCACAAACATTTTACACCACTCAACAGAGAGAATATGCTTTCCGTGTTGCATGATGTGGCATAAATGTGCTTCTATTACCATAATAAACCATTTAAAAATTATTTTTTAAAAGTCTGCACATATGAATGTAATTAAAATGCTCTATTGCATTGTAAATCTAAAGTAATTTAGGGAACAACCTTTGTTTCTTTGCTGAAAGACTAACATCTGTCTGTTATTAAAGTTATACAGAGCAAAGAACTCAAATTCATTCCTATGGTGGTTAAACTATGTACTTATTATTAAACAGTCTGAAGTTGAAATCAATTTAAACAATATAACAAACTTCTAGTAATTTTTCAACAAATAAGTTTATCTTGTTCTCCTTTTTTATCTACTGAGCTATCAGTTAAATGGGAAGAAGAAACAGTAAAGCTCTTTCCTTACCTTCATGACTATTCGTATTGGACGGTCCATTGCTTCTGCTTCCTCCACTACTGCTTCTATTAAGTGAGCCCTTCCAATCTACCTTTCCCAGTCTCCTCAACCTCTTCTATGAAATATCTCCATAACTATGTCACCACCAAACTTAAAGGCCTGATAGCAGCTTATTCTTCTCAATTTCTCTGTGGACACTGATGGTGTTGTTTTACTCCCTAGTATTCTAAAAATGCTTTCTTCTCTTGGCTCCTGAGATAAAGCACAGATTTTGGTTATCCTCCTTTTCTTTTGTAACTCTTTCTTGGCAAGTTCTTTTCAACCTCCATCCTAAAGGTAGGCATTATTCTCTAAGATTTTATCTGCAATCTTCGTCTTCTACTCCAAAGACTTTTCTTTGAATTTACCTATTATCTTTTTGGCAACTTCCAAATATCTCTCCAGGTAAAACTTCTAACTACATGCTTAAAATCTTCACCCAGAGTAATCCAGAACTAAATCTAAACCCATCATTTTCACCTTGCTCTCCAACCTCAATAGCTCTAGGAAAGTAGGTGTAGGCTGCAGGCTGCTCAAAGTATATCTATATTTCTATTAATATTTGTATTAGCATGATATGTTAATTACCTTGCTAAGTTTGGAAAATAACCCTTAAAAACCTACAATTCATTCATTAGCATTCTGTTTATATGATCCCAAGTGTAACACAAACACTTTAGTTCTCTTAATTTTTGATTTCCAAAAACTCCTTACTTATATTGATTATTATATTCCCCAGTCTCTTATATTTTATCATTTGCCTATTTTTACCAGCGAACTGTCTATAATTCAATCACATTGCTACAAACTAGTTAAGGTACTCATCACATTTCATATGGAAGATAATATAGGTACTTAGGCCAGGCATGGTGGCTCACGCCTGTAATCCCAGCACTTTGGGAGGCCGAGGCAGGCAGATCACTTGAGGCCAGGAGTTCAAGACCAGTCTGACAAACATGGTGAAACCTTGTCTCTACTAAAAATACAAAAATTAGCTGGGCATGGTGGTGTACTCCTGTTGTCTCAGCTACTAGGGAGGTTGAGGTTGGAGAATCACTTGAACCCGGGAGACAGAGGTTGCAGTGAGCACCACTGCACTCCAGCCTGGGCAACAGAGAGAGACAGTTGCAAAAAAAAAAAAAAAAAAAAAAAGGCTACTTAATTAGTCTTCAATCCCTAAATCCCTACTCCTTCCTCTAATACATTCTCATCACTTTCTCCAGAATAAGTGGCAATTTGTGCCCATATTCCCTGTTATTACAAACTGATAATTCCTACTAAATGAATTCCATGATAGTAGGTTGTATTAAGTTACTATACTATTGACTCTGTATGGGAAAAGGCCACAAGCATATGGATAGAGTGGAATCTCGCAAACAATATGAAGTCATTCCTGGTAACAATCAACTTGAGAAAAGGCATTTCTTTCATTCTAGAAACAGGAATTAAGAGAGTGGTCCTTACGTAAACAGGCAAAAGGACATAACTTTTCTTGTACTATATTCAACAGTCATAAAATCCAGACTGATTATCTTGGATGATGTGTATCAAATGACACTCAAAACATGGAAGCAGACCAAAATAGTGGAAATGAGGAGTCAAGGCAAAGCCCCTCACTTTCCATAGGTCTCTATGTGGAATGGGCTAGGCCCTGTAGGCTGCATTAGCTAGAGGGAGATTAGAATCCTGTAGTATGCAAGCCAGTTTATTTAGATTTCTTATACCTTCCCTGTTTCTTCCTTAACAAATGTCTTGATAAAAATATCAACTTTTCTCAATTGTGTTAAAGAAAATGAAGCACTCCCAACTCTGCCTCATGCTTGGGTATGCCCAAAGTCTTCATAAATTTATAAATCATCATGCTAAAAATCAAGAAGTAGCATGGATTATGTAAAATAACTGATGCCAAACTACTGGCAACTGTTTCTTAGAGAAAATCAACTGGAAAGTAAATGCATAACATATTTTTATTTTGGGTAAATTCTCTGTGGATACCATTGTGGGAAAGGAACACGCATAAGAACTGGATATTAGTACAGGTGGGTAGATTTTAATTTGGTTTAAAAATTAAATTAAAAGGCTATTAATAATTAGATTGGTGTCAACCAGTAGGAGGTTTATGGTAGTTAGTTGCAGGCATTTCTTGTTCCTTTTTCAAAAAAATCAGTGACTTAAAAGAAGCTGTTTGAAGGTATACTTGTTAAATTTACAAATGACACAAAACCCAAAGGGACTGCGAATATGCTAGATGATAGAGTCAGGATTCAAAATTTTGTAATGGGTAGCAGTGCTGAACTGAAACCAAACAAAAATTAAATTTATCAGGGATAAATGAAAATCTTACAATTAGTTTTTTTTAAATCATTTATATAGGTCCGGGATTTGGGATAATCTAACTTGACTGCAGTTTGTGTTTATAAAAATAAAAGAAAAAAAGGAATGAGGTTTTTCGTTGACCACAGAGTCAACATGCATTCACAGCAAGATGCAATTACTATAAAAGCTAAAAAACTGTCATCAATAATTTAGGATGGGAACCTATACTTCAAAGATTTGACCTTTGAACCTACAATGTATAAGGCATTGTTCAATTGTATCATGCAAAGGTAAAACTTTATTTGAAGCATTAGGTTAAATAACATATGACATTTTAGAAGGGGCATTGACAAATTATAATAAGTAAGAGAGAATAACCAACATTCTGGAGGAGTCAGCAATCAAGAAATGGTTAACAAAGTATGCATAGGTACCATAGAAAAGTACTTTAGAAAAGTAAACAAAATGGAAAGTGCTTCAAATATTTAAATAACTGTCATGAGGAAGAGATAAATCTCAGATTCTGTATTGCCCCCATGGTGGAACTGAGTGAGAGCTGACAGGAGGACAGATCTCAATTCAGTATGAAGAAGTGAGATATATATATATATATATATATATATATATATATATATATATATATGTGTATATATATATATATACACACACATATATATATACACATATATATATACATATATATATACATATATATATATATACACATATATATATACATATATATATACATATATATATACACACATATATATATACATATATATATATACACATATATATATATATATATTTTTTTTTTTTTGAGACAGGGTCTCACTCTGTCTCCCAGAGTGCAGTGGTGCAATTTTGGCTCACTGCAATCTCTGTCTCTTGGGTTCAGGCGATTCTCGTGCCTCAGCCTCATGAGTAGCTGGGATTGGTGACGGGTGCCTATAATCCTGGGTCATTTTTTCTTTTTTTTTGTTTTTTTAAATATTTTTAGTAGAGACAGGGTTTCACCATGTTGGTCAGGCTGGTCTCAAATTTCTGACCTCAAATGATCCACCTGCCTCGGCCTCCCAAAGTGCTGGGATTACATGCGTGAGCCACCGCATCCAGCCAAGTACAAAGAATATATTTTCAATGCAGCAGGAGCCCAGACAAAGTAAGGAATTCCATGTCATTGGACATTTACCTCTCAGGGGTATTATACAACGTGCCGCTGCATTAGAAAAAGTGATTAAATTAGATGATCCTCTAAGGTTCCTTACAATAAACAAGATTTCATAATTCTATGAAACAAGCATTAGGCTAAATTATTTGAGAATCACAATTTCAAAGTTTCCTACCATATTCCAATCTGCTACTCATTCAGAGTATTAGTTTGCATGTTGTGGAAATAAAATTCCCAACTGCCTTAACATTACTAAGATAGTGTTTTGAGTTCATTTGCCAATCACAATGATTGGTCTCACTGAGCCATATATGCTTTAACTCAATCTCCCCAGGCACCAGAGGCACATTTGCAAAATATCTGGCTGGATTGAGAATTTCAGCTTATGACTGTGGAGTAGGGATTTTCTCATCTGAGCTAAGGGACAAAATCTGCCTCAATAAACCATGAGCAAAACAGGTAAACTTTATGCTTTACAACCTCCTCTCCACTACTGTATGATATGTATGCATGCATGGGGGATGCATATATATCTGAATGTAAATATATATGCATGTATATGTATCTACACGTACATACATATAAATGACATGACACAGTAATAGAATAAAAGTTAACAGAAAGAAGAGATAAGTGACGAACATAACCACATGATATAAAACACAGTGTTTGTAACTAAGACATGCCACTAGCAGGTTTCCAAATTGAGAATTGAGAGGGAGGCCCTTGTTTCTTCAATGATGGGAAAAGGCAAGAAGAGCAGAAGGGGAAAGAGGAAAATAAAAGCTCAAGGCCCTGGTGGCAGACAATTAAATAGAGAAACTATAATAAGAGCTCCATGTAAGTATGATTTACTCCAACATAACATTATTTCATAATAATCATCTCATTATTTGGCCACAATTATAAATACTGGTCAAATAAAATCTCAAAAAATGGGAAGTTCACCTGGTGTGGGGTTATAGCACTACATATCAACAGAAGCCAGTCAGAAGTTAATTGTGCACTGGCAAATTGCTTTTTGCTGCTCATTAGTATTTGAAGATTAGTGCATTCAGTTCCATATCAGAGAGCCTACAAAATACAAATAATGTCCATTTTCTTTCTCATTTTTTTGTTGTTCATGCTGCACATATTTATCTTAATGAGTACATGGCTTTTTAAATGATAGCTGTAAAACAAAATAGCACTATTTGCATTTCAGAGTAATCAGTAATATCCAGCTTGAATTTTGTCCAGAACAAAAATGGTTCTAAAGAAAATCTGTCTCATGCTGATCAGTTCAAAATCTGAAATAACAGCTTTAAAAATCTGCTACAAAATGATAATGCTTCTTGCATGTGATATTAAAATTTTAGATAGACCTGGTTTAATATTATGAAGACAAAAATAAGCAATGTTAAACTTTTGAAAAGACTGCAATCTATACAAATTTGACTACATTTAATTATCACCTAGGAACTACTTAACCCCTTACAATATGAACTTTGTCCTTTCCACTTTATTAAAATTATTCTTGCAGCATCAGCAATATAACCTAGGCCAACAAATCAAATAACCTACTTTTAAATCCTTAATCCACTTGTTAAGTGTCTCCAAAACAAAGGAGAAAATTATCTTCCAAGGAGGAGCCAGCCAGCAGTGAACTTGTGCTGGCAGCAAGAGCAGCTCCATTAAAGAGAAAAAGTTCCAAAAATCATCCCGGGAAGATGAGGATAGATATTTCCTGGAGACAAGTGCATACCCCAAACTGACATTTTCCAACCCATGTCTTATACCCCAATAAAAACAAATTCGCAAAAGTTTTTAAAAACTTAGATTGCTGATTAACCCTTTCTTTCCTGAAATTTTCTCTTCCATAAGTTTTCTAAACACTGCTTCGGCATAAATACCCCACCCAGCTTCTCTGATAACTCTTATTTCTATATTTAAATGAGGTATTCACCAAAGTTCTTTCCTTATCTTTCTTCCTTTCTTATACTCTCTGCCCTAGTGATCTCTTTTAATCTCATCATTTTAATTATTATCTTTGTAGATACAGTTGCAAAAATAGGTAATTACTGATACCCACCCTTCTTCTAATTCTAGTACCATATGTTCATCTCCCTATTAAGCAACTCTAGCTATATACTCAATGTATACTTCAAACCAGAGAAGTTCAAAAATAATTTCTCCCCAAGCCAGGAACCTTTCTCTGAATCTACTGCTCTCCTCTTTTTAAAAAAGGCAAAAAATGCATCCCTATTCAGCAAGTTATTCAGGCTCAGAATTGTCTTTGATCATATCCTGGCCACATAAAAATATAAATTACTGTTGAGTCTTTCTTCCTAATGTCAGTTGCATCTACTCTGGTTTAGGTTCTTCTTTCATGGACTACTGCAGTAACCTAATAATAAGTGGGGTCCACCTTCAATTTTTACTCTATCCATTTTATTCATATCATGATGATGATGATTCCTATCAATCATCACAAAACAACCTCTTGATAAAATTCCTCTGCTACTCAAAATTCTTCAATCCTCTCCCCTCAGCCTTCTAAATAAAATTGAAAATCCTTAACATGGCATTCGAGGCCATTATGATATAGTCTCAAACTTCTTCCACCACAGGATTTCTCTCAGTACTATACACATATCCTATGCTTCAGCCAAGATGGACTACTTATTGCTCCTCAAATTTACTCTGTACTTTACTCTGTACTTTCTTTACCTTATATCTCAGTTTAATTGTTTTTTTCTACCTAGAATTCCAACCTCTTCTCTTCCTCCTATCATGCCTAGCCCCCACAAGCCATACTAAGATCTTAATCTACTGGAATCTCATCAAGGGGATTACATCACCTCTCTGAAGCTTTACCTGGATCCCTAACTTGTCCTAACCTTCACTGAACCCCCAAGGTATGTCATAATCTATTTTTATTGTGAAGGATACTGACAAATTACAGCAAATAGTGAGAGGATAAGCAAATGGTTGATGAATCTTGGCCTTAAAAGAGTACTTAAAAACTTTCTATAACTATCCTACAGAATATGATCTATTAACACACCATGATCTTATTATAAAAACTAAATTTATAGCATATTATTGCTTGCAATCTGTAAAGTGCATCAAATGCTAAAATGGTTACCTACTTATAATCTTTATCTTGCAAAAGACTACTATTGTCACATTAACTAAACTAGGACTGGAATGAGGATGTGGCAAGGAAGGCCTTTGTTAAAAACACACACTCTAGGCCGGGCGTGGTGGCTCACGCCTGTAATCCCAGCACTTTGGGAGGCCGAGGCGGGTGGATCACCTGAGGTCGGGAGTTCAAGACCAGCCTGACCAACATGGCAAAACCCCATCTCTACTAAAAATACAAAATTAGCTGGGGTGGTGGCGCATGCCTGTAATCCCAGCTACTCCGGAGGCTGAGGCAGGAGAATGGCTTGAACCTGGGAGACGGAGGTTGCGGTGAGCCAAGATTGTACCATTGCACTCCAGCCTGGGCAACAAGAGCAAAACTCCGTCTCAAAGAAACAAAACAACAACAACAACAACAACACATATACTCATGCCACCTTAGATACATATTTAGCACAGTGGTTCATGCCTGTAATCACAGTATGTTGGGAGGCCGAGGCCAGCAGATCACTTGAGGTCAGGAGTTCGAGACTAACTAGCCTGGCCAACATGTCAAAAATCCATCTCTACTAAAAATACAAAAATTACCCAGGCATGGTGGCACATGCCTGTAATCCCCACTCGGGAGGCTGAAACAAGAGAATCACTTGAACCCAGGAGGCAGAGGACGTGGTGAGCCGAGATCACACCACTGCACTCCAGTCTGAGCAACAGAGCAAGAACCCATCAAAAACAACAACAACAACAACAACAACAACAAAACTGCCATTGACATTCTTCATAGAATTAGAAAAAACTACTTTAAATTTCATATGGAACCAAAAAAGAGCCCATATAGCTAAGACAATCCTAAGCAAAAAGAACAAAGCTGGAAGCATCATGGTACCTGACTTCAAACTATACTATAAGGCTACAGTAACCAAAACAGCATGGTACTGGTACCAAAGCAGACATATACACCAATGGAACAGAACACAGACCTCAAAAATAACAACACACATTTACAACGATATGATCTTCGACAAACCTGACAAAAACAAGCAATGGGGAAATGATTCCCTATTTAATAAATGGTGCTGGGAAACCTGGCTAGCCATATGCAGAAAACTAAAATTGGACCCCTTCCTTACACCTTATACAAAAATTAACTCAAGATGGATTAAAGACTTAAGTGTGAAACCCAAAACCATAAAAACCCTAGAAGAAAACCTAGGCAATACCATTCAGGACATAGGCATGGGCAAAGATTTCATGACAAAACCACCAAAAGCAATGGCAACAAAAGCCAAAATGAACAAAGGGGATCTAATTAAACTAAAGAGCTTCTGCACAGCAAAAGAAACTAGCATCAGAGTAAACATGTAACCTACAGAACGGGAGAAAATTTTTGCAATCTACCCATGTGACAAAGGTCTGATATCCAGAATCTACAAGAAACTTCAAGGAATTTACAAGAAAAAAACAAACAACCCCATCAAAAACTGGGCAAAGGATATGAACAGACAGTTCTTAATAGAAGACATTTATGCGGCCAACAAACATGTGAAAAAAAGCTCAACACCACTGATAATTAGAGAAATGCAAATCAAAACAACAGATGTTGGCAAGGCTATGGAGAAATAGGAATGCTTTTACACTGTTGGTGGGAATGTAAATTAGTTCAACCGTTGTGAAAGACAGTGTGCTGATTCCTCAAGGATCTAGAACCAGAAATACCATTTGACCCAGCAATCCCAATACTGGGTGATATGGTTTGGCTCTGTGTCCCCACCTAAATCTCATCTTGAATTCTAGTCCCATAATTCCCATGTATTATGGGAGGGACCTGGTGGGAGATAATTTGAATCATGGGGGTGGTTTCCCCCATACTGTTCTCATGGTAGTGAATAAGTCTCACAAGATCTGTTGGTTTTATCAGGGGTTTTCCACTTTTGTATCTTTCTCATTTTCTCTTGCTGCTGCCATGCAGAAAGTGCCTGTGATGATTCTGAGGCCTCCCCAGCCATGTGGAACTCTAAGTTCAAATAAACCTCTTTTTCTTCCCAGTCTTGGGTATGTCTTCATCAGCAGCATGAAAATGTACTAATACACTAGGCATATATCCAAAGGAATATAAATCATTCTACCATAAAGACACATGCACACATATGTTTACTGCAGCACTATTTACAATAGCAAAGACAAGGAACCAAACCAAATGCCCATCGATGAGAGAATGGATAAAGAAAATGTGGTACATATACATCATGGAATACTATGCAGCCGTAAAAAGAAATGAGGTCATGTCCTTTGCAGGGACATGGATGAAGCTGGAAGCCACCATCCTCAGCAAACTAACACAGGAACAGAAAACCAAACACCACATGTTCTCACTCATAAGTGGGAGCTGAACAATGAGAACTCATGGACACAGGGAGGGGAACATCACACACGGGCTTGTTGGGGAGGTGAGGGGAGGGAACCTAGATGATGGGTTAATAGGTGCAGCAAACCACCATGGCACATGTATACCTATGTAACAAACCTGCATGTTCTGCACATATATCCCGGAACTTAAAGTAATTAAAAAAAAAAAAAAAAAAGGCACACTCAGAGTACAGGATCACAGCCTCGCATTGAACCAATGAACATGTTAACACATGCACATTAGTAATCCCATTACCACCACTAACACCGATTTACAAGTTATATGGTAAATACTGGTTAATCTAAAGCATAGGATGGTTGTCTTAGTATTTTTGTGCTGCTAATACAGTATACCACAGACTGCGTAATTTGTAAACAACAGAAAATCATTTCTCACACTTTTGGAGGCTGGGATGTCAAAGATCAAGGCACCAGCAGATTGTACATCTAGTGAGGGCTACTCTGCTTCCAAGAAATGGTGGCTTATTGTTGTATGCTAGGGAAGGAATGAAATCTGTGTCCTCACATGGCAGAAGAGTGGAAGAAAATGAACCCACTCCCTCAAACCATTTTATGAGTCCTAATCCCATCCTTAACGGCTCTGCCCTCAGGACCTAATCGCCTCCTAAAGGCCTCACCTCTTAATACTATCACATTGACGATTACATTTCAACACATGAATTTTGGAGAACATTCAGACCATACCAGTTGTAAAATAAGCACGGAAAGAAATATAGACCTGTCCAACCCGTCCAACATGGTGAAACCTCGTCTCTACTAAAAATACAAAAATTAGCCAGGCGTGATGGTGGGCGCCTGTAATCCTAGCTACTCTGGAGGCTGAGGCAGGAGAATTGCTTGAACTCGGGAGGTGGAGCTTGCAGTGAGCTGAGATTGTGCCACTGCACTCCAGCCTGGGCAACAGAGCGAGACTCTGTCTCAAAAAAAAAAAAAAAAAAAAAAAAAAAGAGAAATATAGGCCTGTCACAGGTACAGGATTGCTTCATCATTGTCTTGAAAAGCTAGGAGTATACTAGTCTTTAAAAATTAGTAATAATAACCATCAATATCAAAACAATTATCTTTTTTTCCATATCTTAAAACGCTAATACCGTTTTCTATTTTCTGTGCACCATTCTCTGAGAAAGCCCCAAATGTATCTAGATTTTTTTGGAGACAGGGTCTTGTTCTATCAGCCAGGCTGGAGCGCAGTGGTGTGATCACAGCTCACTGCAGCCTTGACCTCCAGGGCTCAAGAGATCCTCCTGCATCAGCATTCCCCCCAAGGCCCCCCATCCCCAGCAGCTGGGATTATAGAGATTAAAGGCACACACCACCACAACTGGCTAACTTTTTTTGTATTTTTGTAGAAACACTGTTTTGTCATGTTGCCCAGGCTCATCTTGAACTCCTGGGATCAAGTGATCCGCTCTCCTTGGTCTCCCAAAGTGCTGGGATTACAGGGGCAAACCACCGTGCCTGGCCCATATCTAGATTTTTTAATTAAATCAGGTTGATAACTCTGCAGTACAGATAAATACCGCTTTATTGATATTAATAGAAAACTAGAGCACAGAGTGTGCATGTCACTGGTCAAGGTAAGAAAATGCATCAAGGTTTTCTTATTCCCTATCTAGTGCTTTATTCAATAGACCAGGAAGAAAAGCCAATTAGCAGGGTTTTTGTTTTTTTTTTTTTTTTTAAGTAGGCTTTTCAGAGCTATAACAAAAAAGAGACGTAGAAAAAATTAACAAATTTTGAAATAAAACTACAAGTGAAAATTGTAGATTCTACATGAATTAAAAAATGCAGTAATGAAGGAAAAAGGAAGACCTTATGGGAGGGAGAGATGAAAGAAGGGAAGGAAAACTGGAAAAGAAAATGGGGTGCCACTGAAGACTTTCATACAGGTGTTTTGTTCTGAGTATAATTCAGAAGTCAGGTAAGTCAGTAAGTTTGGTGAGTGAAATCAGCAAAGTATAAAGAAATTCAAATGTACGAAGTCCAAAAAGTGGACAGAACACTGGAAGGTGAAGAAAACTAGGGTCCAATCCTATATAAACCACTTTTTTTGCCATGTGCTATTTGACTAATTATTGAAATTGTAGGACCTCAGTTTCCTCATTGGTAAAATGAGATTAGAAAAGATAACATCTCAAGCTTATTCCAGAACAGTATATATGATTCTAATAGACAAGGTCACACTCAGCTGGGTGAAGGACAGGAAACTACCCAAAACCTATAGAGATAACTATACAGTAGGCCCTCCACCCTCCATATCCATGGGTTCTACATCTATAAATTCAACCAACCACGAATCAAAAATATTGGGAAAAAAATTGGATGGTTGTGTCTGTACTGAACATGTACAGGCTATTTTTCTTGTCATTATTCCCTAAACAATAAAGTACAACAACTCTTTACATAGTATTGACATTGTATTAGGTATTATAAGTGGTTTAGAGATGATTTAAAGTATATGGGAGGATGTGCATAGGTTATATGCAAATACTATACCATTTTAAATAAAGAACTTGAGCATCCACGAATTTCGGAATCTGCAGAGGTCTTAAAACCAATACTTCGGCCAGGCGCGGTGGCTCACGCCTGTAATCCCAGCACTTTGGGAGGCCGAGGCAGGCGGATCACGAGGTCAGGAGATCAAGACCATCCTGGCCAACACGGTGAAACCCTGACTCTACTAAAAATACAAAAAATTAGCCGGGCATGGTGGCAGGTGCCTGTAGTCCCAGCTACTCGGGAGGCTGAGGCAGGACAATGGCGTGAACCCAGGAGGCGGAGCTTGCAGGGAGCCGAGATCTCGCCACTGCACTCCAGCCTGGGCGACAAAGCAAGACTCCGTCTCAAAAAACAAAACAAAACAAAACAAAACAAAACAAAACAAACAAAAAAACACCAATCCTTCATGGATACTGAGGGACAACTGTATTTGACAGTGCCGGATACCAAGAAATAGATAAAATCTAGAATCAAAGTTTGCTTTTATTCAACTAATCAAATTTATCACATTAATCACTAATAGGAAACATTTCTATAGTATAATACATGCTTTTTAAAAAGGGCATAAGAGAAAGAGTAAAGATATAATAATAAAAGAGGGCAAAGAATGAAGAAAGGTGAAAAACCAATAAACTACTCATCATTGTTCAATGTTATCTGTAACTAAGGCATTTATTTGATGGCCATTCCTAAGAACAATGTTTTGAGAGTAAGAGCCTCTTTCTTGATGTTGAATGGTAGAAGTAGCTAAAGAAAAGACTTCTCACTTTTATTTTCATTCTCTAATCCAGAGATTCCCAACTTTACCCTGCAATTCTATAAGTCTTGGAGCACAGGCAATTCATAGGACAACATAATAACATACAAAAACTTGAAAGCACTCCATTTGGTGACATCTTCTGAATATACCTGTGAAGGATAACTCTACCAATTGTTCTATAAAGTAGATAAATGATTCACAAATAAACACCAAAGAAGATATGTTGTCAGTTAATTTACATAGTCATCATATACCTGAAAAGTAACTGACTTTTCACGTATCATTCGTCTGTAAAAATATTTTAAGCTCAGCTGGCACTAATCTTTGCAGTCTTGTCAAATGCTTAAAATGAATTTACCAGAGCAAGTAGCATCTGGCTAAACTAATCATAGGCAGTTGTCAGCTATTTTACTGCAAATCATCAGTAGAAATGACCAAGGGTTGGGGGGAAGTTTAAAAAGGCAGCAATTCCAACACAACCAGTACTTTAATACAAAGATAGTAATTAATCTCCAAACAGGCTGGCATTAATGTTACAAATAATATAGTTTGCCATTCAGGCCCCATTCTGCCATTCTCGCAGCTAGCAGAATCAAAAGGCAGCTGAGATATTTTACTAACAGAGAATGGAAAAATGCAGTCCTTTGAGAAATTTTTAGTTGTTCATAAATTTCTTAAAACCAGGGTTCAGAAAACTTTTTACATTTTTTCTTCTTTTTATTCAATTGGTCAAATAACACTTTATATTTTCCTATAATGTAAGGCAGTATAGAACTATGGCACCACCTATCGTGACATTACATAAGTGCTGATATCAGATGACAGCCTATGAGATATTGGAGGAGCAGAACGGAGGATTTAGTGTTCGAGAAAATGTTAATGATTATTTTCTTCAATGGTTCCTTCTGAGACCATAACGCTATAAAAGGTTTTTGCAAAACAGAAGCCTCAAACCTGTTGTAACTATTTTCCTAATCTATTGGAAATAGGTTCATAATGCAGTATGCACATGACTGTCTTAGCTAGCAGTATGGGCATGAACAACATTCTTTCATCCAAATGGCCAAAAACTGTGATTATGGTAATTATAATCCACTGGCTAGACATTTTCAGAGTATTCAAAACAAATTCCTCTCTCCCTCCATCTCTTCCTTCCTTATAGAAATGCATGCTAGTATCACAGACATGGCATATCGTTACCAGACGTAACTGATATAGTCCTAAGTTACTATCCTCTAAGGGGAGAACAGCCCTAAGATGATGTCTACAAATGTCAGGTCAGACTGGTTCAGATATTTCTTCCTAATAAATGTTTAAAGGGGTTGTTCTAATTTGGAGCTTAGAAAGCAGGATCAATCAAAAATAATTAAAACACCACAATGGAATAATGTATATGCAGTTTTATTAATAGCTCTTTTAAACACACACACACCAGTAGAAATCTAACCCCAAGAGTTAAGTTTCCGAAGAACCCCACAGTAGGATAAATCATTATTTACAATTTTAATGTTTCCTGGGAAAACAGCTTTAGAGGCATAAAGGAATCAAATTGTTTTATGAAAGCTCTTATAAATCCTTTTCTCCCATTAATATCTACAACAACTAAAGATACATTAATGTAACCCTCTACTATGGTTAGTACCCTTTCACATAATAAAGTCATAAAGCACACACATCATTTCTTACTCAGCTAGTAGCGTCCTCCTTGCCAACACACGAGAATGTAATCCTGAAACCCAAGTATAATTTCTAACATAATTTCTGTGTCCTAAGACTTAATTTCAAAACTTTACATTCTTGCTACGTCTTCTGACTTTTTTCAGCATAGTAAAGTGGTTAAAAGGCTTGGGGGTCTTTGACTATATATGAGAACTTAGGCAAGTTACATAATTTCCCCAAGTTCCAGCTTCTTCATTTGTAAAGTAAGAATAATAATAGTACCTTACCTATCAGGATTTATGTGAAGTACAGAGGAGATGAGTGCATATAAAAATTATCATGCGCATATGCAATTATTATATATTTTATTATATAACAATTTTATATATTATAATTATATAATATAATTATTATATATTTTTATTATATAATAATTTTATATAATAAAAATTATTATATACTAAATCCTTAATAAATGCAACTGTTACTCTACTGCTTAACTGCTACTTTAGATACCATTAGATACTATTCTATTTAACTCCTTTTTTCACTGTTTTTTTTTTTTGAGATAGGGTCTCATTCTGTCACTCAGGCTGGAGTGCAGTAGCAATCATGACTCACTGCAGCCTCAGCTTCTCCCAGGGTCAAGTGATCCTCACACCTCAGCCTCCTGAGTAGCTGGGACTGTAGGAGCATGCCACCACACTCAGCTAATTTTTGTATTTTTTCTGTAGATATGGCATTTCGCCATGTTGCCTAGGCTGCTCTCAAACTCCTGGGCTGAAGTAATTTGCCTACCTTGGCCTCCCAGAGTACTGAGATTACAGGTCTGAGCCACCAGGTCCAGCCCTTTTTTCACTTTTTAAAAGTACTCCTAAGCGGAACACTTATGATTTGTGAATACTCAATCAAAAGGCCAAAAATACATATAAGTATGCATCCACATATGCTAGTGATTTTCATGAGGAACACTCATATTTAGGAATTGTTTGTTATATATGTCATGCATCATAAGAGTGCAACAGAACAAATCAAAATTAAACATAATCATAAATATTATTATTATTATTTTGAGACTGGGTCTCTCTGTGTCATCTAGGCTACAGGGCAGTGGTACCATTTCAGCTCACTGTAACCTCTGCCTCCTGGGCTCAAGCAATCCTCCCATCTCAACCTTCTGAGTTCCCAAGTAGCTGGGACTACCGGCCCACGCCACCACAGCTGGCTAATTTTTTGTCAAGATGGGGTTTTGTCGTGTTGCCCAGGCTGGTCTCAAACTCTTGAACTCAAATGATCCGCCCACCTTGGCCTCCCAAAGGGCTGGGATTATAGGCATAAGCCCCTGTGACTAGCCCATAGTCATAATTATGTTTTAGCACTGTAGTAGAATCTTGGTATATGAAAATAAAGTTCAATGGCAGAGATTTTACTTTTAGTTGTGGTATTCCAGGAAGCCTATTTGAAGAGGGTGGCAACTTAACTGAACCTTAAATTATGGATTAGATTTAGAATTTCAAAGTCGTGGACATAGGAAACCTACATGACGTGAATATCACAGAGACAGAGAGTTTCTAGAAAACTGTATTCTGGGCATAGTGAACGGAAGGTAATTCAGTTCACCTAGAGTATACAGTCCTTAATGGGAAGTTTTGGGAGATAGTTTGAAAGTAGGGGACTTGATCTTCAGTCTGAAGTATTTAGATTTTGATTGTTAAATAGCAGCACGAATAGTTCTATTTATATGCAATAAAAAGAGTCCCATCAGGTGCCTCTGTTAAACTCTTCATTTGAGCCCTCTTTTCATTATCTAAAATGTAAAGAAAATTTAAACCTTTGTTTTCCCCTTGATTTTTCAAGCAGTGCATTTTAAATGGGAAAAATTCAGAGGCTATGTGAAAGTGTAAAGAACATTTTATCTTACTTATTAATGATCTAGTGAGTATAATATTTGAAAAGGAAGAAGAGAGATAGAGATGTTTCTATAAGCAGTAGTGATATCCAAGTTATCTGGCCTTTTGTAAATCTAAACTGAGAGACTACTCCTGATTGTCAATTCTGATCCCAAGCAACATCAACATCAGGTAAAATGCCGTCTACATCGACCTTTTTGCTGGAAATCACAACAGAAGCCTCAAGAAAAAGAAAACAAAAAGGTTCGCAATTGATTTATCACATTCCTTAAAATAGTAAGCTAAATGGAAAACTACAGGGTTCAAGTAGTTTATGGTCAAAAAAGAGAAAATGTTTGTCATATTCCTATTGCAGAAAATAGAATTCTAAGTTGATTTAAAAATACTCCTTAATTCTAGAAAAATATTTCAAACTTATATTCAGTAAACTATTAGTATAACATATAAACTAAAGTTCCTCAACTACAACACAGACATGCATAGACATATATAAATGAGATTGTGTTTATTTGATTTTAGAATGCATACAATGTTTATATTTGTGCCTATGAGATATATGGAAAACCTTCGTTACATGACCTACAATTCAATAAAATATGGAAAGTTACTCTTTTTTTTTTTTTGAGACGGAGTCTTGCTCTGTTGCCCGGGCTGGAGTGCAGTGGCGCGATCTCGGCTCACTGCAAGCTCCGCCTCCCGGGTTCACGCCATTCTCCTGCCTCAGCCTCCCGAGTAGCTGGGACTACAGGCGCCCGCCCCAACGCCTGGCTGATTTTTTGTATTTTTAGTAGAGACGGGGTTTCACTGTGTTAGCCAGGATGGTCTCGATCTCCTGACCTTGTGATCCGCCCGTCGCGGCCTCCCAAAGTGCTGGGATTACAGGTGTGAGCCACCGCGCCCAGCCCGGAAAGTTTCTTATTTAAAAAACTGCTGCACATACAAACAACTGCTGCAATTCTACCCATATCTTTTCTATGGACAAGGCCTCTTCTGTCAGAGAACTGCCCTTCCCTATAAGGACTACCTTCTGCTGCTGGGCAGCTTTCCTCTTCCACTGAACCCTTACAATTTTTGCAACGTGGACAACTATTCCTAAGCCCTCTGTATGTATGATAAGGTTTGCAGACCGACCATTATCAGAGTATTTCTCTTCTGGACATATCCCAGTGGGCTAATTGTCAAAATCTTTAAGAATATGCTAATGAAAGACTATAATTACATATTGAAATGCTCACTGCAATGTTTCTAAAAGAAAATGTTGAAAAGTGCCTAATAATAGGATATTGGCTACATATAAACCGTAATACATAATATAACGCTACACTACCATTAAAAATACTAAGGAAAGACAAACATGGTACATTCTTACGTGAGAAAATCATGTAAATAGGCCAGGTACGGTGGCTTACGCCTGTAATCCCAGCACTTTGGGAGGCCGAGGCGGGTGGATTGCCTGAGGTCAGCAGTTCAAGACCAGCTTGGCCAATATGGTGAAACCCGGGCTCTGCTGAAAATACAATTAGCCGGGTGTGGTGGTGCGTGCCTGTAATTCCAGCTACTCGTGGGGCTGAGGCAGGAGAATTGCTTGAACCGGGGAGGCAGAGGTTGCAGTGAGCTAAGATCGCACCACTGCACTCCAGCTTAAATAACAGAGCGAGACTCCATCTCAAAAAAATAAATAAATAAATAAATAATTTTTTAAAAAAGAAAATCATGTAAATATGTCTATAATGTATTTTTTGTTTAGAAAATGAATTTATAAAAATGCACAGAAAAAAATGGACTCCAATGCTATAAACCAAAATATCTACAGTGGTTATAGTTAGTTTTTTGGACCATATAAAATATTTTCTTAAGTTTTTCCTAAATTATCTACAATGAACACTATTACTTTTGTAACAGGTAAAAAGCAATGTATTTAAAGAACATGTTGAAAATTTAAGAGCTTTAGAAGAAAATACTTCTTATTACCAATTCCTCCCTTCTCTCTTCAATCTCCTCCAATCTTGTTCTTTGCCCCAACACTATATCCAAACAGGACTTGTCAGGCTCATGTTGTCAGACCTCATGTTTAATTATCTGTCTTCATTTCACTTGACTTCATTTTATTTAAGAAATTTCATCACTCTCTTTACAAAAGACTTTTATCAGATGGCTTGCAGGATATGATTTAAATACCATTTTATTTCTCCGGTCATTGCTTAGTCCCCTCTGTTGGTTCCTTTTCATCTTCTAGAACTCTAAACATTATAGTATGTCATGGATCACACACCAGGCCCCTTCCCTTTTCTATCTATAATCAATCCTTTGGTAATCTCATCCAGTCTAATGGCTTCAAAGACTATGTGCACTAATGCCTCACAGATTTACATGTCCAGGTTGGACTTCTCCCCATAAGTCCAGACTCATATATCTAACTGCTTTCTTGGTGTCCCTATGTGGTGAACATGGACATAAGAAAATTACCATGTTCAAAAATAACTTCTTACTCTTGTACCTAAACTTGTTCCACCTACAATCTTCCTCATCTCTCTAAATGACAACTTTGTCTTTCTAGTTACTCATGTCAAAAAATAACAAAAAACAACAAAAAAAGGAATTACTCATTTTTGACTCTGTTTTTCTCACAAACCATATTTAATCAATTTGCAAATCTTTGTTTGTTTGTTTTGGGTACTTTTGTCTTATTTTTTTTGAGACAGAGTCTCATTCTGTCACTCAGGCTGAAATGCAGTGGCACGATCACGGCTCATTGCTGCCTCGACCTCCCAGGCTCAGGTGATCCTCCCACTTCAACCTCCCAAGTGGCTGGGACCACAGGCATGTGCCACCACTCCCTGTTCGTTTCTTAAAAAATTATTTGTAAAGAGGAGGTCTCACCATGTTGCTCAGCCTAGTCTCAAACTCCTGAGCTCAAGCAATTTGCCTACCTTGGCTCTCAAAGTGCTGGGATTACAGGTGGGAGCCACTGTGACTGGCCAATTGCAAATAAAAGCTTCAAAATATATCAAGAATTTGGTCATTTTTTCACTACTGCCACCACCTGATGCAAGCCACCATCATTTCTGCCTCAATTACTGAAACAACCTCCTACATGTTCCCCTAGTTTTGTCCCTTGCTTGCATATAGACTATCTCAAACCAGGAGACAGAGTGATCTTTTAAAAACCTGCCATTTCTTTTCTCAAAACTTTCCATCGCCTTACCATCTCAAAGTAAAAGCTCAAGCCTTTAAAATGGCCTAGGAGGCCCTAGGTGATCTGGGTTTCTGTTATCAACCAGATCTCCTAATACGCTTCCTCTTGCTAACTCCATTCTAGTTATCTGGACTTCATCCTTTTCCTCAAACTCTCCAAGTACATTAATTGCCTTGGGAAGTTTGTGCTTTGCTGTTCTGTCCTACAGAACCCCACCTCTGACCACTTGGCACTCTCACTGACGTTATTATTCTACATAATATTTATCACTATCCTTCATACAAAATCATGCTGCTATGGACTGAATGTCCTGTCAAAATTCCAATGTTGAAACCCTAGTCCCTAGTGTGATGGTATTTGGGGATAGGGCCTTTGGGAAATAATTAGATCATAAGGGTGGATTCTAATCAATTTGTGAATTTTTAACTTCACGTTAAGAATCTGGACATTTTTCATTATTGCCAACCACCTGATGCAAGCCTTTTATAAAAAGACATGAAAGCACTTGCTTCCTGTCTGCTCTCTCTGACATGTGAAGACACAGTAAGAAGCGGCCATGCATAAAACAGGAAGAGGGCCTTCTCCAAAACCAGACCATGCTGGCACCCTGATCTGCAGCTTCCCAACTTCCAGATCTCTGAGAAATAAATTTCTGTTGTTTAAGCCACCCAGTCTATAGTATTCTGTAACAGTAGTCTGAAGAGACTAAGAGATACTTGCATATGTGTTTATTGTTTTCCTCCCCACTTCGAGAATGTAAGCTCTAAGAGTCTAGGGTTTTTTTTTAAATGTATTTTTTTCACTGCCATATCCACACTACCTAGAACTGTGTCTGATAGTAGTAGGTAATCAAAAAGTGTTGTTTTAATGAATAAAAGAAAATACAGAAAAATATCTTCATGAACTGAAGGTAGAAAGGGTTACTTAAAATACAAAAAGTCTAAGTGCTAAAGGAAATGACTGATAAAAATGACTATATAGGCTGGGCGTGGTGGCTTACACCTGTAATCCAGCGCTTTGGGAGGTTGAGGCGGGCGGATCATTTGAGGTCAGGAGTTCGAGACCAGCCTGGCCAACATGGTAAAACCCCGTCACTACTAAAAATACAAAAAAATTAGCTGGGAGTGGTGGCACCCGCCTGTAATCCCAGCTACAGCGGGAGGCTGAGGTAGGAGAATCGCTTGAAACCAGGAAGCAGAGGTTGCAGTGAGCCAAGATCATGCCACTACACTCCAACATGAGTGACAGAGTGAGATTCCATCAAAAAAAAAAAAAAAGACTGTCTAATTTTAAAATTCTGTTCATTTGTTCATTAAAAGGCACATTTTTAAAAGTAATACTACTACTAGCCACAACTGTTTCTAAATATCTGCAGGACATATAAGTGACAAGGGGTTTGTATCTGTAATATTTCAATAACTAATTGAAAGAATTTTCTTTAAAGAGGATAAACAACCCAAAAGAAAGATCAGAAAAAGACCTAACAGTCTTTTTAATGGCCAATACAAATTTTGAGGCTCATTAGTGATCACAGAAATGTAACATGAAACCACAGTGAGACACCATCTTAAACCACTAGATTGTCAAAAATGGAAAAGTTTGACAGGACCAAATGTTGGCTAGAATGTGTACCAAAGGAAGTACTTATATATTCTGCTATTGATATTATAAATTGGTACAGTACAACTGCTTTAGAAAAATATTTGATGTTATCTAGTAATTGAAGAGACATAATGACCTAATGATTCTAACCTTAGATTTGTATTGGAACAATAGTTCTCAATGTGTGGTCTATGAAAGCTACAGGTCTCTGAGGTCCCTTCAGCAGGTCCATGAGGTCAAAACTACATTCATAATAGTACTAAGAAATCTGCCTTTTGTACTCTCATTCTTGAAAGAGTGTACAGTAGTTTCCAGAGTCTCTATCTCAAAACTTTCCAATGCCACTCATGTTTCAAGTGCCCACCGCTGCTTTGATGGTTAATGGAATGTGTGCTTATATATTCTGATGCTTTAACATGATCTGTTTTGATTTCTAATTGAATAAATACTGATACATTTAACAGATGTAAACAAAAGTTCCTGGTATCCTCAATTCTTAGGTGAGTAAAGAGGTTCTAAGATAAAAAAAAAAGTTTCAGAATAGCGCCCTAGAGGAAACTCTTGCATATTTGCATCAGGAAGCAAAATAAAACATTGTTCTCGTCAGCTTTGTTTATATTAACAAAAGACTTGGTGGAGGGGGCGACCACAAGTACATTGACAGGAGAATGGCTAAGTAAATTGTGGTATAGTCATCCAATGAAACGCTATGTGGCAGAGGAATTGGATTCAGATACATGCACCAATATTAGTTAATCTCAGAAACACAAGATTTAGTGAAAAATAAAAACTAATTGCAGAATAAGGCATATTTTACAATTCTGTTTATGTAAAGATTCAAAACTGAGGAAAAGTAGACAATAGATTATTTATGTATACATAATATACAGTAAAACTATAAAGAAAAACAAAGGGACAACAGACACAGAGTTCAGGATAGTAGTTCCGTTTGGAGCAGGGGGAGGAATACAGGATCTCAGAACAGACAGGGCATTAAAGAGCACTGATAAAGTTGTATTTCTTTAGCTGGGTGCTAAGTTCGTGGGATTTTAAATTATCACTATTCTTTATACCTTACATACTATCTATTACATGTTCTTCTGTAATCATGAAATACTTTGTAATGAGTTTTTTAAAGTCTTTACTAACCAGCACTTAAAAAATATGAAACACAACTGTTTTGCCTAGAAGTTTTTTTATAGTCTTTCTGGAGGGAAGAGACCTGAGTCAGGTACTATTCAACAGCCCTGGTAGTTCTATGTGTTTATGCTTTTATTTTCATTTGCCCATTTATGCATTACATTCTAACCTGCTTTCAAAAAATAGGTATTCGCATCTCCCAGTCTTTTTAAAACATTTATTTCACCATCTTTAATGCATCAGAATGGTATCAAAATTGATCATTTTATGGGCATTATTGTATATATCTCACAGAAAGACATTCAAAGTATTAATCAACAGGAGTATATATTACATTAATGCCAAAGGCTTTTCTTTTTCCATAAAACAGCATTCAGCAATGATATCTTACTTTTGTTCCATATTATATAATTACTGAATATATAAAACATAGGACAATAGCCAACTAATAGAAGTTAATGTAAAGACAACTGTATTGAGATTGATAAGGGTAAGATAAATTTTGATAAATGTATTTTTTTTAAGAAAAAAACAATATTTTACTTAAGATTAAATAAAGAACAATGCTAACATCCATTTGGTTATTCTCAATGAACGCACAGTATTAACATCTCTCTTAAGATGAAGGAAGGGACCAAGCAATATGGAAACAGATTTAATATTCTGTAAGACGAATATGAGAGAAAGAAAAAAAGAGGAGGAGGAGGACAGAGAGAGAGAGAGAGTAGAGAAGACGGGATGGTTTTTAAGCAGCTGCACTTTTAACTATGCAGAATACCTTGTGCCTTTTGCTTATACTTGCTATACTTGTTTATTCTCAAATTGCATCAGAGGGCTGAGCATGGTGGCTCATGCCTGTAATCTCAGGCCGAGGCGGGAGGATCACTTGAGGTCAGGAGTTTGAGACCAGCCTGGCCAACATAATGAAAATGCGTCTCTACTAACAATACAAAAAAAAAAAAAAATTGCTGGGCATGGTGGCACGTGCCTGTAGTCCCAGCTACTTGGGAGGCTGAGGCAGGAGAATCCCTTGAGCCCGGGGGACAGAGGTTGCAGTGAGCCGAGATGGCGCCACTGCACTCCAGCCTAGGTGACAGAGCGAGACTCTGTCTCAAAAACAAACAAACAAACAAACAAAACTCCAAAATACAGAATTGCATCAGAGTATGTAGAGTTGTAAAATAAAATGTTTACAAACAAACAAAAGCGTATAATTCACAGGTGAAGGTATAAAAACTCTTATTTTGGTAATGCTTCTTTTGAAACTATTTTATGTCTCCCAAGAAACTCTAACCCTGCCAACAGAAAATACTTCAACCTCTTACTCAGCCTTTAGGTCCCCACCTAAATGGCCACTCTTCAGAGAAGCTATCTCTGAACACACTATCAGAAGGAGCCCTCTCCCTGCACCCACCATATAGTATTATTACCCATTATTGTATCCACTCTGTTTCTTTCCTAGCATATTAAGTCTAGAGCTATATAATTAATTGTCTGTCTCTCCTATGAGACTGTGACAAGGGGTAGTGATCACATCCACTTTGATCACCACTGTATGACAAGTGCCCAGTTTATAAAATACCTGGCACAAATTCAGCATTCAATCCATAGTTGTTGAAAGAGTGAAATACAATGCACGAAATGTGTCATCTCCCTGCTTTACCATTTACCTGAAAATATTTCTTTCTTGGTCTTCTGTTGCAGTTTTCCATTTTGTTTTTATGATGCCTTGGGGCATCTTGAGAACAGATATTTGACAGAGGACCATACGGCAAACCTTGTGGTGTATATATTCAAGCCAACTTTCATATCATTCATTGTATAAAATCCTAACCCATCGTTCATGTTTCAAAAAGTTGTAAAACACTACTAGGTAAAAGAACAAAGAAGAGAATTTTAATTTATTTCTGAACACCAAAAAAAGTAGCAATAAGGACTTCTAAGAATTAATGGTCAGTGATGTAAACAATTTACTGAGAAAGCTGATAATAGGTATACATTATCTGAAAAGTTAAAAGTCACACATGTGAAAATAGTAAAGTCAATGTATAAGAAGACATACATTTCTAAATTTGATGCATTGTTTTGGCTCAGAGTTGACAATTTCAGTTTACCTAAGGCAATTCACACTCTTTTTTTCTTTTCTTTTTTTCTTTTAAATGGTAGTGCTCACTCAGAACCATAAGTCTGCCTCACTTTTGCCGACAGACAGTAAAGATTGGGGGAAAGATAATTTTATATAATTTCTTTGCAGGAAGTAAGAAATAGGTATTTTTGCCTTAGGTATTTATAGGGATAAGTACAGTTGTATGACCTGTCAGAACAAGGTACTTCAGCCCAGATGACTCTGATCTACAGTTTTATGGATTGGTTGTTTTGCATTGTCACTTAGCTCTTTTCATTGTACTTCATGTATTTATTCCTTGCCTCTAACTAGAGTATAAGTATTTTAAAGGTTGAGACTAGCTTTGAAATGGAACTGACACAGTAGTGACCTTAAAAATGGGTTAAAGTAGGTTCTCAATAAATTCTTGATTTTAGTGACTCTTGCTTATTTGTTTGATATCAGAGATCCTCAAAGACTTATGAATCAATTAATGCATACATTGAGCCAATTTACTCATTAAAGAAATATCTCTGGTAAATTTACATTGTTATTCCTGACAATATTCTACCAAACACAATGGTGAATAAGTTAATGTGAAAAGCTACTACTAGTCAAATTGTTCTGTATAAAACTTAAAGAAAAAAGCCAAGCTCAAAATTAAGAATGGCAAATTCCTAGGGGCCAGACAGAAAGTAGCAATTCAAAGTCAAAGCTCTGTTAGGGAGCTAAAGGCAACAGGCTAAGAGGAATAAGGAACTAAATATAAGCATAGAGACTAGAGTTTTAATATCTGCATAGGGAAGAGAATTTATGTCACAAGCTTCTTGTACATGAGGAGCTGGAACTGAGATCCCTGCACAAAGCTAAGAGCCTGGAAGGGTGGTCTCATCTGGAAAACTAAGTCTAGAAAAGCTTCAGTCACTTCCTGAAAGATAGCAGGGAAAAAGTTAGCCACATCAGTCTATGGGTATAAAGGTGAAACTTCAATGCCTTACCAACCTGTGTGGAGACCATGTATTGAAAACTTAGGCCAGGCCTGGTGGCTCACACCTATAATCCTAGCACTTTGGGAGGACAAGGTGGGCAGTTTGCTTGATCCCAGAAGTTCGAGACTAGCCTGGGCAAGATGGCAAAACCCCAGCTCTGAAAAAAATACAAAAATCAGCCAGGCGTGGTGCCATGTGCTTGTAGCCCCCACTATGGCGAGGTAGGGGTGGGGGCAGTTGCTGAAGGGTAGAGGATCTCTTGAGACCAGGGGGGTTCGAGGCTGCAGTGAGCCATGATTGCACCAATGTACTCCAGCCTGGGTGGCAGAGCGAGACCCTGTCTCAAAGAAAAAGAAAAGAAAGGAAAAGAATAGAAAGATAAAAATTAATGTAAAAACTGGTAAAATTTAGGAAAGACAGAAAAATTGAAACCATCCCATATGGTACCTCTACAACCCAGAGCATCTGAAACTTCCAAAGAAAACTTCTGCTAAAGGTGAGCTCTCAGTGAAGAAATTGCGAATCAGATGAACATTAAAAACCACTATGATACAAAGTCAGCAGAAATAACAAAGGGTGAAATTCATACCTTAGAAACAATAAATATCAGAACAACAATATTTTAAATATGTTCATAAGGATCTAAGAAATGAAGAAAGAAAGGGGCACCATAAAGCAAGAAATAGACGGGGAAAAAAAAGAATGAATAGATCAATAAAAGGAACACGGTGGCTCATGTCTGTAATACCATCACTTTGGGAGGCTGAGGCGGGTGGATCACCTGAGCCCAGGAGTTTGAGACCAGTTTGGGCAACATGGCGAAATCCTGTCTCTACCAAAAACAAACAAAAAACAAAAATTAGCTGGGTGTGGTGGCACACGCCTGTAGTCTCAGCTACTCAGTAGGCGAAAGCAGGGAGGATCACTTGAGCCTGGGAGGTCAAGGCTGCAATGAGCAGTGACTGCACCACTGCACTCCAGCCTGGGTAACAGAGGGAGATTCTGTGAGAAGAAGAGAGGGGGAGGGGATGAGAGGAAAAATATAGATACTACAATAATAAAACCTCAATAAAAACAGAAAAATTCAAAATTTACTATATGACAGGTACTATTCTAAACTCATTCATCACTCATTTAATACTAAAATAAACCTATGAGGCAGATGCTACTCTTATATCCATTTTGACAATGAAGAAATTGTGGCACAGAGAGGTTAAGAAACTAGACCAGCATTACCCAGCTAGTAAGTGGCAGAGAAATGACTTGAATCTAGGAAGTCTGGCTTCGAAGTCTTTGCTTTTAACCACCACACTATACTGCTTCTTAATAGATGATTCGAAAAGATTGCTAGATACAGGTAAAGAGAGAATTAGTGGGGAGAAAAAAAGAGAATTAGTGCATTGGAAGATAATTCTCAAGAAATTGATAATATTAAGGTAATATTAAGAGATATTAAGAAGAAATACTAAGAAGAGCTATTAAGAAGTCATATAAAAAGCAATAATAAAGAGATACTAAGAGATGCATACAAGAAGGAAAAGTTAAACTTCGGAGGACAGAATGAGAAGGTTCCAAATATCTCTTATAAAAATTACAGATGAAGAGACTATAATGTTACAGAAGTAAAGAATAACATGAGTCCTAAAGATTAAAAACTGCAACATAATGGTAAAACCCTGGCAGCTTCTTAACTAAAACAGAGGTAATGAGACAGTCTTCTTTTATTGATAATCATGAATTTTAGAGAAAGACAAAAGCAATGTACCCCCAGCTACTGCTTGCCTTTTAAAGATATTTTGATATCAGTGCTGGAATAATTTTCCTAGAATAGCACTTTCATTAAATCACTCTCCTGCTCAGGAGTAGGCAATGGCTTCCCAGCCTTAACGCATGAATCTAAACTCAATTTAACTTTTCCCAGTCTGGGTGGCGAAACCCCCTTCTCCACCAAAAATACAAAAAAATTAGCCAGGTGTGGCATCATGTACCTGTGGGTCCAGCTACTTGGGAGGGTGAGGTAGGAGTATTGCTTGAGCCCAGGAGGTGAAGGTTGCAGTGAGCCAATATCGTGCCATTGCACTCCAGCCTGGGTGACAGAGTGAGACTTCTCAAGAAAAAAAAACAAAAAACCCACAAAAAACTTTTGAAGTCCAGTATAACATAGTTTCATCATTTTTACCTAATTGGAACCAGCTATATGCCAATCAACAAATAAGTAAATTTTTATATATAATCCATCTAATATTTATAACACCATTGACCCAAGTATTATCTACATCATAAGGAAGAGAAAAGTAAGGCTCACATAAGTCATGTACCTTCCCTAAAATCACATACATAACTAGAAAGCAGAGTTGAGATTGAAATCCAGGTCTTTCGGATCATGGAATTCTGTATTAAATAATATTCTGTTCCTACAGAGAGTCCCCGGCTGCATCCCGCCACTATATCCTCCCTAGGGAGGAAAAAAAAAAAAAAAACAAAAAAACAAAAAACAAAAACCTTAAAGGGAAAAATGTGGTTTGCAAGAAAGTTTTTCCCTTGCTCTTCAAGTTAAAATAAGAAGAATTCAAAGGAAATGATCATTCCATATGTTCCAAATTTATTAATTTTTAAAGTCTGCTCCATTTACACTAAAAGCTTCAATATGTAACCATGCCAATGGAATTTAAGTGTTTGGTATATGGTATCTCTCTGTGATCAATATATAATAAATTCTATGTGTTTAATCTATTTTTGGAATCAAAATTATAAATTATTAACATTTGGAGGATACAGTAACTAGCATACCTAAAAATGGCTAAAACCAGACTTAAGACCAAGATCCTGAGCAAACTCTAGCTGCTGAAAGGTTTCATCAGATTTTTATTCCAAAGTAACTAAGATTAACTAAGATAAATCATTAACCAGATTTCGAAATCCACGACAGTAGGTGATAAGTTAAACATTTCATACAGTGGGATACTGGGCAGCCAGAGAAAGTATGCCTTAGCAATATATATATATCTGACACTGTTCCCAAGATAATTTAATGAAATTGTTTAAGAAAAATAAAATAAAATAATAAGATAAAATAAAATAAAATCCAACTAGGTTTGCAGCAGCAATCATTAAGCCAGCTTGCCCTTTGGCCCACTTCCTTGTAACTGGTTTCTACTTACCACCCCAGGATAACATAGCCTTTGTCACAAGATTCTCTGTTCTCTTCCGGTTCTATAGATAAAATCTCAGACATTGTGAGAAGATAAGCCTTTTGTCTGAGATGCTTCTTTAGGAGGTTCTGCATATCAACAAAACTAGGGAATCAAGCTGGTCTGGTGGACCCAGTAAGAAGCTGACTCTTGGAGAAAAGCAGTTACACATCCTTATGATTTCATCCTCCCTGCCCCCACTGATCACAACACCAAATTTTCCAGCCCCCACCCCGCCCCGCCCCCGTCTTTTATGAATCCCCTTAAACACCCTTGCCCAGAATCCCTCAAGGAAACAAATTCAAGGCTTGAGAATTCCTCCCATTTCCTTGCTTGGCGCCTTGTGATTAAACTCCTCTGCTGCAACCCTGCAGTCAGTGTATTGGTCTGCTGCTGCACAGTGGGCATATGAAGCTGGCAGTCCTGTAGCATATCTGTGTTTATGTATAATATAAAGATCAGAAGGACATTCATCAACATGTTACCAGTCGTTATTACTGGTTTGAGAAATTATAGGTAATTTATTTTATTCTTTACTCTGTTTTAATTTTTCCGTTTTTACTAAGTAATCTAAAATATTTTAATTTTCATAACTAGGAAAAATAATTAATTTTATAACCAGAAAAATGAGATTAATTCAAAAGAAACCGATTTTCATTTTAAAAAATCTGTTACCTACCTGCGTATGTGGCTATGGTTGTATGCAAAATCTCAAACTTGTCAGTTTAACTTTTCAATCCTCGTGGCACACACTAATCTTTGGACAGAATTAACCAGTTGTTTGGCAGTAATGTTAGTATATTACTGAGTGCCTTTTACAAGCCATCGCTCATTGGTAGCAGGAAGTGTTTGGCTAATGGCTCCAAGATATGTTCAGAGTTTCTTGGCTACAAGGACTAATTAGATTGAAAAAAAGTTTTCTTTAACCCTGAATCAATTATACTGACAAAGCTAACATTCCTCAGACAGTTTCTATAATCAGAGAACCATAATATATTATTCAATTAAAATATTTCATAACATAAGAAGTAATATATGTTAATTTAAATGTTTACTACATATTTAACCACACTCATACCCATCATTACCACCACAGGTTGAAAAGGCATTTGCCAACCTTTAGCCCAGGGTGACTTCTAAAGCTGAGTTATGAACCCCAACTGAAATAGTGGGTTTGTAATGGAAATGCTGACAACCTTAACTATAGCAGCATGAACAACACTGACTATAATAAAATTTTTGTTCAGATATAACTCACATAAAAAGTAAAAGCCAAGGGCTGTGAATAGCTCAGTACATTTAAGCCATTTTTCAACACATTCAAAATCCATATAACTCTATATTCCTTTCAAAGCAATACCTGATGGTTTTTCAAACTTCTGTGTTTTGTTTTTAAAAATCTGTATATATTAATCTCTCATGACTCCCTGTGAAACATTTTTTCCTTTATCTTCAGCTACTGAAAGTGCTAATGAATGTTTCATGAAATAAATGATATTTCAGTCTGGACTTACTTTGCATTTTCAATATCCCTGTGAATGGACTTGTTCAGTGAATTTGGAGAAATAATAAAGGGCCCAGCAAATTCCGATTTGCAAAGCCATTTAAAGTGACTCTGCATTAGAATTGTCAGTGTAAAACTAAAGAGGATAATAATGTTCCACAACAGTTTAATTAGCTCTTCCTTTTCCCTCCATCGAATGTCAAAGGAGTGATTTCTTTTTTCTTTCATGCAAATAATTAAAAAATCAGAGGAAACCAAGCACTTGAGTCAGAAAGCTCTATAAAAAGCAACAGTGACAGTCACTATTTATTTTGTAATTAAGGTGTTACAGTACTCATCCACTCTTAGTCATACACACACTGCACATTTCGATAGCTGGCAATAAGCACTGTTGAAGAGAACACTGCCGAGGAGTGATAGAAATGCTGCTCTGTCTGTAGATACTCCCCTCAAGTCCAGTTTGCACAAACAGAATTCAAGAATCTGGACAAGACAATAGAACCGATCAAACATATTAACTGTTTCTAGCAGAATTTGGAAACTACTTATGGGACAATAGAGCTCTTTATGTTTCCTTTGATCTCAGATATTTGCATATAATTTAAACAATATAACATTTAAATGCAATTATCATCTTAAATATCATCGTCCAAATAGCTTCATTAATCACAGTCATTTCCCATTTTTTAAGATCATGGAAGACCAGACTAAGGCAATAGAATGAAGATGACTAACTGATTATGGTTCTTAGAGAAGCAAGCAAAAAAGCTGTTTACTTCTTTTGATATATAATAAACTGACTGGGATTTTACTTCAGACAAGACTGTATTTAGAGAGAGGTAATTCTACCTTGATTAATATCTGTAGAAAGGTAAATAGTATTTTACAAAATATTTGAACTCCACAAGCATTTAACATCAGAGTAAGGCTCGGCGTATACTTTTCTGCGCTAACTATATCAAATGCCATAATTAGTTTTGAGAACAGAAATATAGACAGAACACAAAATACAAATATGATAATGGTTTGATTCTGCTAGACACTTTGTTTTGAAATCTGGACTGACAGAATAAACATTTCCTTTCTATGTACTTCTGTTCCAGGAAAGGGGTCCCGATGCAGACCCCAAAAGAGGGTTCTTGGATCTTGCGCAAGAAAGAATTCAAGGTGAGTCCGCAGTCCAAAGTTAAAGCAAGTTTATCAAGAAAGTAAAGTGGTGAAAGAACAGCTACTCCATAGACAGAGTAGGACATTCCCAAAAGAGGAGGAATGCATCTACCGTAGGTACAACGCTTATATATATGGGGAGATGTGCTTTGCTACAAGGGTTTGTGATACAGGATTAACTTTCTTAATTACTATATTTTGCAAGAATTGATATTATTATCTTTAAAGCAAAATTAGGAATGCCTTTGTTCTCCAGATATCAGGACATCTGGACACTCCCAAGTCTGGGTCTGTTTAGTAAATATTATTATAATCATTATTATTATTATTATTATATTATTATTATTATTATTTTGAGATGGAGTTTCGCTCTTGTTGCCCAGGCTGGAGTGCAATGGCACGATCTTGGCTCACCGCAACCTCTGCCTTCTAGGTTCAAGCAGTTCTCCTGCCTCAACCTCCCGAGTAGCTGGGATTACAGGCATGCGTCACCATGCCCAGCTAATTTTGTATTTTTAGTAGAGATGGGGTTTCTCCATGTTGGACAGGCTGGTCTTGAAGTCTCAACCTCAAGTGATCTGCCCACCTCGGTCTCCCAAAGTGCTGGGATTACAGGCGTGAGCCACCGCGCCCGGCCAGTAAACATTATTAATTTGTTCCCTTAACCATGCAGCCCAGCAAGTCTCAGCCTCATTTTCCTAGCCCTCATTCAAAATGGAGTTGCTCTGGTTCAAATACCTCTGACACTTTCTTCCAAATTTAACTGAGATTATTGGATCTGAAATTACAGCTTATTCTAAAACTTTTACTTTTGAGCGTTCATAGTATGACACTGCTGATACTAGAAATGAAATCTACTCAGGGAATCATGTGTGGTTAAAAAAAAAGATATAGGTAATTTCAAATTATCACATATATTGTATAGGTGGATATCTGCATACAAATATTACTCTTGTTTTTGCAATTTTTCTCCCCATCGGTGGTTCCCTCATCCACTACTTATGTCACAATGCACACATATTTAAGTCCCACATTTTCCAGAATCTTTTCTCTCCTTTCTAGTCTCACTGCTATGGCTCCTTAGCCACTGTTAATAAAAGGGAGATTCCAGATCATGGAGGATTTTAATTATAAAATAAGGTTTGACAGTACAATGAAAGAGTTAAAATTGTATCCGTAAATCATTTTTTCAAAAATGTCTTTTAAGGCTAAGCAATATGTGTCTTTCTGGAGGTTAATTCTATGCCAATTATTGATTCATTTATTAAAGTTTATTTATTAAAGATCTGTCAATACGGAGAATTCTATAACCTGCCTTGCTGCTTTCATAAAACAATCATAGAGAAAAATTTAAATATCAGTGATGAATTCTGTATAGTCCCTTCAGATAAACCATACAATACTTCTGGTACTGGACCAACTGTAACTCAAAATTAGTTGGTTATCTACATGCCGATGGAGTTTATAAGGTGCATACTGAAATTTCACTTTTCTAGGCTTTATATTGGTGAATAGCATTTCCCAAGTAAACCAATTAGCTGCACTGGCATTTGGCTCACTTATTTCAGGAAGAACTGCTGTCTAACATCATTGCTAACTGTGCAAAAGTGTCAGAGATATGCTGCTCACCGCCACATGTCAATGGTATCAGGCCTTGAAAGATGTAACACCAATCATTACCACAAACCACTTGTTTCCTATACATTTGATCTGTCCCATGTTTAAACTCTATCCACTTCCTGAAATCACTTGCCTGTTTTAATTCCCTTCAGAATAATTATATTTCAGTGCATGCAAATATAATAAAAATACAGCCATATACATCAGTCTTCCTTCTTTAAAAAAAAGCTGCTAGTTACAAGTAGGTATTTTGAGTGTGTTTTAAAGAGACTTTTATTACCAAGAAGTATGGTGAGACGCACATAGCAGAGTCTCAAAGCTGCAAAAATGGTGTCTGTTTTCCTCAGTGCATTTTTCATAAGGATGCCAATATTCTCAGACTTCTGACTACAAGTTATTGTAGCAAAGATTCACAAGGTAAATAATAAAAATAATAACATACATTCAAAAACACATAAATTTCAAGGTGATAAATCTTTGCATACTTCCAGGTCCTCTAAATCCTGGAACACTGTATAATATTCCACATTTTTTTTTTTTTTCTTTTTTGAGACAGAGTCTTTCTCTGTCACCCAGACTGGAGTGCAGTGGTGCAATCTCGGCTCACTGCAACCTCTGCCTCCCGGGTTCAAGTGATTCTCCTGCCTCAGCCTCCTGAGTAGCTGGGATTACAGGTGGGTGCCACCACACCCGGCTAATTTTTGTATTTTTCGTAGAGACGGGGTTTTACCATGTTGGTCAGGCTGGTCTTGAACTCCTGACCTCGTGATCCACCCGCCTCACCCTCCCAAAGTGCTGGATTACAGGCGTGAGCCACCAAGCCCGGCCTATTTCACATGTTAATCTCCAAATAGTTATGTATGGGATTTTGTGATAATCAATAATTTATATAGAGAAGCAAATAATTAATACATAAGCATCTCACCTATACCACCTGTACTACTGCTGAGAATACGATATAGTTTGATTTTTTTAACCTTTACCAAATTGATAGCTGAAACTTATATTTTATTGTTTCATGTGCACTTCTTCCATTACTGGTGAGGCTAAATACGTTTGGAATGTTTTTCCTACGAAAATGTTCTATCCATGTGCCATTTTCCCATTTAAGAGTTAAGAATCATTTCTACTGAATTTCTGAGTAAGCTGAGATATCAACAATTCATTTTCCTCCGAAGAATATCTATTCAGTGTGTTTTCTAATGGTAAAAGATACATGAATAAGTGCACAGATTAATTTAAAGCATACACTTACTTCCAGAGAATAGATAACTGAAGAAAACTGACACATTTAAACCAAGGGATACAAATGAACAATTTAGCAGCCGCAGTTCCTCATACGAATAGCGTTAAATAAAGATGTGGTTAGTTGAGGACCACACCCCTCAAAAAGGGTGTGCAACAGAGATGATTATTCTTTCTCCTCATCATAATGTATGTTACTATTCTCTGTGGACACGTAGAAGGAAAAATCAATTGAGTAAAACCCTAAATTCTAAAGATAGCACTTTTATATATTTAAGAGTTTACTGAAGTTTTAGAACAAAGCAGTATTTATATGATGTGATTAGATATTTCTAATTATAATAATTGACCTTCCCATTAAAATATGGACATTACCAAGGTTTATACTGCTTTATCAGTTTATATTAAATTTATAACTAAAATTTTCATATTTTATATCCTTTTGAATTATGTTTTTGATATTATTGTCCATGTTATAGTGGAAAGAACAAGAGACACGGAAGTAGAAAAAATATTCGCTCTTATTCATTGTGTGATCTTGTGCACTTTACTTCACGTTTCTGAGCCTCAGTCTCCTTTTCTATAAAACCATGCTTAATATAATTCCTGGCACTTAGCCCTTTATAAATGATAGTGGTTACTATAATCACTATTAGGTATCAGCAAATGCATAATTAAGAAACAGTGCCGAGCATAAACATTAGCTTCAGGTTTTCTGCTACAAATTCAAGCAGAATCTACTCCTTTAAAATGCACATAAAAGAAAATTTTTTTGAAGACCTGGCTTTCTACTTATTTATCATCTTTATTAGTTATTATAATAATCTTTTATATTCATACCTTTTTTATTTGCCCCTAAACTTTTACTATCAATTACTTAGGCTATTCAGTTAATACTATATGCTTTATCTTTTCTTCCATGTTTATACATGCTAAGGAAAAAGATATCCTAACAAAATAGGATATTGGAAATTTTATGATCAACCTTTAAATGGGGGACAATGATTCTTCCATGAAAGCTTAGAGATGTCATTTAAAATAACATGAGCCTTCATGATTATGTTTTTAGTCTTATTTTTAAAAGTGTCCAAAATGGAAAAGAGTAAAAGAATATGTAGAAAAACTAAAATTAATAAAATCATACATCATTTCAGAAAGCTTTATATTTTAACTTGTGAATTCTAACCTTCATTTTTTTGTTTGTTTGTTTTGTTTTTTTGAGACAGAGTTTCGTTCTTGTTGCCCAGGCTGGAGTGCAGTGGTGTAATCTCGGCTCATTGCAACCTCCACCTCCCGGGTTCAAGTGATTCTCCTGCCTCAACCTCCCAAGTAGCTGGGATTACAGGCGCCTGCCACCTCGCCCGGCTAATTTTTTTGTATTTTTAGTAGAGACGAGGTTTCACCATGTTGGCCAGGCTCGTCTTGAACTCCTGACCTCAGGGAATCCACCCGCCTCGGCCTCCCAAAGTGCTGGGATTACAGGTGTGAGCCACAGCGCCTGGTCTGACCTTCATTTTTTAAACTGGACTGAATAAACAAAATCTAATCAAAATCAACTGGAATTAATATCCTCATACTAGCTTGAATAATAATTTTTTATATGTAACACCTTTTTCATATGGCATTTTCATATTGCATATCTAATTTTACTTGCATAACCACCTTGAGGGATAAGTAGCCTAGATATTACCATTGCTATTTTTCAAATTAAGAAAATTTTTGTACAAATGAGGAAATAGGCACTGAGAGGTTATATGGCCAAACTATGTCCAAAAAAGTAGCTGGTAACAAAGCTGGAACTCAAATGTGTGTGTCCTGATTCTCATCCCTGGACATATTATTTCCAGTGAATACATCTTTCAGATTATGACTATACCAGAATCTTTTGCCACAGAGCTACTAGTTTCCAGTAGAAGTCAGGGTTTTCTCCTCACTACTTCAATGAATCTTAAACTTAAAATGCCAGTGCTGTTGTTTGAATGTGTCCCCCAAAGTTCATGAGTTGGAAAATTAATCCCTACCATGGAGGTGTTGAGAAATAGGGCCTTTAAGAGGTGATTATGTCATGAGGGCTCTGCCCTCAAAAATGGATTAATATGGTTATCACAGGAGTGGATTTGTTATCACAGGATTAGATTTGTTATAAAAGCGAGTTGTACTCTCTCTTGTTTCTCTCTCATCCATGCTCATTGACCCTTCTACCCCTCCACCCTTCCGCCATGGGATGACAGAGCAAGAAGGCACTTGCTAGGTACTAGCACCTTGATATTGGACTTCCCAGCCTCCAGAACTGTAAGAAATAAATTTTTTTCTTTAGAAATTACCTAATCTGTGGTATTTTATTATGGCAATGCAAAACTGGCTACAACTGCCACCTCCCCTCTGATCGTTTTACATGAAAATACTGTTAAGGAGTTTGAGTCATATAACTTTGGCACAAGGAAATGTTATATTTGCTAAATTTGTCTCATCAACTTGTAGAATCCAAATTCCAGCAAAAGATGCCAGTTAATTTCAAGAAATCACAACAGCAATGGTACTGCCCATGACTTGGTTGTGTTCAAGCTACACTCAAAACGTGTAAAAAGTGGAAAATGTGGGGTGTTGCTCAGGTAGCTCTGATACTGTTTGGTAACCTCCCCAATCCCTAAGCCCTACATCTCTTAAGCAGGCTCATCCTTATTGATGAATATATCAGAGGGACTGGTGGTGATGAAAACTACAATAATGGTAACCAAGTTGATTCCTGGATTCCACCTATTTCCATAGTAGTACAAGGGAGTCTCCATTCAGGGCATGATCCAGCTTTTCTTATGATTCTGCTGTGGCAGCAGAAAGCTAGTTCTTTCTTCATTTGTCTTTCTTCCTTCTTCCCTTACTCTCACATCTCCCCCCTTGACAATACTACTCAGTATCAGTACTTCAACCTCTTGTATCAAGTATGTCCCTGTGTTTTACTTCAGGAGTCAATCAAATTAGAACATTTGATATACGAATATTCACTTTTTAACTAACAAGCTTAAATCCACAATGAGCTAAAGCTGACTAATATTCCTATATATTCTTTTTACTGACATTGAAGCAAAGATAAAATAATAAAAATGACAGCAGCGACAGGTTATTGGTGAATATTTTAGGTCAGTAAGTGCCAAGGATTCAATGACATATAAGACAGCATAATATTGACAAGTATGATATAGATTACCATGATCTTCACGTGGTACATAATGTGGTTGGTGGCTCTTTTTCTTTCTTTTTTTAAAATAAAGTACACCTATCCACTCTTAGACTAAAAAAAAAAGGTGTTTGGATAAAATCTTTAGGAGACATACAACTTCCTAACAATAATTATTTAGAATAACATCAGATTAACTCTGACAGCAGCTGCCTATTTACACTTATACAATGCATGTGATCACTATAACTAAGCATGGGTAAAAGCAAGAGGACCTTCTGAATTAAAATGTAGTACCATCCTCACTATTCATATTACACATATTAAAAATCTGAATGACTGGCTTTTAAAAACCGCTTGGTTGAAGTAAAACATACATTAAGAAAAGTGCATATAAGTGGCCACCTGAATCAATCTGCAGAAACTAAACACACCCATGTAACTAGCATCAAGATTAAGAAACAGAACATGACCAACACCCCAGAAGCCCCTACATATTCCATTCCAATCATGAACCCACCCTAAGAATAACTATTATAATGAATTCTAAAATCATAGACTACTTTTGCCCTAAGCAATCACTTTTAAAGAATATGTTTTTGAAGACATGGTTTTCTACTTGTTTAATGTGTAAGAAGTTGAAATTAAATATCTGCAAATATATTTTAGTTACTCCAAGCACCCAGAAAATTTCACTGTAGGGTTGAATAAAGAAAGCAACAAGGATTACGTTAATGTTTAATAAGCATTCACTGAGCTGAATTTATTATGCCGACACTGTGTTATAGATTTTGTCTGTAACACTGTGACACAGATTTTGTCCTGAAAAAGCAGACTAATGATATCATACATAACTGAGAAAGCATCATGCCAGTATGCAGCCATAAATACAGAAACCTTTACACTGTAGTGCAAGAGAGTACAGGATCAGCTAAAAGGTTCAAAGTATTATGGAGGAAACTGAGAAGCCATTGAAAGGTAGAATAGTTGGAGAAGCTTTTTATAGAGTGGTGGAATTTAAAGTGGGCCTTTAAAAAGATACATGAGGCTCAAAAGGACAGAGACAAGGAGGAGGCTTTTCAGATTGGAAAAGGCACAGAAGCCTGGGCTCTGAGACAAGGAGGGTAAGACAGATGAGCTATTATACAGTTCCCTAGCAAAAATAGATTTTGAGATGCAAAAGCTAAGGAACCCTGACAAAAACCTATATATGTCTATAAAATCATTGATTTGTGTTGAAAGAATTCACTCAAATCCAAACGGCCATGATCTCTGCTTCCTTTCACTGCTACCTGAAGATATTGTTTTTACTCACTAGTTTCCTCTAGAAATGAAAATGAATTATGAAATGTTTATATGTTATGCATTGATAACATTGTTTGGTAATGACTAGATTACTGAACAGCAAGAAGAAAACATGACTTTCTTTCCTAAGTCCTTTTGACATTTCACATTAAAAATACATTTTCCTGAGCTTATCTTCCTTAACTGATGAATAAGCTCTAGAGATCTGCTGTACAACACTGTAATTATAGTCAATAATAATGTATTACACACTTAAAAATTTAAGAGGGTAGATCTCATGTTAAGTGTTCTTACCAAAAATAAAAATAATAATAAAAAAAAATTCTGTGACTGTTTTAGACCTCTTATTTTTTCTCTTATTTTAAAGACAGTCATTTGTTTAGAAAAATTAGGACTGACTTGGTGAGAGTGAGGAAGAAAGAAGTCTTACAGACTGGAAAATTTATGTAGATAAATATGTATTTGATTCCCTAACATTTAACAACGTTCCCCTAAATTTTATAACATATTTATGGTGTTGCTATTGATAGAGTACAATTCGTTCAGCAAAAATTGTTTAAGTTACTTGAAGTCCTTTTTTTTTTTTTTTTTTTTGAGATGGAGTCTTGCTTTGTGGCCCAGGCTGGAGTGCGGTGGCGCGATCTCGGCTCACTGCAGCCTCTACCTCCTGGGTTCACGCCATTCTCCTGCCTCAGCCTCCTGAGTAGCTGGGACTACAGGTGCCCGCGACCACGCCTGGCTACTTTTTTGTATTTTTAGTAGAGATGGGGTTTCACCGTGTTAGCCAGGATGGTCTCGATCTCCTGACCTCGTGATCCGCCCATCTCGGCCTCCCAAAGTGCTGGGATTACAGGCGTGAGCCACCGCGCCCGGCCTGAAATCCTATATATGAAAAAAATCCAAACCAAGCTGAACAAACAAGTTAACATTTTTATTAAAATAATGTAGTAATATGTATACTCAGTTTTACTCAGGCTGCTAAGATTTAAGTAAGGTCAATTCTACTAACATTTTGTCACATTGGTATATTATCATTCTGTGCTTCTAAAAAGTTAGATTATAACTCAAAGTTTAAATCTGTTAGGAAACCTTAGTTTAATACTTTCTTGCATCTTAGGTCCTATAAGTCACTATAAGTAAAAGTTAAACACTCTAAAAACAGGATTTTGTTCCACAGATTTTTCTTTAATAGATTACTAAAAAACTCAAAGATTTTTCAATGAAACTAATAGCAGACAATATGCAATTTTTTTTTTCAGGTATTAAACATAGATGTTTCAGCAGTTAGTTACATTTCACATTGAGACAGTCACTCCCATTAGGTCCTATGACTTGGTCCTTACTGTTCACCATAAACCTTTGTGGTTTGGTGGCGTCCATAAGTTTAGGTCCTCTCCATTATTAACAAATTGTTTCCAATTTCACCATTTCCCTTGAAGAAGCAAAGTGTGGACTGGGAAATATTGTTAAATACCGGTGTCCTCCTTATTCTAATTTACCTTGTTTCTCCTCTCAAATTTACAGTGAACAGTAATTTTCAGACTGTTACTCTCTATTTGTCAACTTCCCACAATGTCTTATTTTGAAATATGACTGCTGTACTAAAATGATATGCAATTAATTTAATAAGCATTTATTAAGCACTTCTACCTCCCTTCCAAGAACTGACCAGGCAGGACCCTGTTTAGCTTCCAATATCAGGTGCATTCAGGTTGGTATGGCCATAGATTGAGCCCCTCCGACTGAGGTGCTATGATAGCACCGAGATTGTAAGGACAAAAAGAATACAGTCTTTGTTACTAAGAAACTCAAGAGGAGGTACAGATAGAAGCAAATAATTAAATAAAAAGTGCAAATGTGGTATGTGCTCTATTACCAATAACGCTAAAGGGCTGCTGTGACACAGAGAAAGGAATGGTTAATTCTGTCAAAATGGAGCTAGAAAGATTATGGACAACTACAGAGAAAGTAGCATTTATACTTCCAGTAAGTTTTTTATTTGGTCAGCATCTACTTTCTATATGTTTTCCAGTATGTGAGCATGAGTCTTTGTTGCATATTTTCGACCACAAAGGAGGTAAAAATGTGGATGAAATATATGTAATAACTCTAAACAAGGTCTCCAAATGTACATGGACTCTACTGCCCAGCTATGTGATCGTGGGCAAGTCCTTTATCATTCTGCATCTCAGTTTCTTCAACTATAAAATAAGTTTGGATGAAATGTCATCTTGGGTCCCTTTTAGCAGGGACTAGATAATCTCTAAAGCTTCAACCAGCTGTGGAGTTTCTGGAATTGTTTCATCTTTCTTCTTCCCCCCAAACTTTTTAACTTTGCTATTATTTTACTTTTTTCTTTTATATAAAAAAGAAATACTACTATGGAATGAATCCATAGATTTTCCCCTATAACATTGCCTTTAATCAGAACTTCCATTGTTATTAATCCCGTGAAAAAGTCAGAGTGGATAAACAGCTAATCGGTAACTAACATGACATGGAAACATGGCAGATATCAAAAGGTATAGTTGATTGTTAAAATTATAATAATTTATTTAATTCATAAAAAAGTTAGCACTGTTCAGAAGAAACTTAACTAGCTTTTATCTTGTAGGATGGCACCAATTTAACTGAAGTGAAACCCATTTTGGATTTATGCAAACCTCAGGATAAATAATACCTTCAAATACATTAATATAATTTCCCCCTTTTGAATAAAATAGCTTTAATTAAACTTTACTAACCATTTGGTTTAAAACCTGGAGTCAACCTATAAAACAGGAGTGGTTTTAAATCAAACAGTAAAAAATCCTTAAAGCTGAAAATTAAAGTGATAGCCACAGGGGGAAAAAAAGACATCAAATATGTCTAGTAAACCAGCAATGTTTTATACAATATATATCTATTAGATATAAGTTTACATATGTACATATACATACATATATATAAACTTTAAAATTAATCATTGGGGAAAAAAATAATTGTGGTTCACCAAAAGAAAAAAAAAATTCAATGTTTTAAAGGCATCAAAGTCTCTGTAACAACCATTTTCTTTCTCTAAAGACTAATTGGTATGCCAATCTTGAATGAAATGACCCACAGATTTATAATTTAACCAAGAATAAAATGACAAGAGCAATGTTATTTTATTAACTTTACTGGTAATAAAGTTACATTATACAATTTGCTTCTGAACTTCATACGGCCTATGACAATGTTTAAAAGGAAGTGATATACTCTCTCTTCCCTCACCTTGCCTACTTTCCTCCCTTTTCCCTGCAATAGTCACTAACTAACTGAATAACAAACTAAATAAATAAATACGTAAACTTAACCCAAAACAAAACTGCTCTCTAATTCTTCAGGCAATGCTTCATAAACTTTTCCCACCAAAGTACCCCTAATGGAAGAGAAGACTGAAAATAATCCTGTAGGGATCTGCTACAAGTGGGAAATTTCTTTGAAGTCATCTGTTTTATTTTTAAAATTAATGTGGATTTTGAATTCTACTCCATAATACATATCTGTTTTAATGTAAAAATGATGTGTTTTTCCCCACTATCTTTGAGCTACAGAGGTCTAGAAAAATATGCCAAGTTTATACCATAGTTTTGCATTTTCCAAGAAGCACACAATTTTAGCAGCTTAGCTTTACAAGGAATAAATGTAATTATGATGATTTTTTCCATGGAACCCACATACTTCTTTCTTTTTGTTTGCCTTTCACTTCAAGGTGATTTTTTTCCCCTTTGCCAGTAATGTTGATGCCTGGAATTTTAGTACTGAACTAAAATAAATTTGGTATTTGCTATACCACACAGAAAAGATCTTACTCTATCAAAGTAGGTATGTGCGTTCTAATAACACAAAAATATGAAAAAAGATATTGGTAGTAATCAAGTTGTTCTTTCAATATTAGCTATATAATTCATTAACTGAATTAGTTTTTTCTTATCTATATCACTCCAGTTTAAAAAAAAAAAGACAATCTTTTGTTTTTGTTTTTGAAGAGAACGGGATCATTTTACAAAGAGATAGTCCATCATCAAATAAAATGAATTATATAGTGTTGACCTATTTTTGTTTTTTGCTATGTTATACACAGTCCTGAATGTGATAAAGTGTGATTCAAACAGGGCTGAAATGTACATTAAGTAAACAAGACAAGTTAGACTCAAATACCAAGGAAAAGTATTTAAATATAAATAAGAGGTAATTGGCTTGACCTTTTACAATGCTTTGTTTCTTCCTGCAGACTAATACAAAAAGTATTTTCTCCTAAGGCTTTAGTAAAAAAAAAAAAAAAAAAAAAAAAAAGGAAGAAGAAAAAGGAAATAGATTCTGAACAGAGATTTGGCAAATGACAGTCAGTTGTCTTAGAGTACAGGGCAGGTGAAATTTCCAGCCAGAGGATGCAGCATGAAATCGTACACAGAGACAGGATTATTATAAAGGAATAAAAATGGCTCAGGAGACTATATGTCTGGGTATACTGAAATGAGAACTAGGAGGAAATGAAAGAGGGATGCAAGCAGGCAGAATGTGCGTAAGATCTTTTTGAGTTGAGAATTCTCAGTCTGAATTTCATAGGGAAAGAAAAATAACTAGTCAAAATAATTTGAGAGTAGGGATTGATATGGCCCAAACAGTGATATAAGAAGAGGATTTTTGGCAACAGTCTTTTGAATACACTGGCAGGAAGAATGCACAAAATCAGGAATGATCAAAATAGAGCAGAGAGATTTCGCTCTTGAAATGGATTGGAAAAAGGAAGTTGGTGATATACAAAAAATTAAAAAGGAAAAATAAAATAAAGAAAAAAATATATAAAAGGATTTACCAAAAGCCCAGGAATAGGAAACAAACAAATAGAATTGAATATAATACATACTTACTGAGACTGGAGGAACTATAAGATATTTTATGATTGTTCCCTTCTAATAAGACAAAAGAAAGAACTATAATATCCTTAGTGGTATATCAATACTACTACTACTACCACTACTACTACTACTACTACTACTACTACTACTACTACTACTGGTAGTAGTTCAGCAACAGCCGCATACTTACTATGTGTCAAGCATATACTATAAACTATACCATTTTACTGGATGCAATGCCTATGTTAACTAATTTAATCTCACTGTTATTATTCTCATTTTACAGATGAGTAAACAAAATCTTAGAAGTTTAAATTATTAGCTCAAATTATAGAACTAATAGGTAGTAGAGCTAGGATTAGAAAGTTATAGTGTCAGGCCTGGTGCGGTGGCTCACGCCTGTAATCCCAGCACTTTGGGAGGCCAAGGCGGGTGGATCACAAGGTCAGGAGTTTGAGAACAGCCTGGCCAACATGGTGAAACCCCATCTGTACTAAAAAAGTACAAAAATTAGCTGGGCATGGTGGCGTGCGCCTGTAATCCCAGCTACTTGGGAGGCTGAGGTAGGAGAATTGCTTGAGCGCGGGAGGCAGATGTTGCAGTGAGCTAAGATTGTGCCACTGCACTCCAGCCTGGGCGAAAGAGCAAGACTTCGTCTCAAAAAAGAAAGAAAGAAAGAAAGAAAGAAAGAAATTTATAGTGTCTAACCCAAAAGGCTGGGCTCTACAATCTACTTTTGTCAGTAGCAGTAGTGGCTAAAGTGTACAAGATTATTGAATGTCTCACTACATAACTATATAAAATATATATATATATATACACGCTATATACACATATATAAATATCTATATATTCTTAAGTTTTTTATTGATACATAATATTTGTATACTTATGGGGTACATATGATATATTGCTACATGCATAGAATGTGTAATGACTAAATTGGGGTGTTTAGCGTATCTACCACCTTGAACATTTATCATTTCTTTGTGTTGGGAATATTTCAAATCTTCTCTTCTAGCTATTTTGAAATATGCAATATATCATTCCTACCCACAGTCAATCTATTCTGCTATCAAACATTAGGACGTATTATTTCTTTCTTTAATTTTTTTTAAGAGACAGGGTCTTGCTCTGTCGCCCAGGCTAGAGTGCAATGGTGTGATCATAGCTCACTGTAGCCTCCTGGGCTCGAGGAATGCTCTTGCCTCAGCCCCTGCAAGTAGCATGAAACTGGCTAATTTTTAAAATTTTCTGATGGGGGTGGTCTCACTATGCTGCCCAGGCTGGTCTCAAACTCCTGGCCTCAAGTGTTCCTCCCACCTCAGCCTCCCAACTAGCTGAAATTACAGGTGTGAGCCATTGCACCAGGCCAGAACTTATTTCTTCCACCTAACTGTATGTTCGTACACATTAACCAACCACTCTTCATCCCCCTACCCTTCACCTTTCCCAGCCTGTGGTAAGCATCAATCTACGCTCTATCTCTATGAGACCAACCTTCTTAGCTCCTGCATATGAGTAAAAACATGCAATATCTGTCTATCTGTGCCTGGCTTATTTCACTTAATTACCTCCAGTTCCATCCATGTTACTTCAAATGAGAGGATTTATTTCTTTTTTACAGATGAATAGTATTCCATTGTGTATATACACCACATTTTCTTTATCCATTAATCCATTGATAGACATCTAGGCTGATTTCATATCTTACCTATTGTGAACAGTGTTGCAATAAACATGGGGTACAGGTATCCCTTTGATATGCTGATTTCTTTTTCTTTGGATAAATACCTAGTAGTGGAACTGCTGGATCACATGTAAATACCTATGGTTATATATAACATATATATAACTGTTGATTGAGGTTTATATAAATACCTGTTGATTGATATAAGTGTGTGGTACATATTTATTTATGTATAGTAAATATATTACATATAAATATATATATTTTCATGTGTGGCACTGTGTGTGTATATATAGATATATTATTGACATACTTCTTTCCAAAATGTTGTAAAAATTGATTATACATGTTGAACAAAGAAAACTTAGAAAAAAATTCTGGTAGAAGGCAATCAAAAAGTATTAATAGCAACAAAATGAGCTAATTTAATAACTGGTCTTTTTTGTGCTATATATATATATACATTTCAAATTACAACACAAATGTTTAAAATGTTATTATTTCACATTAGCCACATGTTAGTAAATATGCTTCTAGTCAGAAAGCTGTATTTTTAAATCCAAAGATAAATTCTTTAGAAGAGCTATTACCAGAAAGTTGCCATTATAGTTGTAATTTGTGTAATTTTCCATCATATTTCACAATTTTTTGAAAACAACGAAAGAAAATAAATAATACAATACAATCATAGTTTGTCTTTTTGTGTTAGTTTGCTCCTTGGACCACAAAACGATACAAACTCGGTAAAATTAAAGAAATATGTTGAGGATTTGATTGACAATACCCAACTGGCTGAGATGACCACTGCACAATGTTATTCAAAGAATATTCTGGGTTTTATAGATTCACTATTTTTAACTTAAAAGGAAACTAACAGGTTTATATGGTTTGTAATAAACTTGAGAAACATATATGAAGTCCTTACCAAAAGTCCTCAGAGTTACAGAATGAAATTACTTCAGCGTAATTTCAAGTATAAGATTTATGGTGTACTTCTCTTATCTAAGAGGGAAAATGCACTTCTTCTCGCACATAATCTCACCTTCAGCAAATGTTTCCTTAATCTTCTTTTCTTTCACTTTTCAACCTCTTGCAAAAGTAGATAATACTTACTGACAAAGCTAATTACCCTGAATTAAAATCTCAGAGACATTTTTGTTTCAAACATCCTGTTCCTCACAGGAGCCATGGCTTGTCTATTCTATCCCTTCAATGATGCTGTACTGCTTACCACATCAAGACTAGACTCCTTAGCCTGACACTGAAGTCTCAGAGATACCTACCTTACTGCTCCAGCCTCAGAGTCAACCATTCCCTTCACTTGTCCTAAAACATTCTGCCACTTTGCCTTGCTCATGTTGTTTTCTCTCTGGAAAGCAAACCTCTTTTCCATGTCTGTAAAACCCTAACCTCATATTTCACCTTTGACCTCTTCCATGAAGCCTTCTCTTACCCACCCATTCAAGAGTACTTTCCTCCTCATCTCAACTATAGGACATTATCTTTTCCTGCAGCATTTCTCACATGCATCCTTATTTTATAACACATTTGTGTGTATGTATATATACACACATTTTTCTCATTTACTATATTTTAACCACACTCAATCAAAAACTCTCACAATCATTGTCATATAACCAAGAGCCCTATAGTATGGTTCCTTTGCAAACAATATCCACTTAAATGTTTATCAAATGAAAGTACAAACATATTATCTGATCAGAGAAATGAAAGCTTTAATAACGTAGCAGTGGTAAAAAAAATGATGTAAGACAAAATAGGTTATTAAAATGTAGTATGCTGTCAAATATAAGCTAATGGAAACTATTTTCCTGCTTTTCTTTTATCAGTAAACAAACAAAAAATACTTTTATGAATAATGTTTACAGATTCTTTAATTGTTCCATTTAAACCATATAGGCAAGAGATAATCTCAAAGTAGTTATAAATCAATTACCTTTGCTTGCACTTTCTACGTGTTCCAGTTCTTCAGGAAATTTTAGGATATCTCGATATTTTTCCTCACAAATGTCGGCAATAAAATGCAAAAGGGTTGTTTTTTGATCCGCTGATTTAGTATCTCTGATCTGGGAGAAAACAACAACACATTTTTTAGTAATTTTTTAGTAAATACTTTTTTAAACAAGTGAAATGAATGAATTTATTATAACCCATTTAAAATGTTTTTAAAACTTTGGGGTAGGTTCTTAATGTGGTCTAGTAGCGGTGCTCTAGATTTTAAAAGGAGCTCCATATTTTAAAAGCAAGTAAGATGACCAGTAAAAGTGCCAAATTAAACCTTAATCTGTATTTTCAAAAATGTCTAAATTATTGTGGCAAAATGAACTATTCTTTTCATGAGAGAAGAACATCCATTTAAGTATTGATAATAGCCCAAGTTACTGTGTGCTTATTTTATCATCATTCTGTTCTTTGCTTTATTACAAAAATATGTTCTTAAAAGTTAGATTCATTTGTGAGATTATATTTATTTCTAGCCATTGTTGATGTAAATTAATGTAAAGGAGCAAGCACATTTTATCCTCCTCTACTTGCATGGACCATCAGAAAATAATTCTCAAGGTTGTGCTTATACTGAGTTATTAAAAAAAATCTCACCATACAATCCTGATAATATGAAAAATTTTATTTGCTTACATATTGTATTTCCTTTTCAGACACACAACAAAAGAGATGCCACAGTTAGAATGGTAAAAATCTTTAAAGCATAGGACACACAAAAAAAGAAAATCTAGTGCTGCAATATAATTCTCATACTAGACTAAGCTGCAAATAAAATCAAGGATTTACTTAGAAACAAAGCATAAATACAGCATAAAGTATCAAGTTTTCTCATTCTATTGGATGTTATAATTCTATAATCCTTAGATGATGGGTTTGTCCACTGATGTTCATACTGATTTGGAATTTTTAGCTTTAAGGATTACTCTGTTTAGAATAAATGAGTATTTTTCACAAACAGGTTTATGAAAAGGCTGTACAGGATATTTAGGTAACAGAGTAAATTAATCCTTATTGTTTGAGTGACTAAGAAAGAAAAACATAGCATTTAATAAATCAGGCCCACACTGGATCTGTTTTGTTCTACAGGTTTTTAACAACCATTTGCATCTCAATGTGATGTAAACAACTTAGAAGAAATATTAGTCTCAAGGTTCCAAACAACCAAACAGCCACAGGAGGCATAATGTTGATAGTTCAAGAGGTCACAATGATTTCTTTCAAAATTTCGGGGATTACTTTATCCCACATAGGAAAAATATTTAAAATTTTACATTATCATGCTGATCCACTAAACACTTTTAAGTACTTTAAGGTAGAAATGACACAACTCAAGGACAAGCTGAAAGAACAAAAAGCAACACAAACCTCAAGGGCAATTTTCCTTAAGTAAGGATAGCAGCTGTAGAGGAATCAATGGGAAGCTCACATTCCTAAAGAGAGGTCTTTACCTGGGATTACTGTGTGATGTGTTTACAAAGTGCATCGTTTTTAAGAGTATGCCGGATATTCCAAATAAAAAGGAAATTAACATTTTCTTTTTCCTTAGAAGTTCACTAACTACCTAAATCCTAAAATTCTGGAAACATTAAGTGCTTAGAAAAAATTGCAGGTACATCTTCCCAAAGGAAAGGAAATTCCTATGTATTTTATGGACTCTTTGGAGTCATAACATAAATGGAGACAAAAACAATTTTTTTTTTTAAAAAAGAACACAATTCAAAACAACAAAAACCCACCTAGTTTTTTAGGACATCAAATTGTACAAGTACATTATAGTTTACAATAAAACGCACATGGCTAACACTGGAAAGGAAATATAAAAACAGAAAAATAGCACTGTGCTCATATGTCAATTTTATGGGTGATTTTTTTTCTTTGTCACATGTGTTAGATTGTTTTGTATTAAAAAACATTTCAGTTTTTGGCATGCATACTTATAAGTGCTTAATTTTCAAAAATTGTATTTATTAATAAATATTTATTCAGTATCTGGTCCACTAACAATTTAATTTGTTACAAAATTTAGAAGAGTTAATGGTTACATTTTAAAAAGATAAATAAAGCACAACATCAGTTAAATGTATTAGTATCTTTGATGAAATGATAAAAGACTTTTAGACAGACTATGCATGTATTTCTTTTAGAATCATAATATTCCCTTCAAAGCATGGGCAAACATGGCCAAATGTTTGTCTTGTCAAGTTGAGAAGTATCTTAGTTGGTCTGGGAGACAAGCTGCTTAATGTATTGCAATATTTGTTGTTTTTTTTTAAAAAAAAAAACACACAGAGACCATTTTAATGGTTCAAACTGGCAGGAAATCACGACAAATGGGTGGTCTTTTAAACCTTTCTCTATGTGTGAGAGGCCTTAGACCAATTATTTAAAATATATATATATATAATATTAAAATATAATGGAAAATATTTTTTACTTATTGAAGCTTAATTACTTTATATCATGCCTTCAGTCTCTCTTACCAAGTCTATGCCATTCACACATTAGCCATTGTATCTCTCTCAGGCCCTATCGTGTTGTTCAATGTCAGCACAGAAGGCAACTAAGAACATCAGTTCTACTGGTTAAAGACATTTATCCAATAATTTGCTTTTCTAAGTGTACTAGTTGGATATACACATCTCTTGGGGTAGAACAAGAGTAATCTAATCTGATTATGTACAAGTCATTTCCAAAATGTTTGAGTTAGTTTATTAAGAAATAGAATTGATTTCCATTTGATAGCTGTTTAATATGAAATCATATTAAAATTTTACATTAACATGAAATATCCAATTAATAGTTGCCTAGATTGCCTAAGTCTTAGTGGTGGTTATATTGTATGCATTTCAAGGTTTGCTCTAGCCAGAAGCAAAGTGCCTTTTTGCATCCCTGTATGTGTTTTTCCTCTCTCCAGCCATGACAGGTAGGGAGAGACATATATGACTTATTTTTATAAGATGCAAAAGGATGAACAAAATGGTCACTCTACAATCTTCTTTTATATATCTTCAAACAATAACACAAACAGCAGTTCTAGAAATGGGAAATATTTGAAAAAGCTAAAATAAGTTTTATATTATTTTAATAAGCGCAGTTATCACTGGATGATAATGAAAATAAGACAAGAGTGAGTCACTGTATTAACTGATCAGGTGCAATCATCAGTTAATAAACCATATACAGCAATTTTAATTTAATCATCTGACCAATAAATGTTACACATAAAGATTAATAACTGAATTTAATTGAATTCTATCTACCTAATCTTTAATAACTTTCTAAAATGGTACATGAATACAAAATACCTTTAATAGGACACGTGTTTCTACAGCTGATTTTGATCATTTCTTTTTCCTAGTACACACAAACGTTATATTATGAAAGATACTACATATATTTTATATGTTCAAGTACATCTCCAAAATTTAGTTAGGTATATAGCAAAATTTCTCAATAACTAATTGACACATAAGAAATTTCTTTATTCCAAATATCCTCATTCAAGCTTCAAAACCTTCAGTCTTGCCATGTCTTTGAAATTGGGCTGTTTGAGTACACAGAAACCAGCACACAGCCAGAGAGCCTCAGACAACATTTTAATGACCTACGTCAGTCACATTCAATCTTTCTGTGAAGGACCCCTTCTGTAGGTAATTTTCCCTTCTGATGAGATGTAAGCCTATTTCTTCTTGCTTTGTCCTCAGTGGGAACTGAAAATAACTGGTCACTATGCTGTACGTAACAACCTCTCACAGAGTGAAAGTTCCCTTCTCATTCCCGTCCTGTTCTCCAAATAAACAACTGCAGTTAATTTAACCTAACCGCATAGATGTTATTCTTCAAATGTTTAATTTCTCAATGGTAATTAGAGTCCATTCAAAAGATCCATTGCAAAGGCTCCTGTCATCTGCTGGAAAAGAAAAGTTCTTGATTTTGCATACAAGACACTCCCTTGAGCTGACCCTTGTCTACCTTTCTAACCTGCCTCCTGCTGCTGTCTGCCTGATTACAACTGCTTAAACATACCATGCAGTTTCATGCCACTGTGCTTTTGCACCAACAGCTCTCTCTGTGTGGACGCCCTTCCTTTTTGTTCCTTTTTATCCGCCAAGAAAATACCTACTCACATTTCAGACTACTCAACTCCCATGTCATTTCTGAAGACTTCTCTATCTTAGAAGCAATTAATAACTTTTTTTGGCCATCTTCATTCACTGTAAACATTTCAACATAGTAGTCTCTCACACTCAATATGAGCTCTTACATGGCTAGAGACTTTGCTTTGGTAATATTTTTGAATCCATGGTGCCTAGGAGGATGTTAGAAAATACTAGATAGTCAATAAATGTTTCCGAATGCAGATTCTTCTCTAAACTCCAACTTTTCTGGGCTATAGAGCAATACTCCTAAATTTAATTCTATACATATATATATATATATATATATATATATATATGTATAACTGCGTTTATATATGACCCCACCACACACACAGAGGTTGACTACAAAGGCCAAACTTTTCCAGAACACACATTTGCTAGAGTTAGGTGCAAGTGAATGCCAGAATAAAGTTATAATTTGTCACTCAGGAAATGTAGCACTGTACATTTTTTTAGGGGAGGCAGGTTAGGAGCAAAGCAAATATGAATGGAGAAGTACATTCTTTAATCCACCGTGAGTTGAGGACTATGCTGAACACCAGGGATAAGAGATAAATGATGCATGGTACTTTTAAGGCCTTAAGCTTAGAATTTAGTAGAAAATACAAAATGATATAGAAAAGAAACGACATAGGAGAATAATTTGGTGGCAAATGTCAAAGACTGATATACTTAAAATGATAACTAGGGTATGTGTAGAAAAGACAAAAAAAGGGCAAATTCAAGAGAGATTGTAAGGAAAAACAGGATTTAGTCAGTGAATATTAAGATGAGGGAAAGGGAAAAATCAAAGACTCCAAAAGCTTTAAGTCCCGATGATTAAAAGAATGTTGTATCATGTCCAGAATGAGGGAAATAACTCTAGAGTGAACTGGCATTAGGAAAAGGATGGCAGCTCAAATTTTAAACAGAAGTGTTAGCTATGTGAAAATACACTATGAAAAGATGGTCATAACCATTCCATTCTCTTTGCTTCATTTTATCCTATATGATTTAGCCTAATTATGGTTCTTAAACATATATATGATCATGTCACTCCCTTCCTTAAAAAAAGTAAATGGTTCTTTACAACTCATGTAATAAAATTCAAATTTCTAATCAGAATAATTATTAAGCATAGATTTTGGATTCAGACAGAACCAGGTCCGAACCTTGACCCTACCATTTACTACTTGTATGACCTTGGGCAAGTTACATGAATACTCCATGTCTCAGGTTTGTTATCTATAAAATGAGCATTAGATAAGCACCTATGTTCACAGACATGTTTGCAGAATTGAATAAGATAGCATGTTATCATGGGTACCATCATCATCCAGATAAGAAGTGTTGAGAGCCTACCTTAGCTTCCCATCACTATAAACTAAAAATCCCTCTGGCTCCTACTCTGTTGTGATCTTATCTCTAGCTATTATCCTCTCTCAAGTTCCCACACTCACTTCAGCTATGCTGGACACAAGTACAGAGTTTTCTTGTCTTCTTTGTTCACTTTTATATACTCAGCATCTAGAAAAGTGGGTAGCATACAATAGGCACTCTATCTGTATTTGTTGACTGCACAAATGGGTGAAGATTTCTACCCATTTACTTATGTTCCTCCTGACTGCACAAATGGGTGAAGATTTCTACCCATTTACTTATGTTCCTCCTGACCTCGGCATACTGTTCTTCCTTCATCAGGTGATAATATCCTATTCCTCTTTTAAGGGGTAGGAGAACCAACATTTGTTGCCTATCTATCATGTGCCTATAACTCAGGCACTTTCATAAGTGCTTTTTTTTAAATCCTAAAATCAATTCAGTGAGTTAGTTACGAATATGCCACTTTTATAGATAAGATAGAGCTCATAAGTTGTTTGATCTAGTTCCCACACTCAATAGGTGTTGGTGCCAGAACAAAGCACGGCAATTTATGCACACTTGGAATTTAAGATATACTTACTGGATTGAACTGTCATGGGTGATGAAGATGGTATGCGTGTGGAAAGGGAGGAGAGTCGTAGTTACTAGTAATAAGCCTTTCTCAACTTCCCTGAATAGAATTAATAAATTCTAGGCCAAGTGTGGTGGTTCACGCCTCTAATCCCAGCACTTTGGGAGGTCAAGGAGTTGGGGCGGATCACCTGAGGTCAGGAGTTTGAGACCAGCCTGGCCAACATGGTGATATCCCATCTCTACAAAAAAACAAAACAAAACAAAAATTAGCCGGGCATGGTGGCACATGCCTGTAATCCCAGCTACTCAGGAGGCTGGGGCAGGAGAATTGCTTGAACCCAGGAGGTGGAGGTTGCAGTGAGCCGAGATTGCGCCACTGCACTCCAGCCTGGGTGACAGAGCAAGACTCTGTCTCAAAACAAAACAAAACAAAACAAAGCAAAACTACTAAATTCTGTCTTTGTTCTCCTATAGCGGTTTCTATATACTCTAGTTATAGCACTTATTCCACAATATATAATTTTGTGTACACAACTAGTCTCACCCACCAGATTGTGAACTGCTTAAAAATGAGGACTATATCAATTTTATTCAGTAAATGTTGAATGAATAAATTCTTTAGACAGGCCAAAAATAATTAGGGCTGACTTGATGTTAATCTTTGGTGACCTTCAAGCACTGTTAGAATACAGTGCAAAGGATTCAAAATTAAAAGGAATGGGTAGTCAGAAAAAAGAGGTAATGTGAACGAATAATTTATTCCAAATATTGACTGTGGATAATAACCAGATAATACAGGAGGTAGCAGAGCTGGCAGCTGGAAAATGGTGAGGTTAGTGACAAAAATTATTCTAATTATTGTCCCGAATAAGTTCAGCATAATTAGGCTTGAAGGGATCAGGCAACGGAAGAAATAAGAATGAAAAATCAAGAATTCATGAGCATTTGCTACTTTATTGGTTCTCAATCCCTGGTCCCTGGACCAGCAATATCAGTATCACCTGGGAACTTGTTAGAAATGCAAATTTGGGGGCCCAACCCCAAATCAACTAAATCAGAAACTCTGAGGGTTTGGTCCAGCAATTTGAGTTTGAATATACTAGGGGAAAACTTCTGATATCACCTCTAGGTGATTCTGATGCATGCCACTAGGGAGACACTAGGCTACTTTCAAATAAATTTCCAGGGGAGAAGATGCTTGGCAATTGTCTACAGCTTGCCTAGGTCCTCTCACAACTGCTTTTACATATAAAAAGTTGAAGTGTCAACGTGTTTTCAATGCTTAGTGTCAATTTAAAATAAGAGAGAAATTATCTAGCAATTTGTGGCATCTGAAGGACAGAATTGCTCTAAGTGTTCTTGATTAATTCACATAAAAATAAGACTGATTGGTATCATAACCTATCAGCTACCTATCCAAAAGTAGATGAGACAAACAGTATGCTCCATGCTGTGAAGATTCCAGATACATTGCTCTTCAGTGTTCTAAACTGTCCTTCATCCTTCACCTAAAACTGTATTGAAAAAATACTTAAATGCTGCTATAGTATGTCTTGTCTACTACGTATCATCAGAGTGATGGACTAGATAACCTAGCAGATTATTCATGCCTTCCAACTCCTGCTCAAGCAAATCTGCATTGTTGCTTAGATATTTACTCAGAAAGTTTGAATCAGATTCTGAAATTGTAAGTTGCAGACATCGGGTTTCAGTGCTTGCCATAAAAGTTCTTGTATCTAAATAACCTAATGCCTTGCTTGACCTCTATGCCAAACAGTTTACATGTATGAAATCAGACTATGGTGGGTGTATGTAAAGAAGACAATCAAGGAAGGAAGCTTCATTCCTGCTCCATGGCCCTGGCATATGCTGATACTGCATTTCATTTGTCATCATACTCATTTCGGGTTGAAGACCAAGAGTGAGAATGGGGCTAGGTTCATATGTTACCATACATTATATAGGAACAAAGCAGCGGACCTTGGCTCCCTGTCCCAAAGCAATCCTGACCTCAGTTGCAGAGTGGCACAGAAAACAGTTCTCTTGGCCGGACGTAGTGGCTCACGCCTATAATCTCAGCAGTTTGGGAGGCCAAGTTGGGTGGATCACTTGAGGTCAGGAGTTTGAGACCAGCCTGACCAACTTGGTGAAACCCCATCTCCGCTAAAAATACAAAATTAGCTAGGCGTGGTGGCACATGCCTGTAATCCTGGCAACTTGGGAGGCCGAGGCAGGAGAATCACTTGAACCCGGGAGGTGGAGGTTGCAGTGAGCCAAGATCCTGCCACTGCACTCCAGCCTGGGCAACAAGAGCGAAACTCCGTCTCAAAGAAAAAAAAAAGAAAAAAGAAAAAACAAAACAGTTAGTTCTCTTCTGGAAACATGCAAGAATGTGTGGGAGGAGCACCTGGTTTTCTTGCATGAATTGCTGTAGAGTGTAAACTGCTCTGAGACAAAAACTGATTTTTGCATAAAGAGTATAAGAAATGAAGTAGTAAAGCAGCGTGGATATCACTAAAGGAAATGTTTCTGCACACATTAACGGAAGACTATCTTTAAAGCATATTAAAACTTAAATGTGAGATAAAAGTTCAAATCTCTAGAGTATCTGAAGGAAGCCCTTTTGGATCTCCCCCCTTTCCTTTTGGATTTACATGAATGGCCACATGAACTTCAGCAAACTTATCAACAGGTGCTGTACTCAGGAAAAAAAAAAATTGCCTAATCCTTCTGTGTCAAGGAAACATTCCTAACACATAGCAACATCACACAATACACATATATAATTGTCCTTGAAAAGAAATACTGAAACTCAGTGAAGAGATCTGGTTGAGTCAATGGAATAAAACCATCTAAACCACCAGTACAGTCATATAATTCAACTTTATTTCTTTTAGTGAAAATTTTCATTAATCATGGCTTCCTTTTTCCCTATTATATTTGTATATTCATGGAACAGTTAATATTTAAGCAATCATGAATGCTCCAGTGCACATATCAAAACAGCTACTACTGCTTGTCAGTCTTGATACAGCACAAGAATTCTAATGTTAGTCTCCTTTATTTAAACAAAATTAAGTTCTGTGCCCTCTGCCAAGGGTTGTTTACAAATTATTGCTTTCTTTAATACCACCACACACTGCAGTAACATTGAAAAAGATAATGTATTTTTAAAGATTGCAATTACCATAAAGACATTAGTTCTGTAGCTATGACCGGACAGGTTTAATACATGTTTTCCCAGCTTTATTTCTAAATCTGTCACCAAAAATGCTTTTCTGGGCACTACATGACTAGGGCTGACACTAATTCAGCCAAATGTAATTTACGGTGGAAAGAGGTCTTCATCCTTTATGTAGGCCTGATAGTCCCTTTTTTACACCCTTTAGTTTGGTATTATAATGATATTTCCAACCAAAAGGAAACAGATAATATCAATTGTATAGTCAAGCAAATTAAAAGTTTCACACTTGTTAGCCTAATTTATGGTAGCAATCTGTGAAAGGAGAGCTGAAACTTGAAACCGTAACAACATTAAATGGAATAAGGATTCATCTCAATTGCCACCTTCCGGACCAGCAGGGCATTTGTGCTGCTAAGTTTCTTAGACAAGACAAATTCTGTTTCCTGTCCTTCCTGCTCCCCTTCTCAGCATTTTCCCTTCTAGCCCCACTTATCCAAGGAGAATGACCTGCATGTGCATTAGCCTGCATTGCCAGGACCAGTGGCAAATTAACCATCATTTGTACTCACTGGTTTTAGGAAAGGCCAGAATGAATTAATGAAATATATCTATGCAAAGAAAAGCTGTTCTGGTACTTTCATATGCTTTTAATCATCCTGTCTATAGTTGGCTTACCAAATAAAAATTCTTCTGAGAATAGTTTTAATAAAAATCAAATTATTTAAATTGGTATAGAAATAGTTTACAAGTATGAATGTTTGTTGGTGTTAGATGGTTTCTTCTCAGACATGGGTTAAGCACGTAACTAAAACTTTTAACTTTTATTGTCATGAGCATTTTACTTAAATTGTTTTATATGTATGAGGTTTGAGAGTAGATGGAATATTTTTTTTTATGTACATAGCTTCAGATTGTCACTAGCACCAAAAGAGTCCATAGGACTCATTCGCTCTGTCTATACACTGTAGATAAATAATAAATCGCATTTAAAGGTTTTAACCTTTAATAAATGGCATTAAATGGCACTTAACATTAGTGATTTTAGCTATTTATGAAAAACTTTGAAGGTCTAAGACACAGAATATTACAAAAGCGTAATTAGAATTCAGCACTGAAGAGCAGCTGTTTAAGAGTGAGGTATTTAACCATGTTGATGTTTCTAGCTATATTCATCCATGCTGTATATTAGTTGACCATATAAATATTATAAATTTTAGGCATATTATCTCATCGAACATTTTCAATATCTGGTTTCCATTTTTTTTTGTGAGGGAATCACTGTTTTGGATATAATTACAGATAATGCTGCTGTGAACACTTTTTTATTTATTTATTTATTTTTTTGAGAGAGGATTTTACTGTAACCTAGGCTGGAGTGCAGTGGCATGATCACAGCTCACTGCAGCCTCAACCTCCCAGGCTCAGGTAATCCTTGTACCTCAGCCTCCCGAGTAGCTGTGACTACAGGCACCCACGACCATACCGTGCTAATTTTTGTATTTTTCTGTAGAGATGGGGTTTTGCCATGTTGCTCAGGCTGGTCTCAAAATCCTGGGCTCAAGTGATTCGCCCACCTCGGCCTCTCAAAGTGCTGAGATTACAGGCTATATTATCTGGGCTGCTATCAAACTCCTGGCTTCAAGCAATCCTGCCTCAGTCTCCTAAAGCCCTGGGATTATAGGTGTGGGCTACCATGCTTGCCTTTAACCATGTTTAAGCACACAGTTCAGTGAGGTTAAGTGCATTCACACTGTTGTGCAACCATCACCACTATCCATCTCCAGGACGTTTTAATCATCCTATACTGAAACTGTTACCCATTAAACATTAACTCCCCATCTGCCTTATCCCCCAACCCTTGGTAAACAAAGACTTTTTGTCTCTACAAATTTGACTATTCTAGGTACCTCATATAAGTGGAATATATAGTATTTGTCCTTCTTCATATGGCTTATTTCATGTAGCATAACATCACGGAGATTCATTCATATTATAATATAACATATACCAGAGTTTCATTCCTTTTAAAGGCTGAACAGTATTCCATTGTATATATGCCACACTTTGTTTATCCATTCATCACTCAATGGACATTTGGGTTGTTTCCATGTTTTGGCTACTATGAATAATGCTGCTATGAATTTGGTATGCAATCATCTGTAGTCCCTGCTTCCGATTCTTTTATGTATATGCCCAGAAGTGGAATTGCTGGATCATATGGTAATTCCATTTAATTTTTGTAGTAACTGCCATGCTATTTCCTACATTGGCTGCACCATTTTACATTCCCACCAGCAATGCATAAGGGTTCAAATTTCTCCACATCCTTGCCAACACTTGTTGCTTTCTGTTTTCTTGATAGTAGCCATTATAGTATGTTTGAAGTGGTATTTCATTGTGGTTTTGATTTGCAATTTCCTAATGATTAGTGGTGTTAAGTATCTTTTCCTGTGTTTATTGGCCATCTGTTTATCTTCTCTGGAGAAATATTTATTCAATTTGTTTACCCATTTTTGAACTGAGTTGTTTTGTTGTGGTTGAGTTGTGGGAGTTCTTTATATATTACGGATATCAATCACTTATCAAATATATTATTTACGAATACATTCTCCCATTCTGTGGGTTGCCTTTTTTTCACTCTGTTGATAGTGTTATTTGATTATGTGATCATTCTTGTATATGTCTCCAGGGTCCTTACCTAAGAGTTTATCTAGTGTATACACTAGAAGGGGCATTTCTGTGCATGGTTTAACATTTCTTGATAGTACCAAATTGTTTTCCAAAATGAATTTAGCAAGTTATACTCTCACCATTAGTTCTCTTTGCCCCTTATTCTTACCTCTACTTTATATTAACAGAATTTAACATTTTTTGCCAGTCTCATGAATATGAGATATCTTTTCATATATATTCATATATTCCAAATATGAAATCCATCATTGTGGTTTAATTTAATCATAAGTATGAATGAAAAATGGTAGATGGCCAGGCACAGCGGCTCATGCCTGTAATCCCAGCACTCTGGGAGGCCGAGGTGGGTGGATCACGCGGTCAGGAGTTCGAGACCACCCTGCCCTATATGGTGAAACCTCATCTCTACTAAAAATACAAAAATTAGCTGGGCACGGTGGTGTGCACCTGTAGTCTCAGCTACTCGGGAGGCTGAGGCAGGATAATTGCTTGAACCCAGGAGGCAGAGGATGCAGTGAGCTCAGATTGCACCACTACACTCTAGCCTGGGTGACAGAGCAAGACAAGAAAGAGGAAAGAAAAGAAAAGAAAGAAAAGAAAAGAAAAGAAAGAAAAGAAAAGAAAAGAAAAGAAAAGAAAAGAAAAGAAAAGAAAAGAAAAGAAAAGATGGTATAGACACTTTGAAAAACAGTCTCTCTTAAAATTAAAACTATACTTTCCATATGACCCAGGATTCCCACTCCTAGGTATTTACCCAAGATAAATGAATTTATGTCTTATACATAAATGATGATAGCAACAAGTATAATAGAAAATTTAGAAACAACCCAACTGTCCATCAGCTGATGAACAGATGAACAAAATGTGGCACAGCCATACAATGGAATACTACCTCAAAATAAAAATGAACTACCAATACATGCCACAACTTTACACTAAGTGAAAAAAGTCACTAACAACACAAAGTAACACAAAGGCTCTATTACTGTATGATTCCATTCATATGAAATTCTAGAAGAAGGCGAAACCATGGTGATTTAAAACAAATCAGCAGTTGTCTCGAGCTAGGAGTGGGGATCCACTGCACAGGGGCATGAGGAAACCACACTGGTTGATTGCAGTGGAGGTTCCAAAGCTGTATACAAACAACAAAGTTCATCTAACTGTATGCCTAAAGTGAGTAAATTTTTTGTTAAGATGGGGTCTTGTCAGAGGCATGTGAACCAGAGCAACTCCATCTTAAATAGGAGCTGGGTAAAATTAGGCTGAAACCTACTGGGTTGCATTCCCAGATGGTTAAGGCATTCGAAATCACAGGTGAGATAGGAGGTGAGCACAAAATACAGGTCATAAGGACCTTGCTGATAAAGCAGGTTGCAGTAAAGGAGCCGGCCAAAACCCACCAAAACCAAAATGGCGATGAGAGTGACTTTTGGTTGTCCTCACTGCTACACTCCCACCAGCGCCATGACAATTTACAAATGTCATGGCAATGTCAGGAAGTTATCCTATACGGTCTAAAAAGGGGATGCATGAATAATCCACCCCTTGTTCAGCATATCATCGGGAAATAACCATAAAAATGGGCAACCAGCAGCCCTCAGGGCTGTTCTGTCTATGGAGTAGCCATTTTTTATTCTTTTACTTTCTTAATAAACTTTCTTTCACTTTGCACTGCAGACTCACCCTGAATTCTTTCTTGTGCGAGATCCAAGAACCCTCTCTTGGGGTCTGGATCAGGACCCCTTTCTTGTAACAGTCTCACTCTGTCTCTGAGGCGGAGTGTAGTGGCGCGATCTTGGCTCACTGCAACCTCCACCTCCCAAGCTCAAGCAATCCTCCCACCTCAGCCTCCCAAGTAGCTGGGACCACAAGCACGCACCACCCCACTCAGCTAATCTTTTCTATTTTTGGTAGAGATGGGGTTTCGCCATGTTGCCTAGGCCAGTCTCGAACTCCTGAGCTCAAGTGATCTGCCTGACTTAGCCTCCCAAAGTTCTGGGATTATTGGCGTGAGCCACCGCACCTGGCCTAAAATGAGTAAATTTTATAGTATGTCAGTTAAAAACCTCAGTAAAGTTACTACAAGAAATTATAGGTTAGGTTCAAGTCTCTCTTGGCCATGAATACATTTTACTTCTAACAAAATAACAATACAACAAACAAAGTCCTAAGAAGATGCTTTAAGAAATCAACGAGTAACCCTAGCCTTTCTCGTACACTTTTTGAAAGCTGAAATTTGGAAGCATAAAGTGATCTGAATGGGCCAGGCTGTGATTGATGAAATATCCTTGGAATCAAGCATGTTCATCTGTCCCCAAGTCTTTGAATATAACTTACAATACTTTTCCACTTCCCTCAGCACAGGTTTCTAAGTAGAGGATTCTGTTTTAATATGTGTATCTAGCTAGTTGCTTAAATCTGAAATATTGAGATCCTTTCCCTAAATAGCCTCTGAAAAGCTTATATTTCCTCATAGTAGGTTACTTGCATCCTGGAGTGATCCCTCATACTGAACATTAAATAACAAGTTTCTTCATTCTTATTTATCTAGACAATCTCATGATATCCTCTGGCAAAAGGAAATTATTTGACTTTTGTGACTAATTAGTGAATTGGGAGGGGTACAGACATACAATAGTTATAAGTAGTACCATTATACTATTGTTTTTGAACAGGTATTGATTTTATCCAAAAAATTTAAAATACTAATATTTAACTATATGTAGAAAGATGTTAGGAACTTGAGAAGCAGTTTTAAAGATACTTTTATTGTAGCATAAAAGGGAAGAGAGCATTCTGATAATTCAGATTTAAAATTCAAAAAAGACTAAAAGATAAGAAAATAATGAATGGCAAGGCTTTGTGCTTGTCCCCATGACGGAAGGCAGGAAAAGCAAAACTGAAGACATTGTTTGGGGAAGAGAAGAAAAGTACATCTTGGAAATGGGGCTGGAATTGTTTTTTCCTTCCTTTCCAAAGAAGTGGAGCAGCTTTACAGTATAGATATCATCTAACAGAGTATGCGCTTTCTTGTCTTGTGGTTAGTTAGCCAGTGTTTATGAGCAACATAATTTATTTTTCATGTGTGCTATTATATAAAATCCATTTGCCTGTCCCCACACACACTTCTCCCTGTCTCTTGCTTTAGCATTACAATGTTCTATATCTGGCATCTAGCTCATAAGCTCCTCAAGGACTGGAGATGTATGTTTTACTTCTCTTTATCCCCACAAAGCATCTAGCACAAGGTTCCACAGAGGGTAAAGGCTCAATAAATGTGGCCAACTTGCTGCACAAGTACTCACTAAAAAGTCGTTAAATGTATATAAATAATCCTTAGATTCTCTAAAATTATCACAGAGCTTTATTTTAGTATCAACTGCTACTTTATAAACTTCCTTCCATGGACATGAGCTCTCCTTGTTAAGGTTGTGCAATGCCTTCACTAGGAAGGCTTCATTTAACAGGAAAATCAGCTTGTAAGATGACTGGTCAAACTTAGTCATGGTAGCTATGTTTTTGGAACAGTCTCATACAGGGTCAAAATCTCCTTCGAACAGAGCTTTTATAGAATAAAAAAGCCTTTGTTTTCAGACTTACTAATTATATTCACTAAATGCCATTCATGTTGTCAACTTTCCCCTACTGTGAGAATTACAAAATCAGTCATAAGATTATACTCAGAAAACGACTATAGCAATTCACAGAATACGAAGCCAGCTGGGTTCATTTAAATCCTCTATGAAAACAGTCTTCATGGCGAACTAAGTAAGACCTACAGCTAGTTCCATAAATCATCATTTTTTGTCTGCTCTAGCGCTGAAAATGCTTATTGCTGCTCCTGATATATGGGGTATTCATCAAGAACAAAAAAAATGTATTTTTGTTAACTAGAGGAGTATTCATCTCTGCCAGTTATACTATTCAACCATTAACTGTATCTATTATTGTTTAGTCACAACGACTTCAACAAGTATAGCTGTGACACAGCATTAATTTGATTACTTTTTTTGTATTACTCTATAAGGATAATTTTTTTAAAATGAAAGAAAATACAGATGCATTAATTTTCTTATTTCCTGAAAATGTATCTGTATTTAATGAGTCAAAAACTAAGCCACAGGTGAGTTCTCTACAGAAAACAAATTATACCCTTCATTACAGTTCTATACACAAATATATATGGTTGACTTTTTAATGCTTATTATTGGTAGAAGATAAGGAATATAATTTGGTAATTCTTAGTTTGCATTCTTTTTTTTTTTTTTTTTTTTTTTTTTTTGAGACGGAGTCACTCTCTGTCACCCAGGCTGGAGTGCAGTGGCATGATCTTGGCTCACTGCAACCTCTGCCTCCCGGGTTCAAGCAATTCTCTGCCTCAGCCTGCCAAGTAGCTGGGATTACAGGTGCCCGCCACCACGCCCGGCTAATTTTTGTATTTTTAGTAAAGACGGGATTTCACCATCTTGGCCAGGCTGGTCTTGAACTCCTGACCTCGTGATCCACCCGCCTCGGCCTCCCAAAGTGCTGGGATTACAGGCGTGAGCCACCGCGCCCGGCCAGTTTGCATTTTTCAATGCTCTTTATGAGTCAATTGATGTATACAAAGGAACATTTAACTCAATCCTGTTTCTCTCTGATTATCCAATTGTGAAAATCACCCCAACCCTTCTCACTCTTTCATTATCTTTCTCTCATTCTGTGTCTCAATCTCTCTGTCTCTGTCTATCTCCCTGTCTCTCTTACTCAACACCCATATGCACACACACCCTTTTTGGCTTCATCTGGCTCTTATTTTATTTTCCTTGGTCCTTCCCCTAATACAAAACTTTCAAAAGTTGAAAACTCTTCCATAACAAAAAGGTCATGTGTTTGCAGAGGGGTGTATAATAACGAGGCATTACTAGTACTCAAGGCAAGTATGTCCCATGTATATACATATATACACCTCACAGCAAGTTATCTAGATATCTAGGAGGCAGACATAACTGTAACATATAAGTTAAAATCAGAGATAGCAGCATAGGCTTCACGATATTAATAATCACAGGTAAAGGGAGGTGTGTGTGTGTGTAATAGGCAACAGAAAATTTTAACATACATAAGAATAATAGAAAAAAATCCCATGAGTCTCCAAAGCAGTCAGTATTGACAAGGAATACTAATCAAGTCTGCATCAGACAAATTACATTTACAAACTATTGTTCTCTAGAGAATTTAACAAACTGAAAATTTTGGAGTATAATCAAGTTTTCACACAACCTATAGTATTGTAAATGTGATGATTTTGTCTAAACAGATGTAATCAAATTCTGAGAAAACAAACAAGTGTTACACTTAAAGTACTAGCTAATTTGCAGCAATGAATGTAAATTAATGAATATTTCAACTTAGAGAAAAAGATCTTTAAATAAGCTCACGGGACCTCTATATTTTAAGAGGCAAGGAGGAGAATAAAGGTGTGAGTTAGTTTCTTTCACTCAGAGCTCAAGTTTTCAAAAAGATATTTTGAGACACATAAGCTTTTAGAACTATAGCAATTTTTAAAATACATCTATAAACTTTGTTAATTCCTATGCCTGACATGATCATATATTTTTCCCTCTGCTGTAATTAGCTTACCACAAAGTTAGTGTTTTGTCTCATTTCAATTTCTTAATGTAGGCTACAGAGAACAAGAAAGATATCATGCATCTCCACATTAATATAAATCTAGAAGATGTATGACCATTTGGAAAAATTGAGGCTATCATTTTAGAAGATGGCACCTCATAAGACAGAGACACATATTACCTTCATCAAGTTTTCTTTCTACTTAAGTAGTCAATCTGTATGTGCACCACTATACTATATAGACACACAAGGAGACCAGGTAGCTGACATCTTAGAAGTGGGATAAAGCACTGACTTGCTAATTGAAGGACAATCTTCAAAGCACACAGTAGCGTATTCATAGGATTACAAAATCAAGGAGCCATGATAGTCTGTTTCCAACTCTTAGAGGGCTGCATTTTAAAGAAGATAAACTCAAAAGAAGTGGCCTGTGTTTGGTTCAGATTTTAAATGGCAATGAAGGGCATTAGAGGTGAGGACTTTGGATTGGATTTCTGAGCTGGTATCCAAGTATCTTGATTTAGTGGAGAAATCAGATGACTGAAGCAATCTTCTACTATTACCATTTGCCTACGTGCACAAGTCCATATGCACAGATCAACGGCATGTGCATTAGAATACACAATGAATAACATACAGCAATTAAAAGACCTTATGGAGAATTCTTTCCTTTAAAAAATTTAGTGTTCTATACATTTAAATACTTCTAGATTTACTAACTTAAGTAGTATTAATGGTTGCCTTTGAAAAATTACATATTTTGGTGTATTGATTTACATGAAAAAGTGTAGGAAACAAAAACCCATGACACAACTATAAAAACTGAATCCAGAATGTCACCACTGACATAGTATCACAACAGTGTAACATTCATCTTTAAGCTCAAGAAACTATTCAGTGGTTCTCAATGATGAGAGCTCAGTAAGCACAGTACAATGAAACACAATGGACTTAAATAAAGGTCAACCATCACATAAGCTGAACAAAGGAAACTATTTAAAATTAAGAATGATATCCTGTTCTTGTGTCATTCCATGGTGCTTAGTTATTTCAGAGGTCTAAACTATAGCGAATATTCTTGCTTCAACGTAATATAATGAGGCACAGACAGACCCTTAAATTGAAATGTTTGTATCCACTGGTAATGAATTATGAACAAATGGTACAGCATGTCACTATATTATATGATGACATTTTTAAATGCAAATACCATGAATATGTTCCTTTGCATTTGGTGTAGCATAGAATCTTGCATCACTGATTAGCAACCAGTGACTAGGAGAGATCACCAAATGAAAACTCTTTCCCACAAATAGCTCCACAGAAAGGAAAGTTTAAAGGACCCCCAAGGAGAAAAATAAAAGTTTGGAAATAGGGCTTAACATTTCATCCCCCTCCATAAATGATCGAGAGTCTAATCTTCCCTTTCACATAATTTTTTTCAAGACAAATTATAACCCACAAAGTCATTTTCTTCTCAGCAAATTATCAACCACATCTCCCTCAAATTCAATTAATGCTAAATATTGTCTGATAGGAAAAAGTATATTTCAGTGAAGCAAAAGAGTCAATGAAAATTCTGAAAATAGCATGATCCACTGAAATCATTTGTTTGAGTCCCAGGAAAAGCTGGATCCTAACTCTGCCTTCATCACTAAGTGATCTTGGGTAAAGATCATCTCTCTGGAGAGCAGATCCTCATTTGTAAAATATTGAAAACAGCAGTCAACCTTGCCTACACAAAACTAAAATACTCTGACAGTCTATACAACACCAAGGGATAGCTCCACAATTATTCAAATTATTAGATGCTATTTTATTACAAATATATAGGCTCTGCTGCTTGGATACATTAAAATCTATTACAAGATGAGAAACTTCCTATTGATAGGCCTACAGTTACACCAAGCTGAATTAAAATAAAAAAGATGGATTCCAAGTTTCATGCCAGAGAGCCAAGAAAATTCACATGAGGTTTTCCCCATTTTCAGAATACTGTAAGTGCCAGAGTTGGTTCTATAATGCTTCCTTGAAATGAGCCAAGTATAACCAAACATTGTTACAATGCAATAAGAGGCAGGGTGCTACACAATTTTGTAAACAGAAAACCTGTATGTAAGCCCCAACTTGTACCTTTACTAGTTTTTGAATCTTGGACAAATTATATAACCTCACTGGGCTTTAGTTTTCTAATTTGCAAAATGGGGTCAATAATACTTAACCTCCCTGAATCACAAGGAAAACACTTTATAAACTATAAAAACACAGGCAAACAAATGCATGGACTGTTGACCAGGATTTATTGATCGTTGCTAGGTTCCCTTTCAGTACATCCTATAGTGATTATTTTCTAAAATATCTTTGGTTTTAAATTAATAGTCTCATGTTAATTTATTTAATAACCCATATTTAATAATGAGTTGCTGATTTAGATTTACAGCAAACAACACATTTTTGCGTCTTTACAAATAAAGCATAAAAAATCTTACAGTTACATATTCAACAGTTTTGCTGGCAAAAATATGCCCTTTGTATCTGTGAGGAACAAAATGTTCTAACTTAAAAAACAAGTTAACACATGCTGAGTATTAATAACAAATCCTCTATTTAATCAAATTGTCTGACTTTCAATCTGTAGTAATATATTGAGAGCTTCACATATAATAGACACTGGAGATATAATGCAGAATAAAATATACATCCAAATTTGACGAGTTCTGAGTCTTGTGAAGGACAAAGGGGAAGAAAACAGTAAATTAAATGTCAAGTAAAGACACGGTGAAAAGGTGGCCATATGGTAACCCAAGGAGAGAGACCTCACCAGAAACCAACCCTGCTGGCATCTTGATCTTAGGCTTTCAGTCCTATAACTGTGAAAAAATAAATTTCTCCTCTTTAAGCCACTCAGCCTTTGGTTTCTGTTATGTCAGTCCAAGCTGAACAATACACTGACTAAAGTATTTTGCTTCTACAAGCATCAGTTTTCTCACTTGTGGACTGAAGAGGTTAGACTGGATGTATTCATATGCTGACATTCTGAGTTTATATGGACATAGTCCACATTATTTTAGCTAGAAATGATTAGACACTGCAAAACTTTGCGTGTACTTACATATGACTTTTTTCTAAGGTCTTTTGTAGATTCTTTTGTGTGTGTGGATTACAGATTTCCAAATTTTACTACCATAGACAGCAGTCACTTTTCTTTACAAAGCATATTTTCTGCAGTAATTTTCTATTTCACAATAAAGCTGAACCTATTTTACTTTCCTTCTAACAACTTCTATGGGGGAAATGGATGGAGATGGATGTTTCCTTTGTATAGTTGGTATGATACTTTGTCACTAATACCATGTAATGGCCTCTAGATGAGGCTTTACATGTTATAGATATTCTAGATCATGGGTGTCCAATCTTTTGGCTTCCCTGGGCCACATTAGAAGAAGGAGAATTGTCTTGGGCTATATATAGTATATACTATCACTAATGATAGCTGATGAGCTAAAAAAAAAAAAAAAAAAAAAAACCCACAAAAAACTCTCATAATGTTTTAAGAAAGTTTATGAATTTGTGGGAGGATCATGGCAGACGGGAAGCAGGACTAGATTGCAGCTCCAACTCGGATGGACAGAGAAGCGTGCGGAGGCTTGCGTTGTGAATTTTAGCTCCAAAACGACTGCAGGGATAAACCAGGAATCCCGAGAGGACCCACAGACCCTCTGAAGGAAGGGGACTGCTGCTGCAGGACCCAAATACTGTGAGTGCCCAAATTGCGAAGTGGGAAAGGGAGATCCTCCACCACCGAACACACACCCCTACTGGGGAAACCGAAGGTCTAGTTTGAGGGAGAAGTTTCCAACCTTACCTGGAGCTGAGTCAATTTAGAGAGCCAAGCAAAATACAGGGGTAGAGGAAGCAGCAGGAAAGGCCCTGGGAGTTCGCTGGGTCCCCAAGCAGGCTATTCCTGCCTGGCACCATAGGGATCCTTCCGGAGGGCAGCCAGAGGCACAAGGGGAAAAGCCACAAGGAGAAGAAAGTCTCCAGCTGATCTTTGTAACAACTTGAAGTGGTCAAGAAGCCTCCTGGCCAGAACTCAGTGGAGGGCGTGAATCCGCTGTGTAGACTCTACAGGCAGGGGAAGAACTAAAGCCCTTTTCTTTCACAGCTCGGAGGTGGGTAGCCTGGGGCAAGTTCTCAGCCCTGTTTGCCCACTGCCTGGAAACAGACTCGTTGCTGTTAGTGGGGGCATGGTGGGAGTGGGGCCAGCCCTTTGGATTGCGTGGGAGCTGGGTGAGGCCTGTGACTGCCGGCTTTCCCCCACTTTCCTGACAACCTGCATGACTCAGCAGAGGCAACCATAATCCACGGTAGGTACACAACTCCATTGAGCTGGGAATCTCACGCTCAGCAGCCGCAACAAGACCCACCCAAGGAGAGTCTGAGGTCAGACATGCCTAGACCTGCCCCACCTGATGGCCCTTCCCTACCCATGCTGGTAGCTGAAGACAAAGGGGACATACTCTTGGGAGTTCTAGGGCCCTGCCCACCGCCGGTTCCTCTCCATACTACCACAGCTGATGCTCTATGGAAATCACCACCTCCCGGCAGGAGGCCAACCAGCACAAAAATAGAACATTAAACCACCAAAGCTAAGAACCCTTACAGAGTCCATTTCACCCCCCTGCCACCTCCACCAGAACAGGTGCTGGTATCTACAGCTGAGAGGCCCATAGATGGTTCACATCACAGGCCTTTGTGCAGATAACCCCCAGTACCAGCCCAGAGCCAGGTGCCTAGACCCCAGAAGAGAGACAACAATCACTGCAGCTCCTGCAGCTCGGCTCTCAGGAAGCCACATCCATAGGAAAAGGAGGAGAGTACTACATCAAGAGAATACCCCATGGGACAAAAGAATCTGAACAACAGCCTTCAGCCCTAGATTTTCCCTCTGACAGAGCCTACCCAAATGAGAAGGAACCAGAAAACCAACTCTGGTAATAGGACCAAACAAGGTTCCTTAACACCCCCCCAAAAATCACACTAGCTCACCAGCAAGAGATCCAAACCAAGAAAAAAAATCCCTGATTTACCTGAAAAAGAATTCAGGATGTTGGTTATTACGCTAATCAGGGAGGCACCAGAGAAAGGTGAAGCCCAATGCAAGGAAATCCAAAAAAAGATACAAGAAGTGAAGGGAGAAATATTCAAGAAATATTCAATCTCAAATTGAGATTTAGAGAAGGTAAGTGACTTAGTCAGGAAAATTTGGCTAGTAATTGACAAAAGTGTAAGTTAAAACGTAGGTTCCAAGCCACAATGTTCTCCCCTTTTGTAAAGTTATAGATTCTTAATCCTACCTATCCTTCAAGATTCTTCTTTTTCAATTTACCAGCACTGCCCAATCACCAAAGATTCCTTCCTCCCCTGAACTACTGCTAATCTCAGTGGCCATTTATTTTTGCCCTCATTGACAGTGTACCTTGTGACATTACATAATATTGTGTATGTATATTTCCTGGCTGCTCAACTGTACCACAAGCTTCTTGAGGTTTCTGTGTATCTTCTCTATTGTTGGTAGGCCTCTGATGAATAGATCATCTGTTTTATTTTGTATTTGTTTAGAGCTGCCTGATATCCCTTTACCTGCTCCTAACCTTTGGTAGCCCTATCTTTGGTAACAGCACCCTTTAGGGCATAACCAATCTTCCATGGCAGGTAGTTTTGGTAGCACTGTCAATCAGGGTTTTTTGCTCTCCCTTGAACAAGGGGTGTTCTTATAATCCACACCGGGCTCATTAGGCTCTCTTCATAATTTGAATTTGAATCAAACATAGGGAAAGGAGAAGGAAAATGGTTGGAGCTGATATATCCCAAAGGCAACATCCTAAAAAGACTTTTCATTCATTCCTGCTACCTGAATTCTCAAAGCTGTCACAGTTGCTGTTCTTTTAAAGGGCAAGTTCTTTAGTCTTTCCTCAGTTTCTGGCTTAGTTACTTCATATCCTTCCAGCAAGTTTCACTTTTTGCTTGAATCAGGCAGAGTCACGTTCTGATACTTACAAACAAAGATCCTTATTTGATAAACCCACAAAGCTTAGTATATAGGGAATGCTAAGTATTTTAAAATGTTTTGTCCTTATGCAGATTATATATGCTATTTCGTACTGAAAAAAAAAACAACAAACAAATGGCCTTGAAGTGTAGCATTTCTATTGGTTAGAATTTTAATAACCAACAGGCTAAGCTAACATTGGGAGCTCATCTTCATTGAAATGATTTTTATTACAGTTCAGCACACTGGTTTGGTGACTCACAAAGTGATAATTCACTGCTGCAAATTAACAAAGCATTTTGTGGTGAAGGTAGTAATTACAATAATGATACCCTTTAGTGTTGACATTTTGGTTAATCCATCTGTTTTCCTTTTCTTCCCAAATACCATAACAGCCAACTGTGACCATCTGAAATTTTTATATTACCTTACTACAAGATACATCTGATAAGTTTAACCACATGCCTCCTTTTTACCTAGGTGAATATTTTAACATACTCTATAGCTTCTTGTTAAAAGCACTGGATTAGTTTTAAAATCACTGAGAAAAGAAATTATCATTAGAAAAATTTAGGAGAGTAAATGGTATCATTTTAAAACCATAATCAGTGTTCTATGAGGGAAATTCCCCCTGCTATTTTCTTTAAGAAGGCAATCACTAAGAAAAATCAATGAAGTAATCTTTCATAATACAACTGAAATTAAACAGCAATTCTAGCTAATCATACATCAGTAGCTAGTTAATTCTATTTCAAACATAATACAGAACTAAGCTAACTATTTCTACGTGCTTCAGAAAATTTCTGTCATTTTAGACATTTACATTTACTCACAATCCTTTGTATTCCAGGAACATCCTTCGAATCCTATACATTATGGGAATATCATGCATGTGTATGATATTTCTCTTTCTAAATGACAACTGTTTTCCTAGAAAATTTCCCAGAAGATAAAAATCTTACTGAAAAGTGGGGGGTGAGTTGGGGGACAGATTTTAAAACCTTCACTTCTTTCACTTTTGGAACACCTATTGCTACATGATAGTATTTCCCGCAAGATTATTTTTTATTTTATTTGAAGTTGGCAAAAATCTTTGTGCTGAATCCTTTGAGCATACCTCTAGTGATAGATGTCAGATCAGCGTTGTGTAGAAGAACTTTTATTTGACAGGTAGATGACAGAAAGAAGCCTCTCTCCAAAATATAAGATGTAACTGTAAAATCCTTCGGTGAGATTAACGTAACCTTTTGTTCCTATGTATAAATGACTTATTCATTCTTGCTTCAAAGAAATCAGTTCATGTAATTAATTTGAATAGTGTGAAATTAAGACACTTATAAGGTACATATTTCTTCAAATTAGAATGGTTTTAAATATTTTTATATGAATTAAATGCAAAATAGGTATCTAATACAAATTTCTGATGATATTTTAACTTATAATCTCTTTATAATTGTCAAGCAAGAACACTTTTAGATTCACTCAGTGTGCATATAGCATATACTCTAGGCAAGTAGCACCATGGTAGAGATGACTCTATTAACATTGGGGATATGGTATGCAATACAATGCTGAAGTCCTAAATACTTTATTTCATCCTATAAATCTGGCATGATTTAGTACAGTTTATTACAAGCACTGCCTTATTCCCTCTGGCATTATGAAATGATTTTACATGTCCCCAAATATCACAAGAAGATGGGGGTAAAAATGTTTTCTTCACAAAATCCAGCATTTCCAGATAATCTTCTGTATTTTCCTTGTTCTCTTTCCTTACAGCCCTCAAAAATATATCAGGAGTAAACAGATGTTCACAATTCTATTGTACATCCTATTATTATCTATAAGTGTTATTCTTTATGTCTATTTGGGTTAGAACTACCAAGATCAAATCATTTTTGATACATATCAAAGTGCTAGTCCATGTATATGTAATGAACATCAATTTAATGCATGTATAGAAAAGAAATTCATATCCATTGCTAGATTTGGGATTCTCATTATAATATACTTCAAGAACTAACCAAAGTTCTGCAATATTTTCAGATGTGAGAGAAAAAAAAGAGTGAAAGAATGGTGAGTTGTCAAAGACAGATTGCTTGTTTTCAGATTTATTTTCGTCTCTAGCTTTCTTACAGGCCTTCACCTCAGAGTGTTTTCAGGCTTCTATAACAGACAGATCTTTTCTTTGAATAAGGTGGTTTGCTCTAGCCTAAAAATGGACATATACAAGCACTTTTGGGCTTCTCTGTTTCTTTGTTTGCTTTTCATAAGTCTCAAAAATATTATTAAATGATCCAATCAAAACAAGATGATTGTTATTCAATTTTCTTTTTTACCTCTTAGTTAATGCACCAGATACCAGTGTACAACACTACTTGACATTGAAGAGTATTATTATCTTAGAGTAGAATAAGCAAACTATATTCAAAAATAAATTTCTGGCTATTTATCTCATTAAATTTAGCTTGTCAGATACTTTTTAGAACGATATAAGTAATAATGTAAAGGAAATATAATACTGCATCTATTTTATTTTATATTTTATTTTTTGAGACAGAGTCTTGCTCTGTTGCTTAGGCTGGAGTACAGTGGCATGATCTCGGCTCACTCCAACCCCCGCCTCCCGTGTTCAAGCGACTCTCCTGCCTCAGCCTCCAGAGTAGCTGGGATTACAGGTACCCGTCACCGCGCCCCACTAATTTTTGTAATTTTAGTAGAGACGGGGTTTCACCATGCTGGCCAGGCTGTTCTCGAACTCCTGACCTCAGGTTATCCACCCGCCTCAGCCTCTCAAAGTGCTGGGATTACAGGTGTGAGCCACCGCGCCTGGCCAATACTGCATCTAGTTTATAAAAGTGGGATTTTTTTGTCTATAAACTTCAGTAAAATGTAATCAGCAAATGTTAAGTACTGTATTCCAAAAGAATATTCAAGTCTTTTAGATTTTACTAAAATTTTAAAAAATTATTTGTTTGAATTGAGATATAATTCGCATCCCAGAAAATTCACCCTTTTTAAGCATACAATTTTGTGGTTTATGTACGATTGCTATTTGCAGTATCACCTTTCATAGACAAGAAGATTATTGTTGTAAATTAGCATTATAAAATGTCATCTTACCTTACAAAGGAAGTTGATCTTAAATCCCAAAGACTGGGCATTTCTTGAGCCTGAGTTCATGTAGTTTCCAACAAGAAGAACTAACTCTAAAAGTCTGTTAAAGCTTTCACTTTTCTTCAGTTCTTCACAGGCAAGAGTTACTGCTATGATGCTTGGTTTGATGTTGTTTATGTGTTCTTCAAATGTGAGCTTGAACAGGATACTACTGAGACGAGGCTGTAACATTTTCACAGAGCTCATCTGTAAGATAAGAAATACCCTATGAGAATATACATTTAATGCCTCTTATTTTATCTCTTTAGTGGGGATAATTTCATAGACAACACTGTAACATTTCTGCATAAAGTCAGTTTGCTCTGGGATTTTAAAAATCTTTTTTGTTTTAAACATTCCAAAGAAATAGTTTATCAAAGTTTAAAAAGCAGTTGGCTATACAGGTTTTTAAAAAAATAAATCATCCTTATGGCATTAATAAAATATTATAGAAGCTGAACAGTTGCTATATGTTAATTGCATAATCATTAGCCATCAATAGCATTCAAACTGCCAAAATCTGTCCCTGAGGTGAACTAGGAAAATTTATAAACATGAAATTGAGTTGAGTGAATAGTTGGGCCGCAGATAAAAGATGTACATGATGACAGAAAATATAACTGGAACATTTCCTAAGAAATTACCTATTACTATGCTGTTTGAAATCAGAAGACTAGCTCTGATTGAGCATTTAATAATTTTTAAACTTATGATTTCTATTCATAAAATATACTATTTATATATACTCTAAAGAATTTCTAAAGAATTTCACCTACTTGACAGATGCTGCTGTTAAGTAATTAGATGATAGTAAAATCACATGAACTTACTTTCAAGTACATTATGCAAGAATTCTACATTGGTTTTCTTCAATACAGTTCAACTTTGGTTTTAATTACTTGTTTCATAGCACTGGTGCACATTAAATATTCCACTTGGTATAGTTACTATGATAATAATTGTTTTAGTTTTTAATTTCCTATAGCTCCAAGTTACTCAACTAGTTTTCCTTCACAAAATGAATTCTGGGAGGGAGGTCGGGGAGAGGTAGACACACATGAACGCACACAGACACATGCACACAGTGAAAATAAATTATTAACATTCCTAATTATATTTGGTTTTGTATATATAGCCTACTTCCTTAAATACAAATGCCAAGTACAGATTAGACACCAACATATCTGCAGATAACATGAAGAGAATTTGACGACATAAACAAAAGTTTTTAAACCACAAAGTACCTTTCAAAAGCAGCAGATGAGCTGTTGGGCAGACCATATCTACTCTAATACAGAATCAAGACATAGCCCATTATTTTTCTTCTTCGAATTTGCCCATTAACCATGAACATCTGCCTCTCCAAATATGAACCTCTGCCTTCTACTAATCCTCCTATATGCTTTCATGCTTTTCACAGGCAGATATACAAAAGTATGATGAAATATCTACCTGTTACTGTATTTTTGTAGGTCTCATCACTTATGACTCACTTTTTTTTATCTGGTCAGGGTATTATTATACAAATTGTACTGCTATTTCTTCAGTACTCACATGGCAACTATAAAACACGCCACCTATTCACAAAAAGCTTACAATATAGTCTGAAACTCAACATAGAACCTTGAAAACTATTGCTGGTGAAAAAGCCAGCACATGATTTTAGATAGGTAAAAAGAAATTAAGTTCTGGAGGTGTTCACTGGAAGAAGAAAAAACTTTAAACTCTTATGATTACAGTGATTAATGAAGGCTTCACAGTAGAGGAAATACACATGAAAAAATATATGTATAGGTGTGTGCATGCATGTGTAAATTTAAGCACACATAGAACTGACACTAAAAGGAAAAAGTGGCCGGGCGCGGTGGCTGAGGCCTGTAAACCTAGCACTTTGGGAGGCAGAGGCAGGAGGATCACTTGAGGTCAGGAGTTTGAGACCAGCCTGGCCAACGTGGCGAAACCCTGTCTCTACTAAAAATACAAAAATTAGCATGGTGGTGGTGGCACAGTGCCTGTAATCCCAGCTACCCAGGAGGCTGAGGCAGGAGAATCGCTTGAGCCTGGTAGGCGGAGGTTGCAGTGAGCCGAGATTGTGCCACTGCACTCCAGCCTGGGCGACAGAGTGAGACCCTGTCTCAAAAAAAAAAAAAAAAAAAAAAAAAAAAAAGAAAGAAAGGGAAAGAAGGAAGGAAGGAGGGAGTAAAGAGAGAGAATGGTGTGAGAAAAGTAAAGAGAGAGAGAATGGTGTGAGAAAAGGTTTATAGGCTAGGTATATATGACATACATACCTAGGGGTAGAATTGGAAACAATGTATCTAAAGAGTCCAGGTAAAGGCCGCAGAAGTGGAAGCTAATCGCATCAAAGTCTATGTCTCCGTGAATTTGCAGGTCTCTTTGTGTATGTTTGTGTGGGAATCACTCTGAGTTTCTCTATATATTTTTCTGCCTTCATTTCTGCCTCTACCTCTGTCTCCAAATCCCTCCCCACTTTATTTTTCCTTTCCTTTTACTGGTAACTGGCCATCACTAGCACTGAAGCAGGTTTTCTATCATTTTACGTTTAGGGAGTAGTTTTTTAGTCTCCCTGATGACTAAAAAAGCTATAGAGCTACTTTGAGCAGCTACTAGTGACCATGCACTTGCTCTCCTGGCCATACTTTGCAGAGCTTATAGGGGCCATGTTCACCAGGGTGCCCTTGGTCCCAGATGGACAAGGAACAAAACCCTTAGGCATATGTGGGCTTTTAGTCTTCTTTGGTCCCAATATCATGTGCCTGCAATCATATTCTTATCCTTTCCATGTTTTGTATTAACCTACAATGTTTGGCCTACAAACTCAGAGAACATGGATTTGATATTTTTATAAAAATATCAGCTCCAATTGAAATTACATAACCAAAGTATGCTTTGATAATGATGGTAACAATGCTAACAGCAATTAACACTTATTAAGTACTTTGTGCCAGACATTTTTCAACATTTGCTTTATATATTAACTGATTTGATTCTCAAAACAATCCTAGGAAACGGTTATCGTTATTTTCATTCCAAAGATGAGAAAAGTGAAACAAATAGTAAGTAACTTGCACAAAATCAAATTTTATGTTGGAAACCTGAAGATTTGAATGCAGGCCTTTGGGCTACAGACCCCAGACTCTCAACCGCTACCCCACACTGCCTCTTGAGTCTTATTAGGAGCAGTAAGTATGATTGGTTGAAGGAGAGATTAATGGCAGGGAGACCATCAGGAAGTTAGCAAAATGGTGTAAGAAACAGGTAATGAGGTAGCATGTTGACAGTAGGAAGATAAAGAAAACAATGGATATAAAAGATAGAATTAAGGAAGAATAAATGGGACTTAGTAACCGACCAGTTATAGCAGGAGAAAGTCAAAGATGGCTCCAAAGTTTGAAGTCTGCCGGCAATAATGAAGGTAGAAGGATGTGCTAATTTGGTACAGTTTGTCACCTGGTTGTTTGCTTGTTTCAGAGAATGAGAGTAGATGGATTTGCTTTCCCTGACCTGCTGCTACTTAAATTCCAGTAAGCCAATCAGGGACTAAGGCAGCAGGGGCAGGTAGGTGTAGCTTAGCAGCAACTAAGTCAAATGAGACTGAATTTAGAAACTGTCATGTGAGCTGACTGTGTGAAAACAGTCTGCCTAATTTTCTGGTCTTAGTTTCCCCATCGTAAAGTGGGAGAAATTCCTGTAAAGCGGTCTTGTTTTGATGAAAAGAAGGGAGTCAAAATAAATGATCCATACGTTTACTTTCTTCTTTTTTAGGCTCTGCCTCTACAGCTGTGGGAAGGTAGAGTAAAAAGCACTAGTTCCATAAAGGAAAAGTATTGCTTGGCTGCTACGAAAAATTTGTATTAGCATTTAAGTAAATTCAGCTGACCATCTTCTCAGACATCAAATAGGGCATCTTTTTTTTTTTGTTTGTTTTTTTTGAGACGGAGTCTCGTTCTGTCGCCCAGGCTACAGTGCAGTGGCACAATCCTGGCTCACTGCAACCTCTGTCTCCTGGCTTCACGCCATTTTCCTGCCTCAGCCTCCCGAGTAGCTGGGACTACAGGCAGCCGCCACCATGCCCGGCTAATTTTTTATATTTTTAGTAGAGACGGGGTTTCACCGTGTTAGCCAAGATGGTCTCGATCTCCTGACCTTGTGATCCACCCGCCTCAGCCTCCCAAAGTGCTGGGATTACAGGCATGAGCCACTGCACCCGGCAAATAGGGCATCTTACTTCTAACAATGATGCTCTTATTTTCCCATTCAAGACCCCAAATCTTGAAGTGATATTCAAGTCACAGTAAACACAATGTTATTTATAATAATACCAATCCTTACCAATATTTTAACCTGCAGAATTTCTGAGAGTCGTCCCTTATTTTCCATGCTCACCATATAGAAACTCATAATTTTATGTACTTCAAGCTTGGATTACTAACATAGACTAAATGTTCTCCTTGATCCCTCTCAAATCCTCTAAAAAATAATAAAATGATACCTCCATGATAGGGAAATAATAAAATTGCTTTATTGACATGTTGAGTTTTTGTTATTATTATGATATCTGCTAGGATTTGAAACTATAGTTCTAGGGGTTAGAAGTATTGGAGTTGGCAGATTTGGGAGTTATCTGAATAGATGCTATGGGAGGTAAGGTCATTGATACAGAGACTGCATAGAGAAAAAAAAGGAGAAAGGAGTCAAAAGCTGCATCTTGTGGAGCACCTAGCACAGAGTCTTGAGTATATCAATATGTGCTGATTGATTTTTAAAGCACTCCTTAGCTGACTATTTTCCAGATCTTTTCCCAAGTAGGACAATTGTCTATTCAACAAAATTAATAGCTGACAGTAATATTTTACTTCTACAAAATAATGTCTTCAGTTATAATGTCAAACCAGAAATGTTAGGGAATTAACTTTGTTGAACCAGTATTACTAGATATTAATCTATCATGAGTCAGCCTGCTTTTCAGAAGAAGTTGTATACTGTAAGGGGTTCAAAGTTGCCCTTTGATCTGGCAAAAATTCTTCATTGATTCATCTCCTACAACAAGGTTTGATACATGGCAGATGATAAAGATGAAAAGTGATTTTGAAAATAAACCATCGTAAAATGAATGAATGGCTTCATTCATATAAATAGGAAACATAATATTCAGTAAAATGCTGGGTCAAGAAGAGGACATATAGTTTCAAGAGGTATAACAGCAGGCTGATGTGGGGAAAGAGGAAGTACATGTAAGGTCATTCATTAGCTTCCAGGTAGGTCACCCCAACAATACCGCCAAGGCCCAATCTTAGCCCAAATTCAGAGCCCCATACAGCTTTTTCTTAAAGAATAGGATTTAGGAGAATTTTTTTCTCTAAACCCAGGAAAGAGGGGGAAACAATTATCTGCATTCTCCAGACCCATACTGTAAGCTGCAGTAGGAGAAACAGCGACACTGTAGTTACACAGACATAGGTTTGAGCCACACTTCTGTCACTTTACTTTTTAGAGACAGGGTCTCACTCTGTTGCCCAAGCTGGAGTGCTGTAGGGTGATCACAGCTCACTGCAACCTTGACTTCCCGGGGCTCAGGCGATCTTCCCACCTCAGCCTCCCGAGTAGCCAGGACTACAGGCACATGTCACCATGCCTGGCTAAGTTTTGTATTTTTTTGCAGAGATGGGGTTGTGCCATGTTGCCCAGGCTGGTCTTGAACTCCTGGGGCTCAAGCGATCTGCCCACCTGGGCCTTCCAAAGTGCTGGGATTTCAGATGTAAGTGACCTCACTGGGCCTCACTTTCTAGTTGTATGACCTACTGCAAGTTACCTGGAGTTTCTAAGTTACTTCCTCATCATGAAAATGTATTCATTAAATCATCTATACACGATGCATTAGAACTTAAATGTGATACTATGTGTATCACTCCTGTCATAGTAACTGACATGATGTAAACACCCTAAAACAATAGTTCTTGTTGTTATTACATTCTTTATTCATCTTCAGAAATTGTCAGTATGAAGAAACCGGGGTCCTTATCTTTTCCCCCAAACCCAACGTAAAATTTCTCTCATTCAAAATTAAGAAATATATTTCCAGGGCTCAGTGAAGAACAGCTCTCATTATCCACTGTAAATATCATGCTTTATTTAGCTATTTTTAATTCATAATATACATCTACTATTAGAAATGTCATTATTAAAATTGTATTATTACAAAATCAAGAGATGATGTAGGAGGCAAGCTATACATGTGCATCTCTTAACAAAAGCCACAAACCAGTACATATTGATCATAACCACAGAATTTTTGCAACCATAAGTGTGAATTTTTACGATCAGACCAGTGTACACTGATAGAAACAGTTGCAACTCCATCAGAGGATTTGGATATGGAAGGAAATGTCCTAGATAACTAAGCTTAGAAATAGTAGGAAGCACTGAGCAACATCCCCAGCCACAGATACAATTATTAAAAGGCTCATGTCTCATAAAGGCACTTGAGTGCACCTAAGTGATATAAGTAAATAAAATAAAAACTCTGCTGAAATTTGTGTTTGTATTTAGTTGTGGTCCCTTGCAGCATTTTAGTTGACTGGCATCCTTTGTTTTATAATTCATTCCTTGAAGTGCTGTGGGATGCTGACCAGGGTATTGTATTATGTAGGGGATTTATTTGTGTTACGATGTACTTGTCTATCAAATCACATCAAGTGGCTCTCATTTCTTTAGCTGATCTTCACTATATTAAAAAAAAATAAAAGAAGTGCATTGACAGCTTTAGTGAGAGCAACTACAAGTGGGTTATTTCCCCAAAGAGTTAGACACAGTTTTGTTTATATAATTTGAATTTTACACACTTCAGTACCTACGCAGCTCATGAATATTGATCTACTACCCAACTAACCTACGAATCCACCGAGAAAGGAAAAGAGCACAAATGTAAAAATCATATGTGACGGAAAAGGAGATGGCCACATGGCACTCCTATGGTCAGGTGTGGCCTTTAGGGTTATTTCTATCATCTTTCCTTTTCACTTCTAAGACATATTCCATTAAGGCCTAACATATGGGAGAAAAACTGATCCCCCCGTCTCTTCAAAATATAATGTTAAGAATTCATTAGAATTAACAGAAAAATTTGTAACAAATATATATTTGCTACAAGGTATTTTTTCCAAATAGTTACTCTTTTGATCCATTGCCCATTGAATATACAGAATCCTTTTGTATCTGTGACTATAACAAAAAGAATGATCATGAAACCACATTAAAGGAGAATGGACTTAAGTTTAATAGAAGGCAGAACTGCCTACAGAAATGAGATTGAGTCAATACTGACCAGATTTCTGCCTGGAGTTGTGGAAATAAGGCAGGGGCATTTATGACACCTTATAAAGTAAAGACTGTTATCTTCTTTGAGACAACAACCTCCTCCAGGGCAGAACCTCTCCTACTTATACTCATTCTAATACTTTCTGTAGCAAATCCAGTACCAGGCCTGGAAAAAATAATCAATACAAGTGTACCAACTATATGGAGTCAATGCCAAATGTTCGTACATTAGATGTCATGAGAGAAAAGGGCCATACTTAATCTGTGAATTGAAGCCTTGAAAAAATTGAGTGTTGAAAACTGATTCTACATCAGAAAAATAATGATGTAGGCTGGGTGCAGTGGCTCACGCCTGTAATCCCAGCACTTTGGGAGGCCGAGACAGAGCAAGACTCCATCTCAGAAAAAAAAGAAAAAGAAAAAGAAAAAAGAAAAATAATGATGTACTGGTAGAGAATATTTCCCCAAAGATAAAAATATGTGGAAACTACCCATCAACAACCATTCACTTGTCTTTAGTCTAGAACAGAATACAATAACATTGTGTGTCCCAAAAGGCACTATAAACTCAGAAGAATCACACTAAAAAGTTAGGCAAGAATTTTAAAACACCTTTCTGAAAACATGTTTGAGGCCAAGAACAGCCATCAACATTTCTTTTTTTTTGAGATGGAGTCTTGCTCTGTCATCCAGGTTGGAGTGCAGTGGCACAATCTTGGCTCACTGCACCCTCCGCCTCTCACGTTCAAACGATTCTCCTGCCTCAGCCTCCTGAGTAACTGGAATTACAGGCACCCGCCACCATGCCTGGCTAATTTTTGTATTTTTAGTAGAGACGGGGCTTCACCATGTTGGTAAGGCTGGTCTCGAACTCCTGATCTCGTGATCCACCCGCCTCAGCCTCTCAAAGTGTTGGGATTACAGGCATGAGCCACCATGCCTGGACACAGCCATAAAAATTTCTATGGTGGTGTTAGGAATTAGTGATATGTGGAGGGGAAAAATGAAAGGGTTAACTTTTGATTTTTAAAAAATTTAATGAAAACCAATCAATAGCAAAATTAATTGACACCTACTGACCTAATTTGAATATTCAATTTTCAGGTGGTTTTATTTTACCTTGTTTTATTGCAAAAGCTGATGGAAATAAGAAATTCTGTCACAAAAAAATGATTATAAGAAGTTAGTAAGAGGGATAAGAATATAAATACATGTATTTGAGAATGAGTCATGGTGAGTTTTCTTTTACCTGATCTCAAAATTATTAAACCAGCTTTTTCCTCAGATAAAATGAATATATATCTAGAAGTAAGAACTAGCACTAATATTTACAAAAGTAATGAAAATAGAAACAATCAGGGCATTACAAATCAAAACACTTAATACTCCAAATGCAGGCATATAAAATAAAGAAAAATGCAATTTTCACACTGAATATGCAAAAGTGAAAAATGATTTGATATTAATGGAACAGAGGACTTACAATTTTCTATCCAAACTAATTGCCTTTGATGATATGTGGAAGGAAAAAAAAAGCTTTTAAGAATTTTCTTTTCACCTGGTTAAGCTATCTTTATAGCTCATAAGCTCTTATGAGGCTTTAAAAAAATTAAAAAGCACAGTAAATTTATAGTTGTACTTCCAACTATATGCATAAATCCTCTCCTCCCAACTTCATATATTTGTGTAAAAAAAATTTAAATGTGCTGTCCGCAATATCACATCATCTGTGCTTCCTATTATGAAGATTTCTACGCCCAAGCCAATTTCAACATTTTTTGTTAGATTATAGCTTTAGGATGTTTTTAATTGAAAAATATGGATAATTTTGAAGTCAGAAAAACAAAGTACGATTACTAAGAGAATTAATTATTGCCTTCTTTTCCTCAGAAGATGTGTTAGTTTAATAGATACACACAGTATGGGTCTCCATCCCCTGTGCAAGACAAGTGGGAACTTCCATTGCTCTGAGGTTTGAGAACAGCTGAGCTGCAAAGACACTCAGAAGAGTCTAAAAGCTCCTGCTGAGGGTTCTAACTGCCAGAGCTTTCAAAAATCTGTGCTTTTTTCCCTAGTAAAGGTACAGCACATAATTACAATGATGTACCAAATTCAATTCTGTGGGAGGTAGGTTGGAGGACAAGTCAGTGGGAAGCTATGCAGCCAATCTACCCCCTAAACAAGATTATTGATCATACAATATGTGGGAGCGAGCATGTCCCCCTTACCAGGATCTGTCTCTAGACAGAGGAAAAGTCTCTGGGTTTTTCTATTTCTTTTTTTTTCTCTTTTTTCCAACTGGTTGCACATGATTATAAGCAAACCTAATGATGTGGCTGCTAAAAAAACCCAAAAGGTTAGAGAAAGCTTAGTGTCCCAGTCACTGCCTTAGATAAGTTTCTTTCTTTCACAATTTCCCCCAGTTTTGTCAATTTTATTGTGTTTTTTTGTTGTTGGTTTTGTTCCTGAGACAGGTTCTGGTTCTGTTGCCCAGGCTGGAGTGCAGTGGTGCAATCTCGGCTCACTGTAACCTCTGCCTCCCGAGCTCAAGCTATTCTCCCACCTCAGCCTCCCAAGTAGCTGGACAAGCACAGCACCATGCTTGGCTAATTTTTGTATTTTTTGTAGAGACGGGGTTTTGCCATGTTGGCCAGGCAGGTCTCGAATTCCTGGGCTCAAGCGATCTGCCTGCATTGGCCTCCCAAAGTGCTGGGATTCAGACGTGAGCCACCATGACCAGCCAATTTGTTAATTATTCATTATCATTATTTTAATGAATACTGCAAGAGTAATCTAATTTCTGGCATATTTACACCCCTAACTGATGAGATTTTGTTTTTATCATCTAAGAAGTTATATAATCAAGGAAACTCTATAGGGCACTACACAGGGTTAGAGTATTAAAATCAGGAAATAAGGCCAGGTATGGTGGCACACACCTATAATCCCAGTATTTTGGGAGGCTGAAGCAGGAGGATTGCTAGAGGCCAGGAGTTCAACACCAACCTGGGCAAAACAGTGGGACTCCATGTGTACAGAAAAATTTTTAAAAAAATTAGCCGGGCATGGTGGAACTTGCTACTCAGGAGGTTGAGGTGGGAGGATCACTAGAGCCTAGGAGTTCGAGGCTGCAGTGAGGTATGATCTCGCCACTGCACTCCACCCTGGGGGACACAGAGAGAACTTTCTTTAAGAGCTTTAAGAGGCAGCTCTTAAAAAAAAAAAATCAGGAAATACTATTTATTATTTAAGAAGGAGAGGAAAGGTTTCAAAAAGGAGCTTAAATTCTTTTATGTTATCAAATGCCATATAGATACAGAATAAGATGGGACTGAAAGAGTCCACTTGATTTTCCATTCATGCAAATGCATTCAAGAAATATTTGTTAAGCACACGTGAATAAAATCAACATAGTTCATCCATTTATAGAACTTGCAATATAGTTGGGATTATAGACAGTCAAGAAGTAACCTCATATATAAACATTTAATTAAAATCCAGGATGATTTCTAGAAAGGAAAAGAAAAAAGGTAATCTGGGAGAGTTTAGTAGGAAGATCTATTTCTGACTGAAAGGCAAATGAAGGTACCACTGGGAAAGCAAAAATTAAGCTATGACTTGAAGTATAAACAAGAGAGGGAGGCAGCAAGCAGGAGTAAAGGAGCAGCATGTGCAATGGTCCTAAGCAGGAAAGAACATGGTAAGTTCAAAAATAAAATGTGGCTGAGGCATAATGAGCAAGAGGCCAAATAGCAGGTGATGAAAGTAGGAGAGGTGGGCAGGTGCCAGACCAGATAGTATCTTCTAGGTCATGGTAAGAAGTTAATGCTGTAGCTTTAGTGCTATAGAACAGCACTGGTATTTTAAGCAGATAAAAATTATGATGCAATACAGATACACTCTAGAAACATCCTACTAAGGGTTGTGCCGAGACGGATTTGGAGAAGGGCAAAAGTGGTAGCGGGAAAAACAAGATAAATGTATATTGTAATGGTTAATTGAAACGATGATTCTGGCTTGGGCTAAGGTGGTGGTGATGGAGACAGAGAAGTGAGTATATTTGATGTGTATTTTGGATGTGAACAGGATTTAAGGGCCTTTCTTATTTCAATTTCAATGCATTATTTAAGGCAGAATTCTGATCACCATTGGTTGAACAGTGAATGAGAGTTAAGGAAGCAGAGAGAAAAAGGAGACTGATCTTTGAAAAAAACTGATGCTAGGAAATGGAGAGAAGGCAGTAGCAAGCAGAAACCTCAGTCAGGAAGGATTTTTATTCATCCATCCACCCATCTATCCACTCCTTTCCAGGCAGCAAATGACTGAAGATTTTCTTTTTTTCTGAAGAGCAGGGCAGAGTGGAAACTGACAAATTGAGGAAGTAATAAAATAACTAACAGAAGGAAAGCAGGCAAGAGATACTACCACCTAAAGTAGGCAGTGCATAACAATGCCCAAAACTGAAGTGAGAAGATTAGCATGTGGTAGAGCATCACATACACACCCACATACCCACAACCCAGGAGCACAGTGGTTAAAGCACTGGCTACAAATTCAGACTGCTAACATTTGAATTCTGTGACTACTAGTTACTATGTAACCTTGGACAAGTAAACTAGTCTTCCTTGGGCCCAGTTTCCTCATCCTTCTTTTTTTTTGAGGCGGAGTCTTGCTCTGTGGCCCAGGCTGGAGTGCAGTGGCCTGATGTCAGCTCACTGCAGCCTCCACCTCCCAGGTTCAAGCGATTCTCCTGCCTCAGCCTCCTGTGTAGCTGGGACTACAGGCGTGCGCCACCATGCCCAGCTAATTTTTGTATTTTTAGTAGAGATGGAGTTTCACCATGTTGGCCAGGCTGGTCTGGAACTCCTGACCTCAGGTGATCCTCCCGCCTCGGCTTCCCAAAGTGCTGGGATTACAGGCATGAGCCAACGCGCCCGGCATCCTCATCCTTAATATGGAGCCATTAATAGTGCCAAACTCGTAGGGTTTGTCATGAGGAATACATAAGTTGGTGGAAGTAAACATGCTTCTCATAGAATCTGACAAATTAAGTCCTCAATATTTATTTTGTTTCTATCCATACTAATAGCAACAACAATAATGTTAATGATAATGGAGCTCCTCTTTTTCTGAGGCTTGACAGAGAATAAGTAAAAGGTATATAGCTAGAGAAAACTTTGTAGGTAGAAGAAATATTGGAGGTTTTGAAGTCAAACTGCTTTCTTTTTTCTCTGGCAAGTAACAGGTTAGGATGTTCGTGGTAAGTTAAAAGAATGGGGAGGAGACAGAAGACTTGAGGAGAGAAGGAAAGGTATGGTATGGCCACTATGGAAAAATGAAAGGACGCAGAATAGGGAGCGAGTGAAATAGCTGTTAAAACGGCAGTGAGAGTCTGATTGAAATAAAGGCTAAAATGTCAAAAAGATACCAATTGACTCACTTCACCAAAGGGAGCAGAAAGGAAGAAAGCAAGACAGTCAGAGATACAGTGAGAATGCGAAGGAGCTTCATTCTGTAAATTCAGGGAGACACCGGAGGTTTTCCATATAGAAATCATGTGATAAATACACTAATAATGTTAACAAGAGAAGTGAGCAGAGGCAATGAGCCTTTCCAGTTTGGAGCCTCTCTCATTACTGCAGATGATTCTATTAAACAATTTCCAAAACTGTCCTCACATTAGGCTGTTGATATATGTTTAAGGGTTAAAAAGTGTTTGGATGTATACACACAGAAGTGAATTGAATTTCAGCATACACCTAGAGAAATATGTTTTAGCAAAATTTCTATTGTTACAGATTTAAATCATACTACTTTCTAATTTCAGGCTCGGACTTAGGCTTAATAATTGTCCTGTAATTCAATTCCATAAACATTTATTTACTGTCTATTTAATACATGATATTGTTCTAAACACTGCAAAGTACACGTTTAACAAACTAAAGTATATCATTGTTTAAAAAATATTTCCTTGATGTGAATGCAGCTAAACTTTATTGGGCAAATCCTGATTGATACTATCTTAGGTAATTTACATAGTGTAAACTAGTTTGTAATGTCCTTGACTTTCCGCCCCCCACCCCCAGACATGTAGCTAAGAATGGTGAAAGTAAATACGGGGACTAGGTTACTTCATGTATGCACAGCCTCAGAATTATTTATGGTTATGTGCATAAACAAGAAATCTCTTCCATTTTCTATTTTGCTTTTAGTTCAGAAGGTATATTGCTTTTTACGTCCCCAAACTTCATTTCCTCAGTGTGGTACCAAGGATATGCCTCTTGAAAGGACTTGCTTGGCAAACTAATACATCTTCCAAGATAAACTGCATTCAGAAAAAAAAAAATGGCTTCAGAGAAATTGTGTAGTATACCTACTGTAAAACTCATAACCATCATGACACAGCTGAATTCTCAGAGGGTATATACCCTTGCTTCAATTATAATATGAATCCAAGCAGCTTAGGCTTCAAGTGTGGACTTTGATCTAAATAACTGTATTACTCAATGTTGTGCTAAATTGCTTTTAGTTAACAAATGATATCTATCGAATTTAGTTGATTAATTCACCTTGTTCAAAAATAAGAGAAATACCTTTCTCAGATACCATTATATGCTCTATCTGATCCCAAACATACATTCCTGATTTTCTTTGCAAGAATTTGACAGAATCCTTCTATATAAGTGCAGTCAATGCCATGTCTCAAAATTAATAAACTCTAAATATGGGTGAGCATTTATTGCACATGTTCAAAAGGAACATGCTCAGTCCCATCTAGCACAGTTTGACTTTAAACAGGATTTTTAAACTGCAAGGTATCAAATTGGATCAGTTCTAACATATTATACTATTTAAAAGCTTATAGAATATTTTGGATAACGCTGAAAATGTTTGACTATTAGGTTCAATGGTAATTTTAAAATTTTAGTATGCAAATGGAAAATGTTCAGGGAGCCAGGGTAAAGTTGGTGACCATAATGGAACTATTTATTCATACAGCAAACAAACTTGCACTGACCACCTAAGTAAAAAATAGCTTTTTCTCCAAGAAATTAAATAAATCATAATGCCCTCTTTCCTGCCATTTTTTTGTTTTTGTTTTTTGTCAACTATTTGAATAGTCAGTTTGGGGAATACTTAAAATATAACTATAATCTTGAATTCAAAATTTATACTTATTCATCCTTTGTACCCCTTAATATGAAGGGTGGAATAAGAAAAAATAATTCATTCCAATAATAATTTAACTACATGATGATTTAAAGACATGATGTATAAGATTTTCTTCCCAGCTAAAACAGCACATTTTAAGCTTTAAATCAATTAATGACACTCTATATGAAATCTGAAAATCCTTTTGCTTTTTCTGACACGACATATACCCTAGAAAAAGAGTCTCTAGTACTTTGCTAATTATCTAGTAATTATCCTTTTATTTTAACCTACTTTTTGGAGGCCAAATTCTAACATTAAGATCTAAATGGAAAGAAAAATAGCCCATATAATAATAATGTATACTGTTTGCATATATTAATAGAATTAAAAATTGGCACTGTTATTCAAAAGATCCCCTGAGATATTTTGAAGTATTTTATGAATGCGAATATTTTATTATTTTTCAATGCCATGACAAATAATAATAGGTAAAAAAGTATTTTTTTCTGACAGCCAATATTATATTAAATTATGTAGCAATACAGTAATGAAAAAATAATTGACAACTGAAATGTTTGTCTTTTCACTGTTTCTGGCAAGTGTTAACCTCCCAGCTGAGTTTGTGGTCCCTCATGTTGGATACATACCACAACTCCAAATTGTTCAGGCTCACAGAGGTCATCATATTCATTCTTAAGCTCTGCTAATTCGTTGAGTATCTTCTGCTCAGGAAGATGTTTCACAAGGTTCTAAAAAGAAATAAAAGTATAAAAGTTTAGTGTTTTAGTATTAGAATTTTTAAACATGCATTAACAATTATGAAAGTGATTAACTAGGACAGTACATTTCTGACTGTGGTTCTGTTATGGTACCAGAGTATCCGCCCTTCCCCGCCCCTCCAAAATTTGACCTAAAAATGAACTACAATAAATTGTGAATAAAACGTATAAACTTGTTTGGTTTTTGTACAATATAGTATATACATATTGAATAAAAGATCACATAAGAATAAATCGTATTCCAAAACCGAGTAAAATTCTGGGACTTAAACATATAGAATAATTTTCTTTTTTTTTTGGAGACGAGTCTCGCTCTGTCGCCCTGGCTGGAGTGCAGTGGCGCGATCTCGGCTCACTGCAAGCTCCGCCTCCCAGGTTCATGCCATTCTCCTGCCTCAGCCTCACGAGTAGCTGGGATAACAGGCGCCCGCCACCATGCCGGGCTAATTTTTTGTATTTTTAGTAGAGACGGGGTTTCACCGTGTTTAGAATAATTTTTAAGCTTTATTTCCAGTCACAATAATTAGTCAATCTAAACTAAAAACAGAAAAATACTATGTAGAATTTGCTTAGGTACAATAATACTAAAAAAGAAAGTATCAACTCTACCATTCATAATTTTTCAAAACCTGGAATAATCTTCAATCTTATAAATTACACCTGGCTTGTACAACATCTCCCATTATCTACAATGTCTATATTTAAGTACACAATACAATCCTATTTTTAATGGAGAATCAAGCAAAAGTGATGAAGTCTGATGCATGCTCAAATTTGATGATTCTTATGAATTGAATGTTTGTGTCCCTCCAAAATCCTTATGCTGAAATCTAATCCTCAACGTGATTATCCTTAAAGGCAGCGCCTTTGAGGGGCAATTAGGTCATAAGAGTGGAGCCCTCACGAATATGATTAGTTCCCTCTTAAGAAGAGGCCAGTGGCCGGGTGCAGTGGTTCATGCCTGTAATCCCAGCACTTTGGGAGGCCGAGGCAGGTGGATCACCTGAGGTCAGGAGTTCGAGACCAGCCTGACCAACATGGAGAAACCCCATCTCTACTAAAAATACAAAAATTAGCCGGGCGTGGTGGCACATGCCTGTAATCCCAGCTACTAGTCATAAAGGAATGAAGTTTTGACATGTCATAACATAGATAACAATATGTGTAAATATTTCACTTAGTAAAACAAAATAGATACAAAAGAACAAATATTGTATGATTCCACTGATATGAAGTATCAACAACAGGCAAATTTTTAGAGACAAAAAGTAGAATTGAGGTTACCGGAAGCTGGGGGTAGAAGGGTATGGGGAGTTATTGCTTAATAGGTTTAGAGTTTCTGTTTGGGATGATGACAAAGTTCTGGAAATAGTGGTAATGGTTGTACAACAACATAAATGTAATGAATGCTTCTTTATTATACACGTAAAAAGGGTAAAATGGTTAGTTTTATGTTACCTATTTTTCCACAATGAAAAGATAACTAGGGTAGGGTACACAGAACATAAGTCTCATGGAAAACAACTGTACTATACCCCTACTATAAGTACCCTTTTGTTCTCCCCATTTGTCTCTTCCCTCCTCCCACTCAATTTTGCCTTTCCATTAAACTCTGGGCCTGCAATGGCACCTATCATCTAATTAATGAGACCCAAGTTTTAAAATATCGCACCCTTTGACTAAAATATAAATATGGATATAACCACATATATGAATACTGAAATGAAATCAAGAGAATCCACTATTTTGCTCCATTAGTATTATTTTCTTTTATAGAATAAGAAGGTAAGTAAATACCAAGGTATTATTTCCATTTTTTCAAATATTTTTGATGCATGGAAATTACTCAATTGTTTTTAAAAACTGTTTCTATTGATTTTTTTTTGTGTGAAGTATGTATGTTATTAAGAAAAACAAAGACTCAGTTTGGTAACTTGAATAATTTTCACCACAGTGAAACTAAATTAGAAAGATTAAGATAATCAAAATTATTTAAAATCAATTCTGCATATTTAAAAATCTCCACCTCAATTTTAAGCTGTAACTGGGAAAATAAGTATTGTGGAATGAATCAAGCCTAAAATATAATTTTAGCTTGGAATGTGAAACTTTTGTTATTTTATTTTTCTCCTAGCTATAGGTAACCTGTTATTTTCAGAATGAAGGCGCCACAGTGGGAGGTGACATATCTTTTCTCTATTCAGCTGTATGAAATATTTAACACATTTAGTGGCCTTGGATGTATTCTGACTCTGAATATCATCTTATGAGTTTTAAGCTTATGTAACTGCCACTGTTTAGTAAGTTGTACTTGCGAATTAGAATAAAACTCACTCTCAAATGTGCGGCAGATGCAGACTACTACAATAGTACATATTGCTCTTATGAGTCACCTACCTGTAGGATCTCATGTTGCAAGTGGTCCTTGTAGTCAATGCCTAAACATATCTGATTTTTTATATATGTACATACTAAACGTTGTAGACAAAGATGTAGTATAAGGTTGGATAGGAGTATTTTTTCATTCCCATAAATTCCTAAATAAAAGAGGAAGGAAGATAATACAGAGGAGAGAGAGATGTAATGGTACTCATTTACCTCCACTTCACCTACTCATCAAAAGCATACCAACAGAGAATATGGAAAAAAGGCAGGGGTTCAAGGCACAGCTTGACACTGATATACAGAGTCCTCGGAATCAGCCTGAAGTCTGTTTGTGTAGTGGACTAAGGGGGCTCCCAGGAAAGACATTTTGTAAAGGGAGAGAAGTCAAGCAGCAAGCAGACAAGATTAGTCCAGTGAGAAAACCTGCAATTTGGAAAGAGTTAGGGTGATTCTGAGTGCACTGTAGTTGTTTTTTGGATGTGATTCCAGGCCCAGACTATTCATCCCCAACGTGGTCAGATGTCTGAGTACTGTGGAGAGGAGAACTGTGTGAAGAGCACTGCTTTGGTACTCCTCTAATCAAGTACATTTAAAAAGGAAAGCAGGGAAAAAATACATGTTCCCATACTTTGCCAGAGAACACCCCACACCCTTGGCACCTAGAAGGCTTCAATACACCACCAGCTGTGCCCCGTGGGAAACTCCTCCCCTCTTCCCACACACAGTTGTCCCCAGGGGAGAGGATCAAAACAAGAACCCACAGTTGCCACATGGAAGCTGGCAAAATTAATTCAGAGAATGTGTAAGCTATTTCCTGAGACCTCTAGAAACATCTAATGTTGAGACTTTTGATAAGAATCAGGGTCCTGCAACAGCAGCTATGAGCAAGAGCAAGAAAAATACAGGTGAAGTGACACAGATCAGGCTAGGCAATAAAATTGTTAGATTCATATTGCCCCAAAACTCTGTACTTAAAAAAAATTAAAATAGCTTTTGAATTTAATGCTTCCTTGATACTACAATTGCTTCTGTTCTCTAAATAAACTGCAAAGGTGAGTTAATAGTCGAAGACTACCCTCTATGCTCGCTATAAGTGAAAAACTGTTCATAGTAGTAAAGGCTAGAAGTGATAAATTTTTAAGTACAACAGATTCTTACAAACTGTGAGTTGATAGGCAAATATCCTGGAAAGTTTCAAGGCACAAGCCCTTCAATTTCTCCGCCGTCCCCCAACCCCACCTGCTGCTGCTTACTACTGTGCATATTTTTTTTTCAAATATTTCAGGATTTGTGTTTAAAAGATCAATTCTGGATAAGTATGAAGGTTTTATCCTAGAAAATGTCAATGAACTGAAGTTCACAAAGAAAACAGCAAAAGAGAAAGCAGCAACTATGTCATTGATTGAGCAGAGTTTTCTTCATCTTTTACGCATCACAAATTTACATTCTGATGATTGTCAGTGTTAAGTGAAGGAATTTCTACGAATAGACCACACGCTTTTAACTACTTTTTACATTTCTGCAATTATTCTGTAATACTTCCAAAACTTTATTTCCTTTAAATGTTAATTGAACACTTAAAGGTTAGTTAAGTAAAGGTATTGAACCATAATGCCCTTTCCTTCTTGCCAAAACATAACCTTTCTTTTTTGTCTTCTATCTCATTAAGTCACTTTACTAGTAGAAGAACTGCGTTAGGTTCATTTTGATTAAGACTATCATTTTCCACATAAACGGATTGGGGCTAATATTTCTTTATAAAAAATGTATTTATATATATATTATATATATATGTAATGTCTTACTTTAACTTATGTTGACAATTGTGTATTTTTAAAAATCTAGATAAGAAACGTTCTCCTTGGCCGGGCGCGGTGGCTCACGCCTGTAATCCCAGCACTTTGGGAGGCCGAGGCAGGTGGATCACGAGGTCAGGAGATCGAGACCATCCTGGCTAACACGGTGAAACCCCGTCTCTACTAAAAATACAAAAAATTAGCCAGGCACGGTGGCGGGCACCTGTAGTCCCAGCTAATCGGGAGGCTGAGGCAGGAGAATGGCGTGAACCCGGGAGGCAGAGCTTGCAGTGAGCCAAGATAGCGCCACTGCACTCCAGCCTGGGTGAAAGAGCGAGACTCCATCTCAAAAAAAAAAAAAAAAAAAAAAAAAAAAAAAAAAAAGAAAAAGAAACATTTCCCTAAAAGTCCCTTGGCTAAATCTCTATCATCATAACACATCTTTTCCCCATTTTGCTTGGTCAGAAAACACAATTCCTTACCCATGTTTTTCAGAACTTTTTTATGGTATATGGCTTAAATCACTGTGTATGTGTTTACTGTTCTTAAATCATGTGTTCCTTTACTTTTCTTCAAATGAAATGACAGTTTCATGCCAGTACTTGGTTCTATACTTATTTTCTGTTTTATTCATCCATTCTGCCAATATATACTGGATGTCTACCACGTGACTACCACCACATTAACCTCTGGAGATTCTGCCCTCATAAAGATGACAGGGCCAAAAGGGCTGTGTATGTTCTTGTTTACACAATGGAACACAATCAACATATGACTGAGTAATTTGCCTTCCATTTGATCCAAAATACATTTTCTGTCAGGTGGTGATGGTACAATCTTCTCCTTTTGATATAAAATTCCTAACATTTCCAAAACTCTTGCATTTGACTCCAAGAATCGACATACATACTGAAGTATGTTAAAATGCTGATTACCACTAAAGTATTTGGGGGTGGAGCATTTCAATCCCTCAACATGCAGTCACTATTTTCAAAAACACATTAGTTAATAAAATAACACACAAGCATTGAAAATCGATGAGAAAATTCCTGACCTTGAAGTAACAAGTGTGTCTTAGAAATAATCGGGGATTTAAAGGTTTCCTATCTAATCTTTAATCTAGCCCAGGCAGAGAAACATATCCTAAAGAAATGATTTGAAACTCTGACATTTAACATTCAGATTATACTCAGTTCCCTAGAAGGCGCATTGACTTTCCCATGATCAATATCACCTCACTGCTGATAATGCCAAATGAACGTCTCCAGCCCTGACTACTCTTAGGCATCCTCAAGCTCCATGTTTCTAACTGACATTCCCACCCAGATGTCCCATCATTAACTCAAACTGAACAAATCTAAAGGAGAACTCATCCTCACTCTGACCCATCCCTACACCTTATCAGCGTCTCCTAATGGCTTCATTCTGCCAACAGAACTGGCATCCTTTTCATCTTCTAAGCTTTCAAACTGGCAATTACCTTTCAGTCACACTTCTGACAATTTTTCCTAAAAAAAATCTCTTTCAGGTTCAACCCTTCCTTTCCATTCCACAGCCAAAAATCTGGGCTAGGGAAATTACACGGTAGCTAAACATTTCCTATTTTAAATTCAATTAAACTATTCAAGGGGTTCTAGCCCTGTACTAAGTAGATCAGTGAAGATCACAGATATATTTACTACTATAATAGAAAAAATAGTGATTATATGTAAAAAATTCTACTCCCACTAATGTCATGATCCTATTTGCAAAATACATGTATTGCTTTCTACATAATTTATGATTTACAGTATAAAGGATAATTATGAAAAGTACTCCTTTGATGCTATTTACCTTTTATTTTGTTTATGTCCTATTTTGTACTCTAAAATAAAAATTATAAACCATATTAAACATAAAAAGTGATATTAAGCATTAAAAAGTAGGACATATAGAATAAATTAATGACTATGAGTATTGAATAGCAGCATCCAAAGTATGTATGCCCATGTCTAAATGTAATGATAGCAACAGGAGGCAGCCAAATGCTTAGGCAGACGCGGGTGGGTACCTGGTGAAACCCCAATTCCCCAACTCCAGGCCGAAGACAGTTTATAGCTTGAAAGCCAAGCTGCAAATTAAATCCTTGGGCAGGATTGAGAACTTGTCTTTCTGTTTGGCGTGCTTTCCTCTGATTGATATCCATCCTTCACCTATTTTACATATACCTACCCTTTCCTAACTGGTTTACTGGTTTTCTTTTTCCCCCCCTCCCTCCCTCCCTCTCTCTCTCTCTTTCGTTCTTTCTTTTTCTTTTTTTCACAGTCTCACTCTGTTGCCCAGGCTGGAGTGCAGTAGCACAATCACTACCTACAGCAGTCTCAATCTCCTGGGCTCAAACAATCCTCCCAACTCAGCCTCCCGAGCAGTTGGGACTACAGGCTTATGCCACCAGGCCTGGCTGATTTTTAAAAAACTCTTTATAGTGACAGGGTGTCACTATGTTGCCCAGGCTGGTCTCGAACTCCTGGGCTCAAGCAATTCTCCTGCCTCCACCTCCCAAGGCACTGGGATTATAGGTGTAAGCCACTGTGCCTGGCCTAGAATAGATTTTTAACAGACAAAATAGGTTGACAGATATATGATACCCTGTTAACGCTATATTCTGCTTTCATTAGATATCATCCTATCACGGCCATGACAAACTGCCACAAACCAATGCTAGGATTCATTATTATAAAATAGTACATGCAGATGCTTCCAAAGCTGAATTCTATCCTCATATTCAAGACCCCTATCATTACAGCACCAAATAAATCACTTCAATTAGTTCAAAATATTTATAATAGAAACTGCCATACATGATGATCGGCTATCATTATTTAGTTCTCTGTTTTCATTTAAGTACTAGTTAAAGGTGCCTGTATCGAAAACAAAGTATAAGTTATCCATTAGACTAAAGAAATACAAAGTCAAAATGGAGCATCCATAATACCCTGGACATTTTGACACATCTGGCAAGCTAACACTTTTTTCTTTAAGCAGAAACAACGCTTGTCATCTGCAGAACTTTAAATACACTAACCTGAACATGGTGGCAGATTATCAATATCTAATGTTTCTCTCAACTTCCCAATAACAGAGTCATAGAGATACTTTAGAATAGACTTCTGCTTCCAGCAATATAGCTGATTAGTTACCCAGAGGAACTGTCAATTTACAGAACACCTAAAATGCTGAATAGACTTCTTTAAAAATATCTTCAGATGAAAAGCTAACTTGGCAAGACATTTTTAAAAAGTTCTCATTACTTGCCCCCCAAACTCCCCAATGGGAAAAAAAATAAAAAGAAAGCACTAATCCAGACACATAACCAGACACTGAAGTCCAAGACTATCGTAGGAACATCTACCAAACTCTACTGGTCTAGAGCTTTTACAGAACCCCAAAAGGTAATACCTCCAGAAAAGGGGTTATTTTGGAGAAAAAACAAAGCCCGCCTAGAGAAGAAAACAGTAAAGAATTGTGTCTGGTTTTGCCTTGACTCTGGGATTGGAGATAAGGGGCTTCTCTGCTGGAAACTTCTAAACACAAGGCAACACCCCCGCCCTCCACCATGCAAGTTTTGGGTTAGAATTTAAACTACCTAGTTGTAAAAATATATGCTGATAATTTATATTTAAAGTGATTATTCTTTGGTAGTACTCCTAGGTAGAATAGAAAGATTACCTCCCAGGGAATGTCAATTTAGACTACAGCTCAGTTAACAACTGAACCCAGAATATGGTGAAATAATCTCTTCATAGTGCTGAGAAAAAATAATTGACAAGCTAGAATTATATACCCAGTGAAAATATATTTTCAGAACAAGGGTGAAAAAAAATAATTAGAGAAACAAAAGCAGTGTTTGCTATGACCAGAATCTCACTAAAAGTCTTTCAAAAAGACTTGTTTCGGTTCCAGCTATTAGGGAGTCTGAGATAGGGGACTGCTTGAGTCCAGGAGATTGAGACAAGCCTGGGCAACACAGCAAGACCCCCATCGCTAAAATAGCTTTTAAAAATTTGCTGGTCATGGTAGTAAGCTTGTATTCCCAGCTGCTCGGGAAGCCAAGGTGAGAAGATCTCAGAAGACTGATGCTGCAGCGACGTAGGATTGGACCACTGCACTCCAGGCTAGGCAACTGAGTGAGACCCTGTCTCTAAAAATAATTATAATAAATTAAAATAAATAAAATAAACAGACTTGTTTTGGGGAGAAGTAAAATGATCCTAGAAGGAAGTTTTGTCATATAAGAAGAAAGGTATACAAAAAAGTTAAATATGTGAGTAAATCTAAGTGGGGAACAGGAGGTGGAAAGCAGGGAGTTGTGGGGTTGCTGAGATAGGAGAATCGCTTGAGCCTGGGAGGTCAAGGCTGCAGTGAGCCAAGATTGTGCCACTGCACTCCAGCCTGGGCAACAGAGCGAATATCCTGTCTCAAAACAAAAACAAAGGAAAAAACTAAATAACATATATTTTGGGGCACATCCATATATGGCAAAAGAAAGGCATGGGGTTGATGAGCCTCAGATTCAGAATAGTGGTTTCTTCTGGGGAGAAGGGTAAACAATGGCTTCACAGTAATGGTAACGTGCACACCCATGGTTACATTTTATTAATACTATGCTTTGAACTGTACACACACAGCCTAAATATTAGAGACGTATCTCAAATGACCCTTTTCTTAATCTTAATTCAACCTTCTGTTCTCAGATAGTCTTTGATTACTCTGGGAGAGTTTACATTGTTGCCTTAAAATTTTACAATTTGGGACTTAGCCTTCCTTTAATCTGATCCAATTCAATATGGATTTCTTTTGATGAGCCATTCAGGGACATTTTTCAGCTGGTCACCATCATCTAGATACTGACCCTTCACTTTTGTAATGTATAGACACACTCCTGGGTTTGCTTTGGCTTTTTGGGGACCCTTTCCAAACATCCCATACATTTTCACAAAGAGAATCATCAACTGAGTGTAGAAAGAATGAGATCAGGGGGACAGGGACTGGAGAGGCGGTGAGCCCTGGGGCACCTGGGCATTAGGCCCGGGCGTGGCGGGCAGCGGTGGCCTGGGGGTTTCCTAGGGGAGCACCCCTTTCTAGCCCACTGCCCCAGAGCTCTTTCTCAAAAAAAAAAAAAAAAAAAAAAAAAAAAAAAAAAAAGGGATCAGAGACAATCAGAGGATCACGAACAATTCTTACTCTTAGTCATTCATTTGTACCATGAACTGAGGGGAGCTAGTCAAGTAGAAATCAAAGAAATCCTACAACAATTACAAATCTAGTTTTGTTTGAAATATTTTCCCCTTGAAGCAGTATTCAAATTATCTATACATATAACCTATATAAGTGTATTTGGCCTGGGACACTGTTTCTAACAGATATAAAGCAAATAACAGTCTTCACTCCAATGCTTAAGAATTGATTATTTTCGGGCTGGGCCCGGTGGCTCACGCCTGTAATCCCAGCACTTTGGGAGGCTGAAGCGGGCAGATCACAAGGTCAGGAGTTCGAGACCATCTTGCCGAACACGGTGAAACTCCATCTCTACTAAAAATACAAAAAAATTAGCCGGGCATGGTGGCGGGCACCTGTAGTCCCAGCTACTCGGGAGGCTGAGGCAGGAGAATGGCGTGAACCCAGGAGGCAGAGCTTGCACTGAGCCGAGATGGCACCACTGCACTCCAGCCTGGGCAACAGAGCAAGACTCTGTCTCCAAAAAAAAAATAAAATAAAATAATTGATTATTTTCCCAACTAGCAATATGTGTTCGTGTTTATTTATAAACATTCATCAGGCAAACTCTACCACCACTCTACCATCAAATGAAATGCAATGAGATAGATCATATGTAAAGATGATCTAGAACATATGCCACATTCCATAAAAATAAAATGATTAAGTAGCATATATGACAATATATGGTGACCCAATACATTTGTTTTCCAATGACTGGCTTTATGTTGGTTGAGCAGAGTTTATCCTGGCTTTATTCAGATGTAGTCCCACTCTAAGCAGTCACTTCTATATGACTGCTTACTGTGCCACCAACTAGTTACTCATCCTCTGAAAGTCCACCCTCTTGATGACATTTAACCTGTTGGCTCTTCTGAGGAGACTTGGCCCTAAGATCAGATAAGCCCATGCTTTCAGGATCTAAGGAGGATGCCTAACATTCCCAAGCTCTCCTTTAGGGAAGCTCAACTCTTCTCTAGACCTGTGACACCTCCGGTCCAAAGGGGAAGCACAACTTCACATGAGAAGCATACTGTTTTAGCATCTGTTGTCTTTGTAATACTTCAAATCTTCCTCATGGATTTAGGGCAGCCAAAAACAAAGCTTCCCTATTTACGATGCTACTCATCACTGACGGAAAATCTCTTCATCTGGAAGTAGTCACGCTTTCATTTTTAAAATTATATACAACATGGAACCTACATAAACAGAACCAAGTGGCTGTTCTGTTTGGATCTAGTGTACCGAACACACTGACTGCATGCACTTAGGCTAATGAAGACCATCAGTATTCTCTTGGGTGAACCAAAGCCCCCAAAATAGGCAGATGAAACCCGGGAAACTGTGTAGATGAGGATAGGTTTCATCTCTCAATGCACAAGAAATTTCAAAGTCATCTATGACAGAAATATTTAGAACGAAGCGTTAATCAAAACCTTATGTAAATATTTATTTGATATTGTATGGAATTTTTATGTTTACTTTCATGAAGACCTTTTATTCAATAAAGGACATTGGGTGGTTCTTATAATTCTCAGAAATCTTTGAGAGATAAAGCAGCCCTAAATATTCAAGAAAGGGAAATCTGTAAATCTGAAAGTCAGTTTAATATAGAGTGCTCACCCATTCAATATAGCCTTGTAGAGGGGACTAGCCTAACAGGCTCAAAATATCTAATTGAAAATATCACCAAATCACATGATATAACATTATCATATAAAGAAAACTCTGTATCATGCATCTGATTCGAAAACAAGTAAAAAGAATGACCAATACAAAGAATGCTTATGATACAGCTCAGAATGTCTGCATCACATGCAAACATCTTTTTCAAAAATCACTTCAAAAGATTAAGAATAACACAGTAGAAATGAGCAGATGAAGAATGGAGAGAATGTTCAGTCTAGTTTACAGAATAGGGAGTATTTCCAAGAGAAAGTAGGTTTTAAGTCATATTTTAAAAGATAAAAAAGACACCTAAAGGATGGAAGGACAGGTGCAAAGGCATGGAGAAGAGCAAATGTAAGTAACGTAATGCACAGATTATTCAAAATCAAGACTCTGAGAAACTCTCCAATTTCTAGAGATCCATTACAGCATTTAAAAACAGAAGAAAACAGGTGGCAATCATTGCAATCACTTCTTAAGAATGAAAATGAATTGATGGAGGAAAAAGAATGCCTAGTCGAATCAAGTAATGTGATGTGCTAGACTGGAGGAAGTCTAGAGACAAAGACCAACTAGAAAACAATAGTAGTCTAGTCCTATGGGCATGGGAGGTGAGAAAATCTTCAATCAGTAAGAATGCATGATGAGCTGGGATCAAAGAAGAGAGAGGGGATGAAAAAAATTCCAGGAGATATAGGCCTTCATTTGGGGGAAGGATGAAGACTATGAGTTCTTTTTGGGATACTCTTTCAAGTAATAGTTGAATGTTTAAGTGTTAATTCTCTTTAGATAAATGGCCAGAAAGAGTGACAGGTTACAGCTAAATAAATGTCTAAGATACTAATCTCTATGTGTGTTCAATTTGTGTAGTATTTTATAGTTTGCAAGGGTTTTTAACATATGCTCATATTTAATTTGTATAATAACCAATTTTTATAAGTATACATTTCCCCCCTTCTAAAGGCAAAAACTATATGGCTAAAAGAAGAAAAGTGACTTGCCCAAGGTCATATACAGAATACAGGACTGAAACCCAAAAGAATTTTTTTTCCACTACACTGAGAGTGGTATTTTAAGTATAAACCGCCGAAGAGTAGAAACTCCAAAGAGACAATGTAGCAATTAGTCATAGCACTCAAGGAAGAAAAGCAGACACCTTCTTTGCTTTTCCCAAGAAGCAACTAATTTTTCAACACTATTCAGCTATATACACTGAAGAAAAATTATGAAATGAAGGCCAAAATATGTACTCTTATTTTTCTCACAAAGCTGAAAGACTTCATTAAATGGTTCTGTCACTCTGAATCCTTCATATGGGATAAAATAAATGATGGTCTTATTAGTAATTGAGCTACCCTTTCATTTTACTAAAATGCTGCTTATTAATGCAGAAACGGAATCCAATGCCCCTTATACTGCATTAAGTAAAATTAAGTATTTTTTGGCACCTAATTATATATTTCACAACACAAACAATAATGAATGTCAATGAAGACATTTATAATGTCATCTAATACTGGAAGAAGATGTTTCAAGGGATAATTTAATTTCTACTCTGACTTCCAATGACAGAGATTGCACTAAGTGTTTTTAATTAGTAAACTTTCTGTTACTACTTTTTATTGCTGTCCAGCAGTAAACTCCCCAACCCGCTCGCCCACCTGCATACCACAGCAAGGAAAAACAGGTCAAACAATGGGCTTTAAAAAAATCAATAAATTGAGCATCTTATGAACCAAGTTGTGATCCCAGATTGACTATGTGATGTAAACCTCTCTGAGCCTTGGTTTCTCCTCCCGCGAAATAAGGGAAATGAATAATTTATAAAGCTTACTTTAGTTTTAATTTTGGTGGCCTCTGATTCTGACAGAGATACAAAGGCAAATAATTTTTAATTGACAAAAAGGATATATTTATGGTGTACAAAATGATGTTTTGATATATGTATACACTGTGGAATGACTAAATCAAGCTAATTAACATATCCATTATTTCACGAACTTAATTTTTTGTGATGAGAACATTTAAAATAGACCTTAGCAATTTTCAAAGCTGCAATACACTGTTATTAGCTATCATCACCATGTTCTAAAATAAATTTCCTGAACTATTCCTCCTATCTGAAATTTCATATTCTTTGATCAATATCTCCCAATCCCCACTCCCACCTCTAGTCCCTGGTAACCACCACTCTACTCTGTGCTTCTATGAGTTTGACTTTTTTAGGTTCTATATACTGTATAAATGAGATCACACAGTATATGTCTTTCCATGTCTGCCTTATGTCACTTAGCACAATGTCCTGCAGGTTCAAAGATTTCCTTCTTTTTAAAGGGTGAATAGTGTTCCAACATGTACATACTATGAATTTGAGCACAATGTGTATAAGGCTGAAGGGAATGGTCACACCTTAGTAAGTACTTCATAGATGAAAGGTTCCACAATTTGAAGAGAAGAAAAAAAAAGATATTTTAAGCATTCCATCAGGTAGAATTCTCCCTATCATATTGGCTTTCACCCATATGCTTTCTAGACATTCCTAGGAGGGAATCCTGCTTACGGTCTTTCCTGTAAAGTGATACCTCTATAGGTTACTCCCATCTAACAACTCTCCCCTTTGCCTGCTGTCATATACTAATCCCATTCTCCTACTTCTGATCAACTGAAAACACTCTTGAAGCCACATTTTAGCACTGCCATCTAGCTTTGTTAGTCCCCAAGTATTTAGTATATTTTGCAATTCTTTATTAGAACAAATACTCAAAGTTGATATTAAATCCTAACTAGTTATTCTGAATGGGTCACACCATTCCTGATTAATTATTTAATATGACAAATTCTTGGCCGGCCGCGGTGGCTCAGGCCTGTAATCCTAGCACTTTGGGAGGCCGAGGCAGGCGGATCACCTGAGGTCAGGAGTTTGAGACCAGCCTGGCTAACATGGCGAAACCCCATCTCTACTAAAAATACAAAAATTAGCCGGGCGGTGGTCTGTAGTCCCAGCTACTCAGGAGGCTGAGGAAGGAGAATCACTTGAGCCCAGAAGGCAGAGGTTGCAGTGAGCTAAGACTGTGCTGCTGCACTCCAGCCTGGGCAACTAAACGAGGCTCCATCTCAAAAAAACAAACAAACAAACAAACAAAAATTATTCTACTGCCAAACCTTTGGAAAAGGTCATGTTTCTACTTTTAGGTACTTTGATTTCTATATTCTTCTACTGCCAAAACTTCAGAAAAGGTCATGTTGTTACTTTTTAGGTACTTCGTTTTCTACAAAATGTTTTCTAGCAATACTCAAACTAAACAAACACAATTTCATTCATATTAGATATTGATAATTTTATATAGCTATGATTTCAAATATTCTCATATATTCTAAATGATTCTAAATATAGAATATATGATTCTAATATCACTCAGTATACTAAAATAAAACAAAATCTAAACAAAAAATATGCAACTACAAAAACACCAGGTTCCTAAAACATTTTCAGATCACTTGCCTTAAGGACCTCAAATTATGATAGCCTCATCTCAGTTTTTAATAATAATACAAGCATTGAAAGCTAAATTTTACAACACCAAAGACATGAATAATTTACAGTAATATAAATCCAACAACACATTAAAGCTGTTGGAAACAATTGATGGATAAACTTTTGTTTCATTTATTTAAGTGGAATATTTAAAAATCTATAGAATATGTATAAATATTAAAAGGTTTTGATGGCATTCTGGAGTCCTCATTCTCACCTACTGCAGTCCCCCCAAAGCAGCTCTTGCTTTCACATTCCTTTGATTTCTTTATCTAGAGGCCCCTTACTAGTTTATTGTCATTCAATTATATTTGTCTACTCTGAAGACTACGTTTCTCTTGTCAGCATGCAAATGAACTAAAATACAACATAAAGCATGAAAAATAAAGATCAAAGGGGTTAAAGTGAGGTTTCTGAATAGTCCCCTCAAAAATAGTACACTACTCCTGGATACTTCCTTTGTCCCTATTTGATATCTCTATTTCTGGGATTCAGACAGTACAGAGAAAGGAAGAAGCCCCAGGAGAATTATCACCCTGCTGATAATTCTTTCCATTAACATAGAAAACTGAGGGCTGACTATTCAATTGTAAGTTTTGAAGGAAAATATTTCAAAATACCAATTGTAACTGTACTGTTCCTACTCACTGGAAAAGACATTCTTTGTGCGCCTATCATGTAACCAGCAATGTGCTAGGGGACTTTTTCATGTGTTATTTAATTTGATCCGTTCAATAAACTTACTAGCTATTTAAAAGATAAAAGAAAATGGACTCAGAGAGGTTAGGTAACTTTCTCCCATTCATATGGCTGGTGAGTGGCAGAGCTGGGATTCAGACCCAGCTCTCTTCACTTCAGAGAAGAAGTCGTTACCATGATATTATTTGATTTATCTAAATGACATATTTAAAAAAAACAAAACAAAAACAAATAAGCTTTTAAAAATGGTGTAAAGTGAATTGCTCAGCACTATTAAACTATAAATGTAAATACTATGTGGTAAAGGAAAAAAAAAAGCCTATTCACACTGATATGATTGCCTGTATTCACAGGTGGAAAACAATTATGACCTGTACTTTAAGCAATGCTTGACTAGTGGTATTTGCAACGTAACAGGAATGCATTCTGTCAGAATCAGAGCTTAACATGAGTACTTTCCATTCCTGGGATATAGAATTTGTAAATGTATGGTATCATTTTGTTTGGACCTATACTAATTAAATGTCCAAAACCTGTCACGAAGTTTATAATAAACACGGAAAATAAAAGCAAATGATTGGGAACGTATTAAATTCTGAAACTTTACTACATATACTTCAGAAATAAAAGTAATTCTTAAGACAATGGTTCTCAGCCAGGGAAAATTTTGCACCCCAGAGATTTTTCAAAGTCTAGAGGCAATTTGGGTTGTCACAACTGGTGGTGGAGCTGCTACTGGTATCCAGTGGGTAGAGCCACAGATACTGCTAAACATCCTATAATGTACAGGACAGTAGTCAAAAATAAAAGAAGAGAGAGAGAGAAAAATGGGCCCAAAACATCAGTAGTGCCAAAGTAGAGGAAACCTGATTTAAGCATACGCTTTCAGCACTTGCTAAATACTTTTAAATTTATTCATTGTGTAATATTTAAGACACGAAGATGGATACAAAGACAATGAATCTACGTGTCTACCACTGAGTTTAAGAAATTAAAAGACTTAAATTTCCCTTGTGTATTCCTTCCTGCCTTCCTAAAATATTTTAAAGAGATTAGTTAAAATACCATTACGTTATACCCGTTATTATACTATGTTAAAGTGTGCCATAGCATGTTAAATTTTATATTATGTTAGATTATACTATAACTATCACAAGTCTTTAAAAGATTTAATAACTAGGTACATTTCTATTTTACATAGGAGGATATCTAGAATTATAATAGAACCTTGCAAAAAGAATGTAAAGATTTATTCCTTATGTATAGAAGGAAAGGTTTTGATTACCTCTTTAGTACATAAGAGAAAGTGGTTTTATAGATATGATCAATTACAAAAGTGTATAATTTGTTAAATATATGACTAGCCAATAAGCTTTGGATTTAAAACAAATTTGTATGCTACAAAAAATGAATAGGGAGCTAGCTGGGGGAGGAAATCATGATTGTTCTCTATCTCTCTGATAATTCCATCAAGGACATTATAGCCTTGACTCCTGTACCCTGAATCTCTTAGGCTAAGTGTCTAATGCTTTTTGTCTGGAAGTAGCCTCACAGCTAGTACTTAGAGGAGGGGTTATGGTATAACCTTGCTTTTCATTTCCCAGTTCAGATTTTGGAAGTTTATATAAGGAAAAAGAGGCCACTTACCAAGTTTTACACTTGTTTTTGTTTGTTTGTTTGTTTGTTTGTTTTTGAGATGGAGTCTCGCTCTGTCGCCCAGGCTGGAGTGCAGTGGTGTGATTTTGGCTCACTGCAACCTCCACCTCCCAGGTTCAAGCGATTCTCCTGCCTCAGCCTCCCGAGTAGCTGGTACTATAGGCGTGCGCCCCCACACCTGACTAATTTTTGTATTTTTTTTTTTTTTTTTAGTAGAGTCGGGGTTTCATTACGTTGGTCAGGCTGGTTTCAAACTCCTGACCTCAAGTGATATTCCCTCCTCGGCCTCCCAACGTGCTGGGATTACAAGCATGAGCCACTGCACCTGGCCCCTAGTTTTACACTTATGAGGAAATTCCTGTTCTACCCTGACCATCGTCTAATTTCAATAGACCCAATGGATATAGTATGAAAGAATCAAAATTCTAATGAAGTTCTACCATGGTTTAAAGTGTCCAAGGCAGCATAAAATATGATTTCTGAGATCGCATCTTACTGAACTGTTAGTGAGACTTACGTTTTGCTAAAAATGTAAATAGGCTCAATTTTTTTTTTTTTTTTTTTGAGACAGTCTCTGTCACCCAGGCTGGAGTGCAGTGGCGCGATCTCGGCTCACTGCAAGCTCCGCCTCCCGGGTTTAAGCCATTCTCCTGCCTCACCCTCCCGAGTAGCTGGGACTACAGGTGCCCGGCTGATTTTTTGTATTTTTAGTAGAGACAGGGTTTCACCGTGTTAGCCAGGATGGTCTCAATCTCCTGACTTCGTGATCCGCCCGCCTCAGCCTCCAAAAGTGCTGGGATTACAGGCATGAGCCACCACGCCCGGCCAATTTTTTTTTTCTTTTTTTGGAGATGGAGTTTCCCTCTTGTTGCCCAGGCTGGAGTGTAATGGCACGATCTCGGCTCACTGCAACCTCTGCCTCCTGGGTTCAAGTGATTCTCCCGCCTCAGCCTCCTGAGTAGCTGGGATTACAGGCGTGCACCACCACACCCGGCTAATTTTTGTATTATTAGTAGAGACGGGGTTTCACCATGTTGGCAGGCTGGTCTCAAACTCCTTGACCTCATGTGATCCACCCGCTTCAGCCTCCCAAAGTGCTGGGATTACAGGCGTGAGCCACCATGCCCGGCCATAGGCTCAATTTTTTATATTTTAAAAACATTTTGCACAATCCAATTAGTACAAGAAAAAATTAATTGTTTAAAGCTACCTTTTCTTTCTCTGTGAACAACAACACAGCTGGTGATGGTGACAAATGAAAATACTGGCATTAATCAATAATAGACATAGAGAGAATAAAAATAAGCAGCGATAACATTTGCTTGGAATATGTGTAATTATAATAATAGACTGAAAGTAGCAAACAAGGGTCAAAGGAAACGTCAATAAAAGAAAAAAACAAAAAAAAATTTTTAATCACCTATTTAAGAGCCAAAGATGTGAAAGAAGAGCAGCTTATAGATAAAAGAATTTTCAGACTGCAAAAGCATGCCATAATTATTCCACCATGATGAGAAATAAGAAAGAAATGTTTTATGATTGTTACTGTCATTGCTACTGTTTCATTTTCCCTAAAGAATTATGAAAATGAACATGGTGAATACAAGTTGTTATTTAAGAGAAAAATGTTTTCAAATTCTACAATACTAATGCCATTATAGCCTTAATTGACATACTTGTAGTCTTCTAAAGTCATCAACCCTCGTAAAGTGCACGCACACATGCAGACTCACAAGCCTGCATAAAATACAGATGGTCGATAGCCACGTAAATAGATCAATGATTACAAAGATGGATTGAGGAGACAAAAACGAGCTCTACTATTACACATGCATGAGCTTCCTGACTATAAGAATAATTATACTCTAGAACTGGTTAATTGAGGGAAGTTGAAGAATCTTTTTTCCCTGCAGAATCAATAGATACCCATCTATCTTTGATGACTTAGGTGTAGCATTGCCTGGAATCAGGGGAATGGACTAGATGATCTTCGTGTCATTCTGATTATTCTGTCGGTATCCAATAATAAGTTATATAGATCATATAATCTGTTTTGAGATAAAAATCACATTTGAGAAAACATAATCGTGTAGCAACCTATAAATACCACACATTGAGTACAGTGCTGGTTACTCAAATGGGCTTCAGAAAAGTAAAACAGCCAATATATGTAGAAATTATTGGTGGGGCGGGGGAGGGGGATTGTGGGGGATAGAAGCAAGCTGGCATAGTCCCATGTATGCATCGTAGAGAAACATCTATGGAGGTATTTCTGTAGTTTCCAGGTATGGAGGCATCCAGGAGCTGTATTTCACCTTAGGTATTATTAAGGAAAATTAAGGTCTTTCATCAAAGAAAGAATTTACTTAGGAAGGAAGGAAGAAAAGAAGGGAGGGAGGAGAGGAGGAAGGGAGGGAAGGAAGAAGGGAATGAGGGAGGAAGGGAATGAAAAGAATGTAAGAGAAAGTAGCAGGAAGAGAGGAAAGAAGGAGGGAGGGAGAGAAGGAAGAAAGGAAGGAAGGAAATGTCAAAAACAAAACAAACAAACAAACAAAAAACAATACAAGTGGAAGAAGAACAATAGATAGGACACCAGACAGTTGCATGCCCAGTAGGAATGCAGATGTCCCTTATAAGGGAGACAGAGACCAAAATACCATGAATAAACAGAACAGTTGCTTAAGGAATACAGGTGTCTGGTATATAGTGTAGATTGTTTCAAGAAAAAACTATAGAAAAATAACTATTTAAACTAAATAAGTCATTATAATCTGACATATCGAAGGAAATATCTCTTCTCCCAATCTCATTCTCTTATTCATCACTCCTTAAAAGCCTCTTGTGTTGGCTTTGATGATACACTATAGCATCCTGGCCATCTCTCTGATATGCTGACTCCTTTTGCTCTGATTTCTCTAATAGCTCCCATCCCCTTGACATGTATAGTCCCCAGATATGCAGTCCTTAACTTTCCATTTGTTACTTTTTTCATGAGGAAACTTAAGAACTCCATTGGTCCTGATATTCTAACAATCACTTCTTTGTAAATGACTCCAAAAATCCTTATTTTCAGTCTCAGCCTCTATTCTGACCTCCAATACATTTTCCAATGTAATGTTTTTTGTAAAATTTTTCTCCCTTGCCCTGAAAGTATTTTCTCCCCTACCCGATTTGCCTGTTTGTGTCAGGGCTACAACCACTGTCTCTACCACCAGGATTTTTCAATTAATAATTTTTTTAAAAATTCCTTATTTACCCAAATTCCCTTTTCTCCTACTTCTGAAATATTCAGGGCTTTATTACACCTTATGCTTGAAACTGCAATGATCTCCCTATGTCAAGTCTCTTTACATCAAGCCATCTGATGTACTGCAGCTAAGAGTACCTTTCCTAAGCACACAATTTGACCATGACCAAACTCAATAGCTCAGCATTCATGTTGTCTACCAGGGATCAAAACTTCTGGTGTATATAGGGGTTAGGAATGAGTCAGAGTAAGTAAAATGCAATAGGGAGTGGTGGCACCTGTGGCAAACCGGAGAGTGTGTGACATTAAAATTTCACTGATTAGGCACTAGAAAGGCCAAATAAAACAGAAGTGAGGGAGAGAAAGTGAGAGGTAGAGAGCGTGAATGCCTGTGAGTCACCAATTTGCTATCTGTGTGCCCCTAAAATATGACCACCACCAAGCTACTAATCTTTTATGCGCTCTTTCTCATTGCTACCCTATATGACGGCTTATCTATACCAGAAAAATAAAGACAGTATCCTTTATATACCTCAAGCCTTTGGCCACCATTCTCCTATCCTAGCCCTCTCTAACTGAATCCTACTAGTGTTTCAAAGTCTAGAACACTTCTTCCAGGAAGACTACCTTAACCACAGCCCACCCTACCCTACAGTTCACCTTCTGTGAACCTCTATATCAGGATAAAATAAAATAAATAGGATTATATAAAATACCAATTACATTTAAATAGTTATCAACATATTTACCAAAATAGTGATATAATGATAGAAGTGCTTGATTAAAGCATTAAAAATAATTTCTAGTCGCAGCTCTAATAAGTACTGTAATTTTGAAGCATTAATGACTGTAACAGTATTTTAAGATCTCTGCCACAACTATAATGTGATATGAAAATATTTATTATTTCTATTAGTGAAAAACTTAGAGGTACTGTTAATACTACTTTGGTCTGTTGCCTATACTCTTAAATAATATGCTAAATATTAATTAGAAGATAATGAAAATAAAGATGTAATATTCTTCGCATACAAGTTCAGGACCCCCTGAATTCTCTCCATGGGTCCCCAAAGAGGGCTTTGAACTCCAGGTTACCAACCTATGCTTTATCATATCTTTACAAATTATTCTGCAGTAATAATACACTATCTTTTATGTTGATCATCTTTTTTTCACATATTCCTTAAGAATATAAGTATAAACTCCCTACCTAGAATCATTTGCATGCACTAAGGATCTCAAATAGAACATACTTTTATTTTTCCCTTCACACATGCATCACTTTTTTCAAACCGCTCGTTTCATTACTCTGTCAATGCTCTATATGTGTGTCTATACATATTTCTGTTTTACCACTGATATCCTAAAAAGCACTGACTGATTGGTCTTAGATTTTTCTCTCAATAGATCAAATTCAATTATACTGAAACAAATTTTGAAGGCTAGAATAATGATTCTAAAAGTCACCAAAATTTAGTACACATTATTTGACAGTAACTCATAATTACATGTATTAAAAACTCCTCAACAACCTCAGGATATGGTGTACTTTTAAATGTTTCTACGTGCTACTGCAAGTATTTTAGGCCATTTCAATTTTTCCCACATAGAGAACTCATTTTCTAGCTTAAATTTAGATATTTTGAAATAAAATGAAAATTGATATTTATTAATAAGCTTCAACTTAGAGCTGGATCTTGCTGATTAAATAAAAGTTTTTCTGTTTTTTGTTTTTTGTTTTTTAAGTAAGACAATTATCCTGCCAACTAACTAAATTCTATCAGTTGTCTGCCCAGCAAGAGCCTATTGACCCATACTGGAAGAGAAAATACTACTACTGTTAATTCAAGTTCTGGGAAGTGATGTATCCTTAATTGTTGTTTGTTGTTTTTGTTGCTATGAGGAGACAACCATGCTACATGAGCAAAAAACAATAATTATGCATGGATGGAGTTTAGCACTGTAATCAAATAGAACTTACAACAAAGTTAATCTGATGATACACATTTAATGCCATGCATTATCGATGTGCTACATGGTAATTAGACATAAATGGTAAACAGCTCAAATGAATGGCAAATTGATGTTACTTTTCCATCACTGAAACAAATGTTCTGGAATTGGGGGTAGAAAAAGGTGCTAGTGATTATAGTCTTTTCTCCTGACAGAGGGAAGTCATCTCTCTTGGGGACTAGAAAATCATGTAATTATTTCTACCCAGGAGCATCCATCCTCCTTACCAGAAGATACTCAGACATTTGATTTGTCTAGATAAAAGCAATACTAACCTTAATAACTCAGGTAAGTTACTCGCCACTTAGGCCCTACACCCGTACCCAAGTAGCACAATTCCAATTATGTACATTATACTACATGTTAAACTGTTTTCTTCCCACAAGCAAAACTAAGAAAATGGGTTTTGATCAAACAGGGTAAGGATTGAGAAGAAACTTCAGAGTATCTGGTACTGAGAAGGAAAGCAAGTTGGCTTTAAAAAAGTCCTCAGCAAACAGAAGGCACAAAATTGGTGGGTAAAGCAGGATATGGGTAAAATATACAGATACATGAAAAAGATAAAGAGATAAAGGCTTAGAAAAGGGAATGGAGGTCTAAAAACAAGGAAGAGATGACATAGGTCATCTTATTACACCTGAGTCCTATTTTTAAAAATCACGCCTAGATTTAAGACATATATATGAGGTAAACTTTAATGTAAGCCTACAATCCAAAATAGAAGAGCTTCCACAGAGACATCACTTGCTCAAATTATATATGCAGGTTCTCTGAGATTTAGAGTTTGCAGGGAATATGGCAAAATTGTTAAAGTTATAGCATAAGCTATTTAACTATTTGATGTTTTTGTTTTGTTTTGTTTTGTTTCATTTTTTTTTGAGACAGAGTCTCGCTCTGTCTCCAGGCTAGAGTGCAGTGGCATGGGCTCGGCTGAGTGCATTCTCCACCTCCCAGGTTCAAGTGATTCTCCTGCCTCAGCCTCCTGAGTAGCTGGGATTACAGATGCGCACCACCACACTCAGCTAATTTTTCTGTATTTTGAGTAGAGACGGGGTTTCACCATGTTGGCCAGGATGGCCTCGATCTCCTGACCTCGTGATCTGCCTGCCTCAGCCTCCCACAGTGTTGGGATTACAGGCGTGAGTCACCATGCCTGGCCCTATTTGATGTTTTCTAAAACTCAAAACCAACTCATGGCTCAAAAACAAAAAACAACAAAATAAAGAAAAACAGAAAAAACTACAATGACTATACCCTTCCACAGAAATCTTTACAGTTATTCCTTTCAAAAATTAAACCAGACAGGGCCAGACATACCAAGAATTCAAATAATGTGTCAGCTCTGTATAGTCCTTTATCATACAAAGCACTTTATTTGGTTAAAACCTCACAATGACCCTGTAATTTCAAATGAGAAAATAGAGGTTTAGAAAGATTAAACAGTTTGTTCATGGAAAGCAGAATAATATAACAGCTTTAGAGTCAAGACAGACATTGTTTTGAATCCTAGTTCTGGTACTTTGCAACTTACACCACTTACAAGCTTTGTGAAATTGGGCAATCTCTCTAAACCTCAGTTTCCTTATTTGTAAAATGAGAATAATAGTGCTTATCTCATAGGATTACTGTAGGATTCAATGAAATAAAAAATACAGAAAGTGCTAGCCATAATCAGCAATACATGTTATGTACCCAAACAGAGTTGGGTAAAAGTTAGATACTCAACTTAACAATGGGTATGTTAAATACCCACTAATTTTCAGCAAGCTATTTAACCTCTTGACCCCTCAGGTTTTTCACCCATAAAATGGTAAGAACAATATACACTTAATGCAGCCATTTTGGTGATGAAGTACATGTAATTGTATGTACAGTGAATAATGGACAATGATATGTCTATATATGCATATGCTTATACTGAAACGGATATATAGCTTATAAGTGGCAGAAACAGAATTAGAACCTAGATTTTCTATACTGAGTCCCCTTACTATCAACACAGCTAGATATTCCTGATTTTATTAAACTATTCAATGTCTTTTTAAAAATCTAATTATAGAAGAGAATTTTCTTACAACTCCATTGAGAAGAGAATAGTCCAAAAAAATCTGTGAAAATGAATTTCAAAAGGAAAATATCCAAGTTACCTGAATTAAAGCCTCACTCAGCATGTCTTCATTAACCTCCAGAATAACGTTTCTTATGTCTTCATATGGCATGCGATATGATCCCAGAAAGATGGCTAAAATAAAATTTGATTTTATTAAAAGTATAACAGCATCAACATGTTAAAGTCCTAATAAACGTCTGATTTTCATTTCATAGACTCAAAATATGAAATTTGTCACTAATATACAGAATTATGAACAAACAAAAGTTGTTCCATTTGATGGACTACTCACTCTATCCATCTAGACAAAATGGCATATTTTCTCGGGCTGTAATGTTTATAGCTAGTGCATATTTACACACAAAATAAAATTCCTACTAATAGCATTCATGACTACATGCTTATGCCTTTTAGATTAGGATGATAACACAAAATGACCCATGAAAACTTAAGAGATTTTATTTCAAGTTGACCTTTTTATTCAATGAAGAACTTAGTGTGGAGATTGTCAGATGCACCCAACACAGTATTTCTCAGGAAAGACAATAAAATAACCAAATAAAAAATCATATCCATCTACTCTGCAATTCTCCCACATAAGAAAAAAATTAAAGTGCCTAAATCATCAGTGTGCTCTGCATTCCTGCTTATATTCCTGTGGTACACTATTACTTACTTTATATATTGACTCACAATTTCCCCTGCCAACTTTTTCTTAAATGGAAATCTATGATATCATATTGGAATAATTCAGCAAATTAAACCTAGAATAGCTAACAATTATTCAGAAGGTACTTGCAACAACATGTTCCATTAAACATATTTTTTAAAGAACACAGATGTGTTCTTATCACCAGAACTTGAACATTTCTTTTTTCTTTTTTTTCTTTTTTTGAGACAGTTTCGTTCTTGTTGCCCAGTCTGTAGTGCAATGGTGCGATCTCGGCTCACTGCAAACTTTGCCTCCCGGGTTCAAGAAATTCTCGTGCCTCAGCCTCCCAAGTAGCTGGGATTACAGGCATGAGCCATCACGCCCGGCTAATTTTGTATTTTTAGTAGAGGCGGGGTTTCACCATGTTGTCCAGGCTGGTCTTGAATTCCTGACCTCAGGTGATCCACCTGCCTCGGCCTCCCAAAGTGCTGAGATTATAGGCGTGAGCCACCGCGCCCGGCACGCAGAACTTGAACACTTCTAAGAATTTTGTTTTCTTTTTTTCATGAAAAGGTCTATATGCCTTCAGCCATACCAAAAGAAAACAAAATCCTCACTCTATAGACAAATGATTACCTTATACATAAGACCAAATGAGATCTCCACAATCTAAAAGAATAATGTTGACAGAAATCAACCAGCAATTGAGATCCTACTGTGTTTTAAAGAAAAGTACTGAACGTCAACTTTGAAAATGTACTATCAAATAAGCAATGTACACATTCACAACAGCTACTGATAAACTGCTTCTCTGAAAGCAACATTTCTACTGACATGAGAATGATGTTTTGTTTATTGTAATGATTCCCTATACCACATTCCTTAACAAAATAAGCTCCCATGGTATTACTTTGTGCAATTAGACATGCTTGATGTGTGGAAATCTCTGATGCATAGTGTTTTTGTATCAGCAAAATCTAAACACAGTCTACTGTAGTGACAGACCAAAAATTCTGATTTCAAGACAGAGGGAAGAGTATGTTAAAACTTAAAGGCTTACATAAATGAAGATGGGTTTAACTGTCCATCTGCTTTAGAAAAGGTATACTTAATGGCTGACTGGTTTGTTAAAGGCTTCAAGATTCACTAACCAGTTTTTAAATGCAGTTAAGGTTAACAATTTAAGTAGCTCACATCGCAATTACTTCAGACATAAAGGAATAGCAGTAGAAGGATTTTTCCAATGTAACTAGTGAATACTCTAAAACTATCAATCCCAGGTCTAGAGAGAAGGAAAAAAAAATCACTTTTTGTCAATTCTGCCTTATGTTTCACTATGTCCTCCAACAGTGTTTTATTATCATTACTTTCCAAATCTTTACTATTCCCAAGTTTCATCTGGCCTGACAGAGGTTGAATTAGAATTTTCTCCTTACTGGCTAAGTGACAAAAAGGCAACCAAATCATGTTTACACAGGATTTTGTTTCTAGAAGATGCTAAATATGCCTGTTTAAAAAGGTTACAACTTTCATTAAATACATTAAACAGCTCCCACCCCTCTCACCGTTACCTATACCAATCCTACGAAGAAAATATTACATACACAGATTCTGAGCTGTTTTGGGATCCAAAATTCTCAGTTCTTTCACTTTCTTCTTTGTAGGCCCAGTCTTCTTTTCTTCTAATGCTTCTGCGTTCTTTTGAACTGAAAGAAAAAATGTTGATTCATAAACAATAAGGGTACTAATCCAAGTACACGGAATAACATTAGTAAGGCATATTAACTACATTAATAAAGCTCATTCTGAAATCAATAAATGTGTTGATTTCATTAGCTCAAGGAAGAGGATAAACATAAAAATACAGAGTTGTTTAGAGTTTTCACTACAAATTAAATATCAGCACTTAAGCAGAAAAGATAAGCCAAATGAACCAAAAATCAATTGCTCCTTCTTACCTAATACGCAACATTAATTACTCCTTTACCAGGTACCTACAGCAGTACTGGAATTAAATATATAGTACAACCTCACTAATCTGAACTAATTGAGGGAAAAGGAAGACATGCATTTCTCTCAAAATATGCTAAAATTTAAACAATTCAGTGAAATTGCTTTAAAGCACCTAAGGTAAGTTTAACTGCTAAACAGGTTGCCATATACAAATTCCTGCTGAGACTGTTTTGAAGAATAGTTATGAACCATTTGCAATTTGTACAACAGTAGCACCATTTGCATACATGTAATTAAACAGACTCAGCAATGTGTTCTTTTGAGTAATTTAGCTTTGTATCCCTCGCTATTTGAAAAATACTATTTGCTTCCTTAGAACAGAAGATTTACTTTGCTTTCTTTAGAAGGTAACAGTATAATTAAAAACAGTTTAAAGGACTGAAAGGGTAAGGAGTAGCAGTGCCAAGGAGTGGCTTTAGCCTTCCATAACCTCCATCAGCCAACTCCCCAAGTAGGCCGGCCCAAAAAACAATGTGGCTGTCTGCTATGAAAATAAAGCATTAAGTTAAATCCCCAAACCCCTCCGGTATAGAAATTTTACAGCTACCATTGTACTCAAGTGTTGGCAGTTTACCTTTTCCAATATAAAAACAGGGTTGTAAGTAATGGGGCCATCAGAAAATATAAGAAAAGTAAAGCTAGTACTTTTTCAGTCAAGTAGAGTGTTAGGTCCTTGCCCCCAAATTCATGCTGCTAAATTACATCACTGGTTCATATATGACCATAATCATGCTGCTGCTTTATCAATGTTAAAAAGATAACTTCATTTTGAGGCAATAATGATATTATTTTAATTCACCTAATCTTTGTTAAAAAGACCACAAATGCATTATTGATTTTCTTTTTTAGAGAAAAAGCAACATAAAACCACAGTACACTTTTACTTAGGCAATATGTTCATAGATGTTACCATCTTGGAAGCAACATTCTACAGAATTCATCAAAATACTGGAAGTCCGTTAAGACTTCCTTTGTTTTAATGGTACAAAATACAGAAAAATTAAATGAGCATGCTACAGAAATACCAGATATTAATAAAATAAATTACCTGGATAACTAAACTCCTAACAGTGCTAAATTTTACCAGACTGGCCAATCTAAAGTTATGTGCAGTCTAAGGAGAATGGATAATTATACTTAGAAATTATGATCTTATGAGACATGGCAAGCAGTTTGCCATGTGGATTCAACATAATAGTCACTGCTACTACTGGAAGAAAAGTGACTTTTAATGTATTTCTCTTAAAATATATTAAAAGAATATATTTTATGTTGATATTTATCTGTATATATTTCCAAATATGTTTTAAAATACATTAAAACATATCTCAAATATTCTTCAAAGGATCTTTCTAAGAGCATAGAGTCTTTCATATGCAATAATCAACATTTTAATTTATTCTAATTGTCAAGCCAGTTCCAGCTTAAGACAATTGTATACAAGAAAATGACAGTCCAATAGTCATTCCCTTTGTCTATAAAATGTGAAATATCTGAATCATATTGAAATTACTTCTAGAATCATTCACTAATTTGAACCCAGTCAAGGAAATAGTCAAGAAAATTTTCCTAATATCTCAATATGCCTTAAAATTCACTATGGGAGACTAATTAGCCAAGTACATATAAGAAAAACATGTTGTGCCATGAAGGACCTATAAAGATGGTTCTGCAAACTAACAGGATCCTGACTAACCCAGGAATAGATAATGCTCATTTAATGACTTTATATTTTTGCATTTTTTAATTAAAATATGGTCTAGCCTCTCCCCTTTTCAAGTGAACAAATTGTTTAAAATTAAGATTAGATGCCCTAAATATCTATAGTTCATAGTTTTCTTTCTTGAATCTCAACATATTTTCCTTGTGTTATATAACTTGGCTTAAATCCTGGGTTCGAAAAGTGATAAGAGTTCCATGAGTGGGCACTGCTTTTCTGAGAATCACTAGAGAAAAACAAGTTTAGAACAGTTCTCTAACTAGACAGGCTTTCAGAACTAATCATATTTTTGCCATGATAAATAATTACAGACCAGTGGCTATTATTGCCTTTGGCCTTCTTGTTTTAAAAGCATTCCTTAGGGATCATGACCACAGGCTTAGATAAATAGAGAATTCAAAGAACAGCAATGAGACATCAAATATCCCTATAGTGTTCAACACATCATATGTTAAAAATTGCCTGCTTTCATAGTGACCTCAAAATGTCACTTATCCTAGGATACTTTTATTCTGTATGTTTCTAATGGTTACAAAACATTAAATAAATAGCAATTCTATAATTATTTGAAGTTACTTGGATGAAACTAAAAAGTTTTTTTAAGTTTTGATACAAAAACTTCATGAATTGATTTTATCATCAATTGCCCTATGGTCCTCAGGTTCATAATGAGGCCCACAGTCAAACGAGACCTTCCCCGTACAAATGAAAAAACATATTGCAAATGGGTTTGAATCCAATATATTGAATTAATTTGAGTGTGTAAATTGGCACTGCTAATAGAATAATAATGAAACATTATAAAATACTGTCTGTAGGAAGATAATCCTAATAATGAAGACATTTATATTATTATTAAAGATATGTTAACATCAAGATACTCATTATCTAAGATAAAATGCCCACTGAGTATTCTTATATTTCCTTTAATACATGGATTTTTACAAGCAATTGTACTATAAATGTATTCCTTTACAACTGAGAAATGCTCATCAGCATAAATAAAGTAAACATGGTTATATTCTTTCCCCAATTTAATATAGGCAATGTTCAGGAATCTCCTATTAATTTCTGATATCCCAGTGGATACACAGAACATGTGACAAGTTATTATAATTTGTAGCAAGTATTAAGATATTTTAAATAGGCAACATTGCATGATTTACATAGTGATAACTAACCATGAATCACAGTAAAATTTGTATAACTACTTTATCTTAAAATTTCAGTGAGAAAGACTGATTTCTATGGCCAGAATCACATTCATTAATCTACCAAATATTTCTTGAGCACCTACTATGAATTAGCTTAGCATGAGCATACAATGGTACACAACACATAAATATCTACTCATACTGCATGGTCATATGTAAACCACTAATTATGGAAGTATCCCCAAAAGGTACCTAACATTTATAATTTTCTTTATAAATGTTATAAAGAATCCATAAAATATATAGCTTAGGTACCATAAAATATCCACAAAATATAGCTTAGATGAATACATGTATACCACTCAGTAAATTCTCATTTTCTTAGTGCAAGCATAGTTCTATATAGGGAACATCATACCTTTGAATCAGCATCACATTATGTGTTGCATCATATTATAAGAAATATGAGGAGAATTAAAAGGATGTCCCTTCCTATTAAGTACACTACATACAGGCTGGGTGTAATCTCAACACTTTGGGAGGCTGAGGCGGGCAGATCACCTGACGTCAGGAGTTCGAGACCAGCCTGGCCAATATGGTGAAATCCTGTCTCTACTAAAAAATACAAAATTAGCCGGGCGTGGTGGTGGGCGCCTGTAATCCCAGCTACTCAGGAGGCTGAGGCAGGAGAATCACTTGAACCCGGGAGGCGGAGGTTGCAGTGTGCCAAGATTGCGCCACTGCATTCCAGCCTGGACAACAAGAGAGAAACTCCGTCTCAGGAAAACAAACTAACAAAAAAGTACACTATATACAAAGCCAGGGTAAATAAAGCTAATAATAGTAGTGTCAACAAACACACTGAAAATTTATGTAACTTCATGCATACATATTTGTATATTTATGTAACTTCACGCATACATATTTGTATATTTAACAAGTAAATGCCAATTGTTCTTTTACATATAACATACAAATATAAGAATTGTGATCCATATATACTTAAATACATATTTTATCCATGTGGATACAATTCCAGAGGTGATTCCAGCTACATGGAAATAATTTTTTAACATATTGGTTGAAATATACAATATTTTAATTTCAATTAATGACTTGATAATATTAAAATGAGTGCAAGAATGGCAATGAAAGGTACGGGAAATCTACTCTGGTTTTTGCATGTGACAGGTTTAATGATTTTTTTTGTTATTTTCTACTGTATTCTGAATCACCTTTATCTATGCATTTCTGGAAATATCACATGAACCTGATGGAAAAAAAGGGCAAAGAAGATTAGATCAATAGATAAATACATATGCAATACACAACAGATGAGAGTATTAAAAAACAAAAATAACAGCAGTAGTAGTAGTTTTACTACTGGTAACCACCAATACAATCTTCACAAGCACCACAAAAATCAAATTTTTATTACATATCTGCTCTGTATCTGGCATTAATTTTTATACCACTTTATATGATAGGTATTAACCACTGTCATTTTACAAATGAGGAAATCAAGGACAAACTTGATCATATGCCCAAGGTCATATAGCTAGTAATGAAAACATGCTCAACTTCACTAGTGATCAGGGAAATGCAAATGAAAATAACTGAAGAAATACCATTAACAGTCATCAAATTGAAAAATTTTTTAAGTCTCACAATACCAAGTATTGATGAAGATACGAAGAAGAATTTGATTATGCCAATGGTTGACAGTAAATATTCAGCAATGACTTAAAAAACGCATGCATCAACATCTAATATATTTGAAGGTATGCTTGTCATAAACATAGCCCAACATTTCTGCTTGTAGGTCAAGTGGTCAAGGAGACAAAAATGTTCACTTCAACAGTGTTTATAACAGTAGAAAAGTTATAAACAGCCCATGTGCCCAGGGGTTATGAAATGGATAAATTGTGGCATATTAATACAATGTAATATCACACAGCATTTACAGTGATTGTATTACAGCTATATATTTCAACAAGGATTGATGCCAAATACAATGCTGAGTGGAAAAATTAAAGCTATGGAAAATGGTACATGCAGTATAATTTTCATCTAAATTAAAAATAAAACGGAGACTAATCTTGCGTATTGTTGATGGATGAGTATATATGTAGCAAAATTATAAAAACATAGACTAGATATTCACCAGTTAATGACAGTGGTTGCCTAAGAGGAGGAATCTAATGCTGGAATAGGTAGAACCTTGGAAACTTCCATTTTAACTTTAATGTTTTATTTCCTTAAAAGCAAAGACCTGGAGTAAATATGACTAAATGTTAACATGTGTTCATTTTGGGTGGCTGGTAGATGGGCGTTTGCTAAATTAGCCTTTGTAATTTCCTATTTTTTGACATAAAAATAAAAATCATATGAATAAATCTCACAAACATTCCTATCCATTTTTATAGTTTACAAACTGTTAACCTTGGAAATCCCAAGGGCCAAGTGTAGACAGGAATTACAAACAATATGGAAAAGAATAATTAAAAATGCTGGTAAAGATGAATCTGTTTGTAAGGAACCACTATTTTGTGTTCAATTGTTATCGAGTCTGTTTTGTGAGGAATAACACATGTGTTCACCAAACCTTAGGAGGGAAAGCTGATGCAATAGGCAGGAAGAGATTCCATTTCTGTCTCCTTGCACATGCTACATATTACAGCTGCGAAGCTTCCCCTCTCCATGTTGCCTACAGCTGCACACTAACCAAGGCATCCCACAGAAAGGTAGATTTCATTCTGACACCTGCATAGTACCTGAAGCAATAGGAATGGCATTACTAAGAATGTTTCTGAAGTTCAGAGCACATTAAACAAGACTAATGGTTGTAATGGTAGGGATAACACAGACATACTTTGTAGTGATTTCCTAATTAAGGAACAAATCTTACTGGTTGTAGTTTATACAAGAACACCCCAAATCAGGAAGCACATGTTACTGCAAATTAACATCTGCATAACTAATATACTTGCACACCTGTTCATTAAGCCAATTACTGAACACTGCTAAATGTCACCAGAACATTATGTTTAACAGCGTGCATAGCTAATGTTGTGTATTTTCAAATGGGCCTCAATAACTCAGCAGGTAATGCATATTTTAGGAAGGACAAATAAAGTTGTCTTAGAGGTTTTAGGGAAGAATTTCCCTTGTTTGAAGTGGTAACTTAAATACCAAAACTGAAGTATGGTCTTTACCTCAAAGTAGTACACTTACATCTTGTTTAATGATGTGGATACATTCTGAGAAGTTCTTCTTTAGATGATTTTGTCATTATGCGAACATTATACGGTTCACTTACACAAACCTACATGGTATAGCCTACTTCACAGGTTAGTAGCCTATTGCTCCTAGGCTACAAACCTGTACAGCATGTTACTGTACTGAATATTGTAGGCAATTGTAACAAAATGGTATTTGTATATCTAAACATATTTAAACATAGAAATGGTACAGTAAAATTATGATATAAAAGATAAAAAATGGTTTAGCTGCATACAGCACTTAGCATGAAGGTAGCTTACAAAACTGGACAGTACTCTGGGTGAGTCAGTGAGTAAGTGGTGAATGAATGTGAAGGCCTAAGACATTACTGTACACCACTATAGACATAGGCTGTACACATAGGCTACACCAAATTCACAGAAATGTTCTTTCTTCAATAATAACTTAAACTTAGCTTATAGTAATTATAAACTTTTTGTTTTTTTTAAACTTTTGACTCTTGTAATCACACTTAAAATACAAACACATTGCAAAGCTGTACAAAAATATTTTCTCTATATCCTTATTCTGTAAGCGTTTTCCTGTTTCAACTTTTTTAAAATTTTTACTTTTTAAACCTTTCTGTTAAAAACTAAGACACAAACACACACATTAGCCTAGGCCTGTACAGGGTCAAGATCATCAATATCACTGTCGTCCACCTCTACATCTTGTCCCACTGGAAGGTCTTCAAGGGGCAATAACACACATGGAGCTGTCACCTCCTATGATAACAATGACTTCTTTTGGAATACCATGTGAAAGACCTGCCTGAGGCTGTTTTACTGTTAACTTTTTTTTTTTTTAACAAGAGTACACTCTAAAATAACAATGAAAAATACGGTAAATACATAAACCAGTAACATGGTTGTTTATTATTACCAAGTATTATGTACTGTACACAATTGTACGTGCTATACTTATATATTACTGGCAGCACAGTATGTTTGCAACAACATCACCACAAACATGTGAGTAATGCATTGCACTAGAATGTTACAATGGCTACATGTCACTAGGCAGTTGGGATTTTTCAGCTCCATTATAATCTTATGGAATCATCATCATATAAGCGGTCCATTGTTGACCAAAACATCGTTTTGTGGTACATGACTATATTTGACAAATGAGGTTGTCAAGGTGGTTTCCTGTTAACCTTTAACCTATATGAATTACCTTATTCAAGCTCAAGTCAGTCACTTTACCCACTGGTTGTCTCTGGCTTTCTAAGTACGAACTGACATTTTTCTGGCTATCCCATTTATTCAGAGAACTTCCTGTTATTTTAAATGTCAGAATTCCTGTCACGAATCAGTGAGTCCAGCAATCAACTCCAAGAGCTAAGTGCATCAAACAAAGTACTAAGAAAGGCATATCTGTAGGAATTGCGATGCTACAAAAACCAGTATCACTAGGCCAATAGGACAATTCTTGTTGAGAATACAGTCTGGGCATTCATCACACACAGGCTTTTCTGATTTGATATGGTCCATCTCAGCTTGGTGCAGATCCTACACACAATTCAGTTTAATGCTACGTACATTAACCTTGCTGAGTAAGACTCAACAAAGTAACACCCTGAAATATTTGTAGCCATAATCTCAAATTGACAATGTAGGACTTTTCAGACTAGGAGACTCACAGTTGCCTCCTACATATTATTACTAAATAATTTGAGATAAAAAACTTCCGTGGAGATGCTGAGCATAACCCCGCACTTTAATATTCCTCATAGAGTTCTTCCTTGTGGCCCTAATCAAAGTGTTTTGCTGTGCCTTCCTGAATATTAACTCAAAGCTGTGGTTTCTTCTCATTATACATGGCTTGGTATCCTTATTTGCCTGAAATATAATTCTGAATTTGATGGTTGGTGATTGCTGCAGGAGGTGCTGGGTGTTATTAATTTTTTATGGTTGCAGGGGAAGATAAAGACTAGAGACGAGAGATGGAACAATGGTGTTGAGGGGGGTGGGGTATGTGTTCCATACTTATCTAGTCCAGCCATATAACTTATGTACAAAGAACTGGAGTGAGAGGGTTGGAGATTATGTCAGGAATCCAAGGGCTCAGAGGAGTTGCCAGATGAAAAAAAATGGTTGTGTAGAGTGGAGCTATATGCTCACAGAAGGCATAGGCAAGAGGAAGAATCCAAAGCCAAAGAACATTAGCTGATTAGTTTCTGATCACCTCCATTCCCAAAGACTCCCAGAATCAACCAGGAGAGTCTTTGAAAAGCAGTTGAGACAAATTTTAGATATCATGTAAGTAGGGATTCAGGACTTTGAAAATGTGGGTATTAAAAATGTATTCGTCAGGTTTGAAGTATAGGAAATTTAGATTATTTATACCATGTGCTGATGACACCTGCTTCATAGGAATGTTGTGAGAAAGAAATGGCACATACATGTAAAAGCTCCAGTAACATAAAGAAGGTCAGCGAACTTTTTCTATAAGGCTAGATAGTGAATATTTCAGGCTTTGCAAGTTATACCATGTTTGTTGCAACAACTCAACTCTGCTATTGTATTGTGAAGGCAGCCAGAAACACTAAGTAAACAAATAAGGATGGAAGTGTTCCAATAACATCTTGTTTACAAAAATAGTTGGTCAGCTAGATTTGGCCTGCAGACCATAGTTTCCAAACCCCTGACATAACAAGATGTTCAATAAATGTCTGATTCCTTATCCCCTTCCTTCTGCAACTGAGGTCAATTTATACTTGCTTCCACTTTTGCAAATATGAGAAAATGTTCAACACTACCCCTGCAAATTAGGATCTAGAAGCTCCTTGCTATAATTGTTGACATTCTGTTTTTCAAGTAGGATACACATAATCAAACACATTTATACTCCTCATGGTTTTTGAATGTGTCATTCCTACAGGGATCAATTATCTCATCAAAAACTGTAACTGTCCTTTATTTTATTCCCCATATAGTCTCACATACGTTTTCATGTAAAATGACTGAAAACGCAGCTCAACTTTAATAAAATTAAAAAATTAGTTTCTACCATCCCATCCTTATTGGGGTTGAATGAGAGCTCATAAGCAGCTACAGTGTTCGGTAATGTTTCACTTGGGACATACTGGTTTATAATAAAATGAAGAGCAAGTTCTGTAAAAACAAACACACACACATAAATCAGACTTTTGTATTTCATATAATACAGTTCTTATTCTATGCACATAAAAATATTACTGAGTCTCTCAATTTGTTTGTTGCTGGCTGAGCTCAATGGGAAACATCAAGTTAGACTGTCCCTGTTTTCCCCATTTGGATTCCAACTGGTTTCAATTTTATCTTTCAGCAGTAATTTTCTTTAGTTCAGAAACCACATCAGTGTATACTGTTGCAGGTGATCAAAACATTAGAATAATTCTGAGAAGAGTAAGATAGGGAGGACCTGAAGATTTCATTTCCTTCTTTTTTTTTTTTTTTTTTTGAGACAGAGTTTCCCTCTATTGCTCAGGCTGGAGAGGAGTGGCATGATCTCAGCTCACTGCAACCCCTGCCTCCCAGGTTCAAGCCATTCTCCTGCCTCAGCCTCCCGAGTAGCTGGGATTACAGGCGCCTGCCACCATGCCTGGCTATTTTTTTTCATTTTTGGTAGAGACTGGGTTTCACCATGTTGGCCAGGCTGGTCTCGAACTCCTGACCTCAAGTAATCCACCCACCTCAGCCTCCCAAAGTGCTGGGATTACAGGCATGAGCCACCACACCTGGCTCCTTGTTTCTTTTTTTAAGTCAAGTTTAGTCTGTTGGTGACATTCTATTTGAAAGCAGAAAAGTAATATTTGAGACCATTTTGGAAATGTAAAAAGACATACGAGAATAAAATTCAAATAAGCTTTAAGTTCTCTTGTTTCCTGAACAGACTCACTACCCTCTTCCTCCTCAATCTATTATCCTGTTATACTACCAAGCATCTCAGAAGAATGCCTGACACCATCTCCCTGTCCTTCCCTCCTATTCTCTCATTTACTTGTGATCTGAATTCTAACACACTCATACCTACTGAATTAGCATGCTGAAATCTCTGCAGGTAGGGCCTCAGGACCTGTACCTCTTAAGAGCTCCTCAGGTAATTCCAAATATTAGCAAGGTTTAGAAAATCTGCTCTGTAGTACATAACACAACACTCTATAATAGCTCAATAAATACTTCCCAAATAGAAAAGTGCAAATATTGTTAACAGTAACCCATGAAAGCCCTCTTTATAATATCTTCCAAATCTTGGAATCTAACACTGAAGGCAATACTTGGTCAACCATTGGTCTCATAGGAATGACAAATAATGAGATTTTATGAAAGAACAAAGGATCCTCAAGGTACACTCCGTTAATTTTTAAATCAATTACAAACTAGATATATCATTGAGGGCAAGGATCTTGCACATATTTGTAAAATCTATCACTGTGCTAGGGATATATAAGTTCTTAGAATAAGTTAGAATAAGAATGCATAAAATGCATTAATTAAAACTATTTATGTAAATAATAAATACTAAAATGAATATAAGATACCACTGCCTCTCTCCCCTTTTATAGGTACAGGTGTCACAGGGGTAGAGAAGACGGGAAAAGAAAAAATAATAATAATCTGCTGTTGAAAAGGAAATCAAAAGCAGTTAAAAATGAGCGTTTTTTTTTTTTTTTTTTTTTTGAGACGGAGTCTCAATCTGTTGCCCAGGCTGGAGTGCAGTGGTGCGATCTCGGCCTACTGCAACCTCTGCCTCCTGGGTTCAAGCAATTCTCTTGTGTCAGCCTCCTGAGTAGCTGGGATTACAGGCGTGCTCCACCATGCCCAGCTAATTTTTGTATTTTTTTTTTTTAGTAGAGATGGGGTTTCACCATGTTGGTCAAGCTGGTCTCGAACTCCTGGCCTCGTGATCCACCTGCCTCAGCCTCCCAAAGTGCTGGGATTACAGGCGTAAGCCACTGTGTCCAGCCCAAAAATGAGTGTATTCTTGCTTGCTATACACACACACCTATTCTGCCAGGTCACTGAAAACAATCAAGGCAGGCAAAGACTTGGAATATGCAAAATAGGAAGTGAAAAAAATTTTTATTCAATTAAAAACTGGAGTCTTCAAAAGAGAGAAAATTCAATCTAATAAAAGTCCAGAACTGAGCTAGACAAAATGTTAAGCAAGCACATCATAGCTTAGTTTCATTGCTTTTGGACACCATGTAGTCATTTTAAAGCTTGTGGGCCTTAGAGCAACAGATCTCAGAAACCATATTCTACTGAAAGTGCACATTCCTGAGTCTAATACTCTGCTTTACGTCAAGGTCCGTTTCAGTTAGCAAGTAGCATGTTGATACTATCTATGAAAATAAACCTGATTTTAACATGTAACCTATTTATCAAAGTAAATGGAGTCAACTTGTTATGAAACCTATCCAAAAAGTAAACTCAGTTTAATATTGAGTTTACTTTTAATATTGACAATCACAACTGTTGCGTGTGTGTGTGTGTGCATGCGCACGTGTGCGTTTGTGTATCATGAAATATATTATACTTAGGTAGTTTCAGTTTAACAGTGAATTTCCATGAGGTATTTATTCAACTAAATGCCAGAAACAGTTTGGACTGTAAGCTTTTAAGAACTTAAAAAAAAAATTGTTGGATAACAGCTCAGCTATGACAAACTCCGTCTTCTGTGAGAACTACCGTTTAATACTATATTCAGTGCTGTAGAGCATTCATAACATTACTGCAAACAATATAGAACAAAAACATAAGACTAGTCATTTATAGTAAAATAATGGGTAATTGCCCACTGTGCACCTCTTATTAATTTTGTAGCCAAGAGTTAGATAATAGAGGGTCCTATACTGTTTATAAAGGCATATATAAGATGAATGCAATGTTTAAGATTAAACACTAAATCTGAAGGCAAAGCAAAACTCAAATGTACGGTGGATCCTCAATATATGGCCCCTAAGATTCTTACTAGTTTTCTGAAATCTGTAGACTGCGGATAGAGCTATTACCATACAAAATAAAAAACATCTCATAAAGAATAGAATGAAATCTGCCTTATGTTAAAAAAAAAAAATCAGAAATCCTACAAATTGAAGGTTTTACTAGAAACTTATTGAAGATAATAGCCAGGTAAGAAGCAACTGCTAATAGTCGCAGACAGCATATGTATTTGACTGGATCAGGACAGCAACCTGCTGACTCTTTTTCCTAGCAAACTATTTCAAACCTGCTGTGCTCGCCATTAGGCTGGCCTTTACTTCACCCCAGCCACTTCAGTCCTATCACTGTGGGGGATCATTGTTGCTTCCCTCATGGCTGCCACCAAAGTGTGCCTCTGCTTTTAGCGCAGAATGCTTTGAATCTGAACTTAAGAACTGGTTATAACTACAGAGACAGAGCAGGAAGTAAATACGTAAAATTTGGAACAAAAGTGTTGTAATAAAATCAAATTAAAAATTCAAACTGGCTTATAAGATACAATAAATTCCTGTTTCTTAATGGAAAATTTTACTAAAATATCAGTTAAAAAACATAGATTCCAGAGTTGGCTGTGACAATCCATGAAGAAGAATGAAAAAGGGCAGAATACAGCTGACCCTTGAACATCATAGGTTTGAACAGCCAAGGGTCCACTTATACAAATTTTCTTCCTCTTCTGCCACCCTAGACAGCAAGACCAATCTCTCCTCTTCCCCTTCCTTCTCAGCCTACTCAACATGAAGATGACAAGAATGAAGACTTTTATGGTGATCCACTTCCACTTAATGAACAGTAAATATATTTTCTCTGTCTTAAAATTTTCTTCACAACGTTTTCATCTCTGTCCTACTTTATTGTAAGAATACAGTATGTAACACATGTAAAATACAATATAAAGTACAAAAACGTGTTAATCCACTGTTTATGTTACCTGTAAGACTTTTGGTCAATAGTAGACTATTAGTAAAGTTTTTTGGGAGTCAAAAGTTATTCTCGAGTTTTCAACTGCATGGCGGGCGGTCGGCACCCCAATCTCCATGTTACTCAAGGGTCAACTATATATCTAGCTTTCCACTTAGATTTCGTGGAACTGAATCTGATAAGACACTCAAAAAGGCAGAGATTATATCTGATACCAGGTGCACTATTTAAAGAAAACTGAAGCACATAAGATGTAATAGGTATAAGTGAGTACAGAAAATAAAATAGTTACTTCTAGGTAGCATCATCCTTGAAGTCCCGCCTCCAAAATATACACATTTTTAACATCTTATGGATATGACATGAGCTATTGTGTACACTGTTATTCTGTGTGCCTAATATAGATGGAGAGATTACAGTTTCTAATTTTAAGTGATTTTTGCCTATAGTCTACTAGGACAAGAGTAGCTAAGATAGCAAAAGTATGACAGGACTCCTGAATGACTGTAAAATATTTTCAGTTCATCTCCCTTCACATTTTTGCTGTCAAACCTTTATCTATCCATTAAGACCGAAGTCAAATGTCACTTTCTCTATGAAATCTTCTCTAATTACCACTACATTCTTCATCTACCTTTAGCACTGAAAAGGTATTTTCCACATGCTGCCCTACTTAATTAATTTTCATGTATGCATCTTATTGACTTATCTAAGTTATAAACTTGTAGGGAAGAGAACATTCACGGTACAACTTTATCTCCCACATCAATCCCTCCTCTCATGGTATGTAGAAAATGATGCTCAGGAAATATTATGAGAATAAAATATGTGAAATTTTAGAGTGGAAAAATGAGGGTACAGGAATATAAATGTGAAAGTGATGATCTTCTGTCTTCAAGGTGTAACTAAAGCCTAAGTAGTGAGGATGCCTGAAGTGTTGAGCCCAGAGAAGACAGAACAGCCAATTAAGAGGACAAAAAGAACAATAAAAAGGTATGAGAAACAGGGGAGTTCATTGTCCCAGAAGTGAGAAAGGAAAATGTTTCAATAAGAGAAAGTAATCAACAGTGTCAAAAGTAGCAGGAAGGTCAAGCATAGTCTAAATACTTAAAAAAAAAAAAAAAAAGACCAGAAGAAAATAGGCCATTTCAGATCATACAGAGCAATTTCAAAAGAGCAATGATAAGAGAAGCCATATTACAAGAAATGAGAAAGGGAATAGAAACATTTGCTGAATAGAGATCACTCACTTGATCAGTTTAGTAGGAAAGATAACTATATAGTGTGAAGGAGACAAAAAGTGACTGGATTCCAGTTTTGTGTAAGTTTATCTATTACAAGAAGGCACCTGATTGTCAAATTCACGAATAGTTTTTATGCACAAAATGATTTCAGAACAAACCCAGCAGACAATGATTTACTGGATAAAATCAATAGGAACTGTGCAAAAGAGATTATACTGTTCAACGATCCATGTTGCATCAATACATATAATGGAATGAGACAAGGTGATACAATGACCCAAAGCTTCCTGGAATCACTCTTTAATGAAATCAACTAGCAAAATAAAGTCTACATAGACAGTAAGCAAGTACCACACCTTTTTTTTTTTTACTGACAACAAAATAGAATTTCCCAATGTGACAGAAAGAGAAAAATAGCATGTAGCAGTAGCAACAGAGCTAAACTGAAAATTATTGTTTAGAGAACCAAACGTTTATACAAGCACAGCCCACAAGGTTCTGTCAACATTTCCAACAAAGAAACATGACAACTCCATCTATCTGAGTCAACAAATGAATAAAATGGCATGTTCAAGGGGAAATGCCACCGAAGCAGCAGCCTATGCCATTTTTATTGGCATACAAAAAGTTGCTGCATAACAAACTGCTAATGAGGATTAGAACATTATTCCATTCTGTGATATCAGGGCTAACCTAAAATATGAAGTATTTATCTATAACATTAGCTGATTGAAATAAACTGGCTGTCACCCAATTACCTACGGTGTCATGAGTATGTGAAATCTGACACTGTGCAGGCCTAATGGTAGTTATTCAAGCTTCCCTGCACACCAAGTACAGACAGACCAGTTAGGTGGCCTGCCAATACGACAACAGGTGGCTTTTTCAACTTACTAACTGCATTTGCAGTCATATTAAGAGAAAATATTCCAATGAAAGAATGAAATTTGCTGGGTCCTTTTAGTGAAAAAAGCATGCTTCCTCAAGCAGCTTCAATGTAATAAAATTAAAGAAATAGTTAAGTTCCTAGTAGGGGGCAAGGTGTTACCCTATGAAGTGAAAGAATTCCAGGAAACAAGTCACTAGCCTTAAGAAACGTATATAATCCAACATAACTGCCAAACTAACATTTCAAATAATTTTTGTTTCAGGTTTTATTTAAAAGGCGATTGCCTGTACGTTCCACATCTCCTTTTGCCACATACGACTCATCATTTAGTAATAGCACTCAAAGCAAAGCAAACGTCTAATTTCCTTTCTAATAGTAATTATCAATGATGTTATTATATATCTTCTATTTAATGAATATCTTAGATTGTATCTCTCAACAATTTAATTATCATAATAACTCTTCAAGATAGGATCCCATTTTTACCATACAAAAGCTTCGGCTCAGACCCGTGAAGTGACTTCGTCCACCAAATGACTATTAGATCTGGGATTCAAACCTAGATCAAACCTATGCTTTCAATGCATATTCATTCCACTACAACAAATTCCCTCCCTTAGTATATTTGCCTATCATTTCATTAAGTGAACTATGTTTAAAACAAAGCAGAGTGACTGGCACTTAATAGGCACCTTTGTAAATATCAATTCCTAGTTAATGGCCCCCTCTACAAACACTGCACTACATGTAGTCTAATAGAGTGAGATATACAAAGAAATGGGGTTCTGTCAAATTACAGGTAAGCATACCAGACATAGAAAATTACATTACTAAAAACGATGAAAGAAAAATTTGGTTTAACAAAAAGAACAGAAATGAATCAATGAGTGTATCTGCTGATATAGTCTATGGTAATTCAAGCACGATGCAATGACTTCATTATTTCCCAAAGGCAAAGATGATTATTTGCTGGCAGTTTTCTGAGCTAGCCCTTTAATACGTATGGTCATTATCAGTTTTAAAATAAAGAATCTCAGTATGAATTTTGCTTAAGTAATTCCAGTAATGTATAATCCACAGTAAAAATGCACACTCAAAGGTTAATATAAAACCTAGCCTACTATACAAAGTGGAATGAAATTTCCCTGGCATAAAATACCTTTAGGAATGAGTTAACTCTTGGCAAAATAAAGAGTATCAAAATAATAACAAAAAAACTGTCAAATACAATAAGAGAGAAGATGTTGCATTTCTAGCAGTTATTAAATGCTGGAGTTTACCACCACATAAAGGCTTTTACAGCTACATCCTCAATACTTGGCCACATTAAAACCTTTTAAAGTATGTAATCAATGAAACTGCAAGGCATAAACACACATAATGAAAAAAACTACTTCAAGCTGATCACTAGAAAAATAAGAGCACTATTCTCTTAGTTGAGAAATGAATCATGAAGTGTTCTTCCTAGAAATTGTCCTACTGGTTTAAGATCTGAAATTTGATAACAACAGATAGGAGTGACCTTGCTATCATTCAACTCTGTATTAATATAAGTATGTTACATATTTACCTATATGTATATACATCGATATAGGAAGCTACTGAATTTATTAAATTACTAATAGTTTTTTTCTTGAAACTTTCTTCTCAATGACTTCAAAGACCAGACTTCTCTGATAAACAATCCTATGCTTCTGACTAGTCTGTTTTCCATATTGTATTCTCTACTTCTACCTACTCCTTATATATTAGTGACCCCAAAGTCCCCATGCTCTAGCCTTTTTACTTTATATTTTTTGCCCTGTGCAATCCACTACCCTGACTTCAATCATTAATCTATGTGCTTATGTTTCTTGCATCTGTATCTTCAGCCCAGGTTTTTCCCTCTGGGTTGCAGACCCATAAATCCAACTCTTATCTCTTCCACAGGACCTCCAAATAAATATGCTCCAACATGAACTCATTCTCAGTTACCTGAGAAGTGTTGTGTCTGTTCCCTACTCCAGTGAAAGGCATCATAACAAAATATATAGCATAGAAATAAGAAATGTTCAAGCCATTTTTGAATCTTCTCTCCCTAAGCCTGCCCTCTACCTGCAAAATTCTGCCTAAATTTCTACTGCCCTGTTTAGAGCCCTCAATAATTATTGCTTAGATCTTTCATTCATTAATTCACTTATTCTACAGTTATAACACGCATGATCATATACAAGCAATGTAAATGCAAAAATGATTAAATGCCAGGTGTGGTGGCTCACACCTGTAATCCCAGCGCTTTGGGAGGCCGAGGCGGGAGGATCCTTTGAGCCCAGACAACAGAATAAGACCTCATGTTTACAAAAGTGAAAAAAAAAAAAATTAAACTAGCCAGGTATGGCGGCCTGGGTGACGGAATAAGACCCTGTCGCTAAAATAAACAAATAAATAAATAAATAAATAAATAAAATTAAAAAGAAAGAAAAGATTAAAGCACAGTCTTTGCTTTCAGATGGACAAATGAACAGCTATAACAATGTATTAGGGTGTATAGAAGAGCTATGAAATTACAGTAGTCACTCCGATTTTTGTTTTGTTTTGCATTTTTTTCCTCCCCTTTACTCCAATTTCTTCTACACATTCATTACTGGGGTTATCTTTTTAAAATGTTAAGATATTATTACTTATCCTTATTTTTTCTCCCTATGTAGATGATAAAGCTTAAGTAATAAGTAGGGAATTTAGTACCTTTTAAAATCTGGCTCCAAATTAACTTAATAGCACCCTGGTGTCCCAATGCTCTACCCAAACCAGATTACTCACTATTAGACAAAATCAGGACATCCCAAGGCTGTATACCTTTGCGGAATACCTTTGTTGAATGTTTTTTATATTCCATTCCTTCTCAACCTGAACACATTTGGCTAGGCTAAAATGCCATCTCCTTTGAGATGCCTTCCTGAACTCTTCCAAGCAGAATTAATTATTCCCTCCTCTGGGCCTCTACAGAGTTTTCTCCCTATCTTGGATGTAGCACTTAATATACTGCACTATCATTAGTTTAGATATCTGGCTCCTCCATTAAGTGTGAGTCACTCAAAGCCATCAGCAATATCTTGATCATCGTTATATCACTAGAAAGTAGTACCAATTTGACACATAGTAGACAATGAAAATAAAGCTTATTGAATTCAGTGAAAGAACTATATTGCCAAACTGTAAAAATTCTTAAATTATACATGTTAGAAACTAAATTGTATCCTAATCTAACAAATTAAAGGCCAGCCTTTCCAGTTATTGACCTTCAACCTCTATATCTATAAACAAAATGCATTTAAGATGTCACAGTCATTCATTGGTGCATATTACACTTAAAAATGGCTAATCTATGATTATGTTTTCAATTTCCATCACTACTATGAAACTTAACAGCTGACATATGTGTTTCCCTGGTAAAACCCATTACTGGTGGCAGATAAAACTAAGACAGATTTTCCTATGGCAAAATCCTACAATGTCAAGTCACTCTATATGATAAGCAGAGCCACTGTGGGTGATCCTAGAGCCTGAAGTGACTGCATGCAGGCAGCTTTCATTCAATGCCCTCTAGTCCTGAACTGAAAAATCAAAAATCACATATATCCACACAAAGCACATGTACATTCATTACTAAAGGTCCATTAATAAGATAATGATCTGTGTAGACTGTATTGATTTTTTTCTTAGACTTTTCTCTTTTAAGGTATTTCTTTTGTGAATGGAGAAGGGAAGAATTGTGTGAAAGAGGGACTGGAAACTTGAACTATCGACAGAACATAGTTCTTGCCCATGAAATCACCTCCTGAATCACTCTGATTCTTCAATAGGTAGTTATAATAGCGTGTTTCCCTATTCTAAAAATGAGTATTAATAAAAAACTAAGTTACATCAGAAAAGGCCAGGTACCATAATTTCTGTATTCTAGTACCAATATCTCATGTTTAGGAAACTATAACAAGAATAAAGTCATTCTGAGATGTCACATGTCCATGTAAGAAGGGGTCACCTTAATTTCTGTTCCTGAAAGTATGATAGAATATGTACCCTGATATCAACTACCTGTGAAGAGAACTGAACATGATGAATATTTAAAAAAATAATTTAAAACGTACAGATAACCTGGCAAGAAAGTAAGGAATACCTGGAGGCCAAAAACTAAGTGAAAGATAAACTTAGAGAGATAAATATCAGTGGAGTCAGCTTTGACCTTGAGTGAATATTCTGAACCCAGATGAACTTGAGCATCAGTTTTCAAGGCCTCAAGTATGGGGCAATAGAAACCAAGCCTAGGGCCTAATCAAAGTGGAAAGAGTAATAGGTAATGGTCCTACAAACCCCAGAGGATCACACCTCAGTTTAACAGTAAATTAGAAATAAACTTGCTCATCTCTCATGGGGCCTGAAAAGAAAATTGCCCATAACAAACCTTGGTGCTGGATGGAGAAAGTAAAAATCTTCTCTGATAATTTCCTAGTCCAAAGCCAGCCTTCATGCAGCCTGAATTCATAGCTCCTCAAGAGTCTTTAAAAAAAAGAAAACCTTAAGCCAAAAATATTAACATCAGCCTAGGTTGGTTTTGCAACCCAGCAAAAGCAAACATAAATCTCCTCTGAAGGATATCAACCCTCATGCTAGGCCCTAAAATAGTCCCACAGATAAATGTACAAGAAATAATAAGCATGTTTAATATAAAATCATATTTAACTCTTCCCTATACCCTATTGCACAACAATAATAAATTCCCTACTCCTAGAGATTCTAACTCAGCATTTGTGCTCTTATTCTTCTCATCTTCATTCCCAAAGGCATTATGCCTATTCAGACTCTCAGGCCCTCTCATCTTATACTCTTCCATTTGACTTCCTTAAATACAGCTCTGCTCCTGTCTGGCTTCTAAGATCCCTCAATGCTTCCAAATTTCTTAACAATTAAAGTCTGAATTTCTTAGACTAGCATTTAAGGGACCTCATAATCCAGCTCAATCTTGCCTTTTTAACACCATTTTCTGCCATTTCCCCTAAAGGTACCCCTGCTTCCCCCATCTCCAACACGAACCTTGTAGTCTACCCACATGTTATATACCTACTATTGCCTGGGAATATGACATTAGAAGCACCAGGGTTTTCAATATACAATTTATTCTGCTGAAAATATCTTTCCCCCACCCTCAAACATAGTATTAAATGTCTAAATCTACTCAGCTGTAAAGGCACAGCTCAATTACCTCTGCTTCCATGATGACGCCCATGTCTCTCCTTGTCTTCCCTGCTCTCATTCCTTGTAAATCAGTATCACTTCATCTCTATTTCACTTTTAGGACTTTCATGTTTGGTATAGTTGAACACGTCTTATTCTTGAACATTAAGCTCCTACATGTAAGGGTCCAAGTCTAGCTTAGTCATCTATAGTCCTCAAAAATACTTAGCAAAGTATCTTTTGTATAATAGGTGTTCAATAAATTGTTTGAATTAACAGATAAATTGGCTTTAACAAGCACTTATATTCAGTAAATACTATATTGAAGGCCTATAAACACAATCATGAGCATCTCAAATTCCTGCTGTTTGACAGCTTTTATTTTTGAGCAAAACAGCTAATGAGAGAAAAGATTTTCAAAAAATCAGATTGCTCCAAGTTCTTCACATGTTGTCTCATCTCAGATTAAATGAAGAAAGTGATACTTCTTTAGCCCAGATACGTGCTTCTTACACAGAAATGAGCTGTGGAAATGCAGCTGGCTGCAGTTTTCATTTTCCTTCTTATAGGTAAACTATCAAGCTAATTAAAGAACCCCACATTATCCTTAAAAATACATTCAGCTATTTAATAGGAATAGCCATCTAATTATTAAAGGCTATAGTAAATATATCCTCTGAGCTGTTAAAATTGCTTGAGGTGAGTGGCCAATTAAAAAAAAAAAGAAAAAAAAACAAAGCAAGACAGTTATATATCACTAAGACATCAAAGAAGTAGTCATCCCCTGACAAATTAAACCAGAGAATAGATATCTGCATCTCTAGATAAAATTAAGAATACTTCAAATTCCAGATTCTGGAAGCATCTGCTAAACACACCCCCCAAACCCACCAAGCCAGCAGCTGTGTGATCTATTTAAATATTCCCCAAACCACCTGGAAAAAATGCAAACTATACAGCCTTGTTCATAAAAGAAAATAAATGAATGTCTCTGCTGAATTTCTACCCTCCCTGTATTATAAAAGTTAATAGCCCTGGCAAGGGAGATTGCATAATTAAGAATTAAAATCTTAATGACTTAAATATTTTATTCAGTCTTTGATATCACCTTAATGATAGTAGATGTCCAGAAAGGGATAAAATGTGATTTGCTGTAGAAATTTAAAGTCTCTTTGAATCAATAATAACAATGAGAATAAAAACTTACTTACATTTATAGTGTTCTAACTATTATATAAGACCAAAAGCTAAATTCTATATGGTATCTAAGGTATTTACAGAAAGTGATACTTTTAACAAAATCATTCTGTAAACCTAGAAACAATGTTACCACCTTCACTCCGTGATTGCAAACTCAAAACACAATATTCCAAATAATTTAAGTTCAGCAAGCAATATTTCTGAAAGTAATGAATGTATAGATATTCATTGAGAGCATGTAAAAAATAAAAGAGAAATAAATGCCAACTTTTCCAAAGATAAGACAAATCAAAGGAAAAAGGACTACAAAAAAAATCATAAATCAGATGGACATATTAAATAGGCTCCTCAGGCAATGATCTAGTTTAATGTAACACTCAAAGAGCATAACAAAGTTCTTCTGTTCCCTTAAGCTAAAGCGAACATCTTTGTATGGTTTCCAAAACTGACACATTTGAATAAAGTCCAAGGATGACTCTAGTTTCAATGTTAGTAGTAAGAGTAGTTTCTTTCCAGAAGAGGAAAAAAAAAAAAAAACAAAAAAACGTGGTTCTATTATTTGTGTGTTGTTGATGTCTCACATAGATTGGGTCAATCTAAAATAAATTCTTTTAATATACTCTCATCATTATGCTACTACTACTTAATGAACCAAGTGAGAATACATGATTATTCATAAAGCAAAAGGCAACAAAAGGAAAAGATGACTCAAAAAACAGCACTTATTTAAAAAAACTACCCAGTTCAAATATGTCAAGAAAATATTTCACAAAGCAAGGATTTGATCATCACTGTCATGATAAAGGGGGGAAAGGTATACCATCAATTCTAAGATATATTTTAGAGAAAATTTAATGGTTAAAAATATGAAATTTTAGGAAGAATACATTTTGAGACAGAAGATTTAAAAGTATAGTTGTTTCCACCATCAGATACAGCACTGATAATAAACAAAAGAAAAACATCAAATGTCACCATGTTATAAATCTGAAATTCTGACTTTACGCCTTAGCAACCTAATGAGTAATACATCTGACAAGCTGGTCTAATAGTTTGGAGATAGGGAACAGACCCTACCACCAGCTTCATTGGAAGCACCAGTAATTTAAGTAACTTTTAAAGAAATAGAGCTGCCTGCACAGTGCTTGCATATATAGTAAGTGCACAATTAATATATCAAGTGCAACAGAAAGCAACTCAGTATATGAAGCACTTTTCTGTTGCAATGACTCAGTGTATGCTTATTTGTAATAAGATCACTTATAAAGTAATACAAGAATGAAGGGAAAAAATTAGATGCTTAGGAAGAGAAAAGGATTTAAAATAAACATGAGTGATATCAAAATAAAGGAGAACACTGAGTGTATGAGTTCTGAATTGAATTTTGAATTATTCAATTCATTGAACATGTAGAAATTAGTTTCTTCAATATTATGTCCCAACTACAATAAAGATATATTTTTAAAAACATCAAAGAACTACCACACCTTGAGTAAACTCTATGAAACCCCATAATCTGATTTTTAAAGTTGAAAATATAAACAAATATCAAGAATTGTTTTCTTCACCTGTAGTACTCCATAGCAGATGATTGAAGCTACTGTTTAACTAACTTTCTGAGGTAGAAACAGACTCTGTTTTCTCCTTAAAATCTCTTGTCGAATTCTATTTGACATTTTAATTTCTTATTTTATTAAGTGAGTCACTGAGGCAACTCAACTAGAGTATGAATATATGGCCGTTAGATCAATTAATGGTATTTTTCTTATGTTAGGGAAAGTAAGTATTTGCTACTCCTTCACCTCACACATTATTACTTTAAAAAATTAAAATTATTAATTATAATTAGGCTACTATATATGGGCTCAAAATTACCTCTCACCTGCATCAAACCGATGAGACATATATAAAAGTACAATCCTATGATATGGCTAAAAAGTCATGCCCTAATTACATTTTTAATGTTTGTTGTCTGTTAACTTAAAAGTAACTTGCCTTTCCTTGCATTCCAGTAGCAATGAGCACACACCTAGCATCCAGGTACAATTTCCCACTAAAAAAGAAGATTGTGCGAGAGTAGCTACAAGATGAAACTAAAATGTCTTTGTATGTCAAAAAGTAAGGTAGTGCTAAAAAAAAAAAATGTAGGCATTTCACAGGAACAGCTTGAGGGAGCTCTCACTGGCTAAATCTGGCAAAAATTTAGCACCAAGTAATGCATTGCAGTAACGAACTATAAACCATTGAAAAATGGGAATTTATAAGTTCATACTAATAATAAATCTATCAATAAGTAAAAATAATAGATGAGAAAGGAGAGGTCTTGCTTACAGTAGAATGCTGAGTGCCAACCGCTATTTGTGGAAGGAGTACTGTAATTGGCCACGTATCATTTTACAACCATTATGATAAATGTTAGATAACCTAGGGGAACATTTTGATGAGGAGCAAGATATGTGCATGGTCTTAAAGTGTCTTCCTACAGACTGCTTATTAATTCCAAGGAAAAAAAGAGTTAATTAGACACTAGAGAAATTACATAATACCTTAATCGAAAACTGACTTCTCCAATGAGAGGTGGACAGATAGTGAGTACCTCCAGGTGTATACCTCATATAGTATCACCTATGCTGAATTCTGGCTAAGAACATATATCCTGAATCTAATCATAAGGAATGCTATGTTTCTAAAAAGGAGATTTATATTTCTCAAATTGTTGATGTCATAAAAGACAAAGAATGGCTGTGGAAATGTTCCACATTAAATGAGGCTGAAGAAGAAATAGAGATGGAGATGGAGATTGGAAGGAAAGAAGGCAGGAAAAGAGAGGGAAGAGGGTTAAGGAAGAGGGAAAGAGAGAAGGAGAAAAAGGAGCTTAACAGTAGTTGAGTAGGGTAAAGGATATATACAAGTGTTCTTTGTAGTATTCTTAATCTTGCAATTTCTGTAGGTTTGAAATGATTTACAAATACAAGGTAATGTATAACTGGTCTTTCTTGGTGTTTCTCAGTGTACTATATTATGCTGTTTTCCTGGTCTTGCTTGAAAGGAAATCATTTGAATACCTATTTAATACCTATTTAAATTATATTACAGAATAAAAGGAAAACCGGAAGTATTAAATCACACCATCACCAATAGCTTAGAATCTTATATAAAGGGGGTACAGAGATATATACCACATAATATTATGATGTCAATGATAAAAGCTAAGATACAATTTCCACACAAATATTTCAAATTTCTTTTTGTTAGAATCATAGAACAAAGTCAGAGGATCCCTTAAAAGTACCTAATACAACCATTTGATTTTTTGGTTTATGGAACTGAGGTCACACGGTCACAGAGAACCAAGACTTAAAACACAAGGACTCCTATTGAGCCTTGTCACCTGCCAAAGTATATACTTGGCTAACTTGAGCAAACTGAAATGTTTCAAGTAAATCCTTTATATAGTGTTACTATGAACACAGCAAAAAAAAAAAAAAAAAAAAAAAAAAAGCCTATTTTATCCCTTAAGCTGTTTTAACTTGTATATCTGAAGTGTTTAACACAGATTATAATTATATATATATATATTTATTTTAAAACATGAATTTATAGATAAAGGGTACTATATATGCCTAACTGACTACGCTTCAAAAATTCATTATAATCATGGCTAACCACCATAAATGTCATTCCACTTAAACTGTTCTCATTAAATGTACTATCTGAACTAGATAAACACAACGGAATCCATTTTCATTGGGCTATCTCTAACAATGCATGAAGTGATTTTCATTCAGTCATCGTTCTATAAAGTAATTGGTTTGCCAATATTTCATTTTCATATGATCCTGTTGACAGAAATAAGTATTAGGTAGCATAATTCAGCTACTCCATCTTTTCCATTTAATCTTCAGATCTCCTAGTCACTCCCCTGTCATTTACTAAAGACTGTAGCAACTGACTCAGTCTTTTTGTTCACTCTAACTTCTGTTGTTTTCAGTGACTTCATCATCTGCATCAGACCTATTCTAGTCTCTCAGTTTAACTTCTCCATCTTTTCCTGAATTCAGCCTCTGCCATTCAATCCTGTGATCATCACACCCCGACCACCGAAAGTAACACAACCTCCCAAATCTCAATTCAATCACCATAACTGATGATCTTTTTTTCTATAGGTCCAGTTTAGTTGATCAAGTAACCCTGCTGAACCAATTATTAAATGTCAATGAAGCCACCAGCTCTTTGACCCACCATCCATCATTCCTCTCCTGTCCTCACTTGCCTCCCTGTCTAGTTTAAATTCCATGGTCCAAGATGTATTCCTTGACATTAGTAATCATTATCTAATGCACTTTCCCCTTAATGCTTCTATATGTTTTTGCAGGCCTGCATTTGTATGGCATTCTTAGAAAATAGCATAATTGGGAAGAGTAATATCACTCTAAAGTAATAATAATCAATTTCAAGGGAACACTTTCTATTATCCAGCAATGACAGCAACACTATACCGATAATTACTTCACATTTTTTCAAATGATTCACTTCACATCAATCCATACTACACTGTTGCTAAACTGTTAGGTGATGACACTGCTGCCTAACTAATGAGAAAATAGAAACTATCAAATGGCACCTCCCCACCCATAATCATGCCACCAGCAAATAAACTTGCATTTACACCATCTTCATCTTTCCCATTACAAAGGAGAAAAGGATCCTCCTATCAAAGGTAAGTTCTTCCACTTGTAGATCTAGGACTCCTCCCTTTTATTTCTTTCACTTTTTATTTTCTCTCTCTCCTACAACTTCAACTTTTTCTTTCCAACACTATTATTCTCATTAGCATTCAAAGATGCTTCCATATTTCCCATTAAAAAAAAAAAACCACATAAAATAGGCTGGGCACGGTGGCTCATGCCTGTAATCCCAATACTTTGGGAGGCCGAGGCAGGCAGATCAACTGAGGTCAGGAGTTCGAGACCGCTTGGCTAACATGACAAAACCCTGTCTCTTCCAAAAAATACAAAATTTAGCCAGGAATGGGGGTGTGCACCTGTAGTAGTCCCAGCTACTTAGGAGGCTGAGGCACGAGAATCGCTTGAACCCGGGAGGTGGAGGTTGCAGTAAGCCAAGATTGCACCACTGCACTCCATCCAGCCTGGCCTATAGAGACTCTGTCTCAAAAAAAAAAAAAAAAAAAAAAATCCTAAAATACCCTAATACCATACCCTTCCCACATACCACCTTCTCCATGCTCCTCCAGAGCCAAGCTTTTCAAGAATTGTCTAGCCAAACTGCTTATACTCTCTCACCTCCAACTGTATTCTTCAACTCACACCAACATGGCATCTAGTTCAAACTCTTAGTAGCATTTGATTCATTTGATCGTACTCTCCTTCTGAGAACATTTTCTTATTTTGGTTCTATGACTCACAGTGTTCTACTTTCTTTGGTCATACTTTCCTCAATTTGCTTTGCTGGATCTTCCTCCTTTCTTAGGCCTGTAAATGATAGAATGCATCAGGGCTTCTATCCTGTAATTTTTTCTCTTCTCCATGTATACTCTTTCACAAAGTAATTTCAACCCGATGTATTATGTGAATACCATCGATGTGCTAATGATCTCAAATTGATACCTCTAGCTATAACTAATCCCTGGAATTCTAGACTCCAACTCTAACTAGTTACTACTTACCAAACAACATTTCCAACATGATTTCAGTCTAGAAAAAAAATCTCAAATGTAAGATGGCCAAGGCATAACTCTCTATTCTTGACCCCTGACCCTGACACCACCCAAGTTTTTCCTTTCTCAATAAATGGTACCATCAACTAGTTGCTTAGGCCAAATAATTAGGAGTCTTTCTTGCTTCCTTTTTGTCTTTTATCGCACAAATCCAATTCATCAGCAAGTATTATTGGTTCCATCTCCAAAACATATGTGAAAACCAATTAAAGCAGTGAACAAAGCAAATTGAGAAAGAGTGGGCTAGTGAGGGAGGAAACCCAGGAGAGTATGAAGTCATGAGAACCAATATCATAGTTTCCTTTAAGAAAGAGGGAATGGTCAAATATATAAAATGCTGCTGAGAGGTTAAAATAATAATTGAGCCACAAACATGGAAGGTCACTGGAGTTCTTAAGAAGAGTAGACTCTGTGGAATGATGAACATGAAAGTTCAATCGGAAGGGACTGAGAGTGAGATGACAATGTAAGACAGTGACTAATAGAATAATAGAGAAATTTTTCAAGGGGCTTTGCTCTCTGAGAAGCAGAGAGATAGGGAATAGTTGGAGTGAGCTATGAGGTCGAGAGTGGTTCTTTCTATCAAGAGAAGAGACACTAGAGCATGTTAGTATGCTGCTGAAAATGATCCCCAGTTGAGAAGGAGAAAATAAATATGGCATGGAGAAAGGAGCTAAATCACTGAGGAATGGGAACCAGGGCACAAGTGGACAGATTGCTCTTCCATAGGTACAGGGACTCTTTCTGTCCATGGTAACAGGAAATAATATCAATAAAGATACAGGACAATTTGATAGATTTTGCAAGGGAATATGAAGGGGCTCTTGATGGAGTGCTTCTAGATTTGTTAATGAATTATGAGGTAGGTCATCAAACATGTGCATGTTTATGTTTCTCTAAGTGTTTGTGTGGTGTGTACTTTGGGGATTTAGAGGTGAGGCATGAAAGAAGTTGAAGAAGAGAAAACGTGAGAAATAGCTATGTTAACAAGCAAGAAAAAAAGATACCTGATAGTTTACAATATAGCATTAAATGTCAAATTTGTCACTTACAGGGTTTGACCAAAAAAAAAATAAATCACATATATACCAGTTTGGTGGATTTTTCTTTTATTGCAAAATGACAATTTCTTATTATACAGCAATGTATTTTTGGAAGATAAAACAACATTACATATTTTGTTTGTTGTATGCTCAAACAAAAAACCTGTTACAATGGTTCACAAGTAAAATGACACTCTTGTAGATAAGCAAGTTATTCATTTTTCTTTGTACAAGTCTATTTCTGTATAGCGATGTCAAAAATTAATTTGAAGATATAAAAGCATGCAATTAAAGTTACACTATGGTAAAAACTATGCCCATTTCAAGCTTATTTCTGTTGTTCTGTGGCTTACCAATACATGATCAGAAAGCATGATGTCTTAATGTCAAGAGTATTCATTTAAAATTATATCAAGTCAGCAAGTTGTATTTACAAAACCAGCAGCATGTGCTGAAATTGTTTGTCTTCCTTTTAGCATTTTAATTTAGAGCTTTCTAAATGCAAATTAGGGAAAGAAAGTCTCTGCTCACTAGATGGTAAGTATATATTTTTTCTTTTTTTAGTATCTCAATTGTATTAGTGGTGTTACTTTATTGGTAGTGTACTTACATGCAGCCTTCTTGCATGGCCCTCAAAATACTTTATAAATATTAAAATAATGCCTATAATTTCTCCCCAACTAAATCTCTGCAATGTACCATTAAAATTATCCCTCACAAAAGGCAAATCATTACTCTTTTTATATTAGAAAATACAGTGCTATTTTGGACAACTGACTTCCCCAACAGACAAAAACTGAGCAATATCAGAATGTACATCCCCCCCAGGATATAAATACAAAATAAATCCATGAAACTTAAAAGATCCCAAGCTATAAAACTCCCTCTGCTTTGGCCTTTCAATTCTCAGCTCCATTTTTATTACACGGCAACTAAAACATTACTCAGGTGAAGCAGTAAAGGGGAGTTTTGAAAAAGTCATCAAATCCTCTCTCTGTCAAGCAAAGATAGCAAAGCAGTTTGAAAGATAAAGCCTTTTGTGCAAAATAACTCATCACAGCTTCTCTAAAATTGAACTGCTAAAATTGGTGAAGCTTGTTCACATTCACAGAAAGGTATTCACTCACTTGATAAACTACCAATAGGGAAAACACTTCTAATCCCAGTAACATATACAGTCATAAATTTGTGACCTTTTTAACCAAAAAACAATGTCTACTTGGTTTTGTATTTTTCACTGGATAAAACAAAATAAATCTCATTTTCAAATGGTTAAATAAGTTAATTTTCAACTATCGGTATTCATGTCTACATATTTTAAGCTATGGATATTGCCAGACAAGTATTCTTTAAAATCTACACTCCAAGGTTGCTTAAAAAATAAAAGTATCTTCAATGGATTTCATACTTACTTAAAATGGATTTTTACATATTTTAACAAACTACAGTGAGTTCTAAATTTTAGCAGGGTTTCACAACATAAACTCACTTAAAATTTGCCTCAATGTCAATTTAAGTAGCAAACAAAATAAACAAGATAAGAAGAAGCAATAGTTTCTCCACTTTAGTGACAATAATTATTTCATTTATTTGATATTTATGGGACTATAAAAGTTGGATTGACTTCACAAAATAGAATTGAGCAGAAATAGTATTTCAGTTTTTCTGATATGCATACACATGTATACACACATGCACACATGGGAAAAGTTGGTATGATAGTAAAACTCAAAAACCAAGCATTCATTATCTTAAAATGTAACACAGTCAAAGGATTTCTGATCAGATTTTATTTTCAATGAGTGACTCATCTATTTTCTGGATTTTATTTTATGACATTAGCAATGGTCTGATATTCACTCAATGAAAACATAAATCAGAAGCCTGAGAGAAAGAAAATAAAGTACTAGCTTCACAATCTACACAGAAAGAGGATTATAGTTCTACATTTAATATGAAAATTTTCAAAGCACAGCCATTAGCCATGAAAGGAAATCTCTTTAATGTTCAACAAATTCATCTAAGAAACATTAGAAATACATTTATAGATCAAGAAGAACTTCAACTTGGTCTCTTACAATATAATCATCACAACAAATTCTAAGCAGTGATTAATGGAACTGGTTTGCATGTACATCAATTTAATCATACTAACATCCATGTTAAAAAAGTATTATTATAATGACAGATGAAACTGAGATTTAGAGAGGTTAAGACACCTGCCCCTGGTGGCATGGCAGCCAGGATTTAAACTCCGATAGTCTAGCTTCAAATAATATACTCTCAATTAAACTGTTACAAAAAATAATAATAAATAACCTCTGCAAGAGTAATAGTTGGCAGATTATATAAGAACCTACCAAAAACGTATACTAATGTCTAGCCTGAAGGCATCACTGCTAGCTAGTCAATGTATAATCTTACAACTAAAGAGAAAAGGAATGACAGAACCAGAAAGAAAGATGAATTAACTCAATTAAGTCTTATTAAGTCTTCCTATTGTTTTCTATTTATACTCTTCATTTCTACTGGTATTTATTTATTTGGAATGCTTGGTTTAGGTAAAAAGAAATCAACCCTGTTTTCCCCATCAAAGATATGTAAATATTACAATTTTTTTGCACCTATCAACAGATTTAATGCCGAAAGTTTACAATGGGAAATTCATTAAGTCAAAATTTCCCATTGGCTTACACTGTCCCAGAATAGTTAGTTCCAAGGAAAAATACTGCTTTTTTTGAATACCGCTGACAGCTTCTAACAGGGAAGATATAAAGAAATATTCATCACAAACAAAAAATAGGGAAGAGATAAAGAAATACCCAGTACAGCCACCAGTTAACATAGCTCCCACACTGCACTTCTCTGCAAATAAATGTCTGAAGCATAATTGGAACATGCTACTCCTATTTTAATTGAAACACTTCACAAGTAGAAATTTTAAGCCAGTAATCAGTACCATTCTGATTATCATACCATTCTGTCAGCAAAGGTTATTCCCTTTTAAAGCCTTTTCTCACAAATGACCTCAACATCATCATCGGGTGTGCGTAGGTTGGCAATTTCCTTTAGCATCTGTCAGAATGCCTACCACAAGAAGTACTCAATAAATAGTTACAGGAAAAAATATATGAAATGAGGAAATGAATGAATGAACCATGTAAGGAATGATTACACTGTCATCAAAGGATAAGTCAAATATCAGTATATAGTAGACAAGACATTTGTTAAAACCCATAAAACTGTATAACACAAAGGCTGAATCATGATATAAACTATGGACTTTAAGGATAATAATTTATTAATATTGTTTCATCAACAGTAAAAAATGTACTACCCTAATGCAAGATATTAATAATGTGAGAAATTCTGAAGGAGAGGAAAATTATATGGGAACTCTGAGATTTCTGCATAATTTTTTCTGTAAGCCTAAAACTGCTCTACAAAATAGTCTATTTAAAAAATGAATAGCACATTTTCAAATTAGGAAATGCTACACCTGGCTAAAAAGCTAAACGTTTATTATTATTATTACTATTATTTTTAAAATAGTAAAAATAAAAATAAAGAAATGTTACTAACACTTCCAATGAAACTTAATAGTCATCAAAAGACAGAGGAGAAAAACAATGAACACCATATGCATTATTTATTATTTTGATTTCTAAAACATAGCAGTGCAAAAGCGCCTCCAGCAACATATACAAAAATGTATCAGTCTACATATTAAAATAAAAATCCTTCAAAACAACCCAAATACAGACTAATAGAGCAGAGATACACGTGAAATTCAAAGTATATTCAATGCAACACAAGTCTCAAATCACTGGAAAAGATAAACCACCCACAAGCAGGCTTGCTCAAAGCCCTGATATCTGATGATGTTAGCTACAGTTCTATAAGCTCAGGTGGGAATAATATGTTTCTCTACACCATCCCAAGCTGAGAAATGATGGCTAGGCAAAACTGTTGAGAGATCTAGACGTTAGGTGGCACTCAAATAGACCGAGATTTAATAAATGTCTTCATAATAATGCCTTAGAGAGACTACCACACATACCATCATCTGGGAGAAAAAAAAAAAAAAACCCTCAAGGGTAGGTTACTTGCCAAGTCTCAACCTACAAAGTTTGTGACAAAAAAGAACCACACAATAAATCACACAATAAGAAATCATGCCTGGTTTATTAAATCAGTAAAATATTATATTCCCACATACAGAGTAGGAATTAAATGTGTAAATGAGATCAATAACAACAAAGTTCTCTACAATATAATGTAGCTGTCAGAGAATCAATCAAGCTTACTACTCTTCAGTGAAGTCTGTGTGCCTGAGAAAGCAAGCAAAAGCAGTGTCTCTGGATTTGACTCATCTACATGGTGAGATTTTTAAACGATGATCTTTAAAGTCACTTTCAGATTTCAAATGATTCAGTTTTGGGACAGAGATATGACCCACTTTAGTCTCAGGAAACTTGAATACCTTCCACGTATTGCTTTACCATTACAAGACATGCAAGTCAATAGATGTACGATGAGAGTGAGCTCCTCCCAGAAAGCAGGAGAAGCTGGCTGGGCTCCAACCACAAGTATAAAAGTTAGAAGTAGACTGAAATCCTGCCAAGAGACTGTCACAAATGGAGACTCAGGAAGAGAAATAGGAAAATAACAAATCCAGCTCCATTTGAATGGAAGCCAATGATAATGAATAGCACCACTTGTATAATTTCTCTTGAGTCCCTATCACAATTATTATACTCTTCTGTTTCCCTGAAGTAACTAATGCAAAATTTTTATCTAAAAGGGAAATTCTAGTTTCAACGGTCCCACTAATTTTAACAACAACCACAACCACAAAAAAACTACAGGTTATCTTAAAATACTTTAAAACAAAATTAAAATGCAAATGAAAACTTCAGGAAAAAATTGCAAACTGCAAAAATGGTGATAATGGGTTAATATAAACATATAAATATAATTAAAGAAATAAGAAACATACTATACTTGTAAAACAAAAATGAGTAAAACTATATGAACAAAAATTAGACGAAAACGAATGGTCAATATGTAATAAAGCTATTTAAACATCATGAGTAAGCAAATAAATATAAATAAAAACAATAAGATACAGTTTTTCACCCATCAATTTAACAAATATAATATTTTTTAAAATCATGACACTCAGTATTTGTGAGTGTTCTAAATGATTGCTACTCACATATGGCTGGTAGGAATCTAAATTTGAAAGCCTTTCAGAAACAAATTTGCAATACATAACAAGAGTTCAAAACAACTCATATCCTTCCACCAGTAATTTCAATAAGAAATTTACAAAAGGATTTATATACAAGACTATTCTATGTGGCATAATAATATCAAATAATTTGAAACAATCTAAATATTGAACAACAGGGAAATAAATAAATCTTAGTAAATAAATCAGCAAGAAAAAAATGAATGAACCTATTGAAAAGTGGGCAAATCACATGAACAGGCATTTTTTAAAATAAGATACACAAATGGCCAACAAACATGAAGAAATGCTCAGCATCACTAATCATTAGGAAAATGAAAATTAAAGCGACAATGAGATAACCACCTTATCCCAGTCAGAATGGCCATTATTAAAAAGTCAAAAAACACAGACGTTGCAGTGAGACGAGATCACGCCACTGCACTCCAGCCTGGGTGACTGAGAGAGACTCCGTCTCAAGAAAAAAAAAAAAAAAAAGTCAAAAAACAATAGATGCTGGCATGGATGTGGTACAAAGGGAATACTTTTACACTGCTGATGGGAATGTAAATTAGTAAAATGACTATGGAAAACAGTATGGAGATTTCATAAAGAACTAAAAGATCTATGATTTGATCCAACAATCCTACTACTGGATATCTACTCAAAGGAAAATAAGTCATATCGAAAAGATACCTGCACTTGTATGATTATCACAGCACAATTCACAATTGCAAAGATATGTAACCAACCTAAGTGCCCATCAACTGATGAGCAGATAAAGAAAATGTGGTGTGTGTGTGTGTGTATATGGAATACGACTCAGCCACAAAGAAGAACAAGATAACATTTCTTGTAGCAATTTGGATGGAACCGGAGGCCACTATCCTAAGTGAAGTAATTCAGGAAAGGAAAACCAAATACTGCATGTTGTCACTTATAAGTAGGAGCTAAGCTATGGGTACACAGGGGCATGCAGATTGGGATAATCGACACTGGAGACTCAGAAGGGGGTAGGTTGGGAGAAGGATGAGGGCTGAAAAAGTATCTATTGTGTACAATATACACTATCTGTGTGATGTATATACTAACAGCCCAGGCTTTACTACTATGTAATTCATCCGTGTAATCCAAAACCAATTTTACCCTAAAGCTATTGAAATTTAAAAAATAATGATAATAAATCATAGTATATTCTTACAAGGGAGTTTTATAGAGCCAATAAAATCATGTATTTGCAGAATATTAGTTTATGTTCCAAGAATAAATATTAGATTCAAAAAGCAGGTTATAGTATATACTACATACCAGAATAAAGTACTTATAAAAATATAAGGATACACACACAGTAAAAAACGAAAAACCGCAGACATAGGGAAACCATCACTGAAAGAATAGCAAAATGAATAAAACGTTAAGGTGCATTTTGACTTGTTCAAAGCTGGGACAGAGAGAATGATGGTTACTTCTAAATTGCAATTGCGTCATATAAATTCAAGAGACCTTTTTAAAATCTCTCATGCTTCCTAAATGGTATAAAATGAACATACATGCCATGAATGAACACAAAAGGAAACATGAAAATATCCCCCAAGGCAATGCTTGCAGGAAGGAAAGAGACCCTATTTTGTGGAACCTACAGTGACAGAGGACATACAGGCCAGATTACAGGCATTTGCAAGAGCAAAAAGTGCTTCGACAGGCAGCAGGAGATAAATATACATATATGTCTGAGATCTAACCAGCAGAAAGCCTAGTATGATTTTCTCACAGCTGTACTACAGTAAAGTACACAAAAGATGAAATGAGGCCATCTTATTGCCTAGCTAAATAGAAAAACGGATTCAAAAGGAACTTTTGTTACTCTCAATGTTTAAGAATAATATATTACTAAATTAAATGAGGTATACATTCAATTGTATGAATGATTCAGATTTGAATACTGGATCTACCACTTAAAAGTTGTGTAACTTCAAGCAAAATACTTATCTCCTTAAACCTTTGTTTCTTCAACTATAAATCTGAGATTAAAAAAAAATAGTACCTATATCTTACAAGGAATCTGCTAGCATTAAATGAGGAGACTTAGGTAAACTCATCCAGCACATTATTTAGCACAATTTAAATGCTCAACACTCAGCAAGTGTCTTCTGCTATTTTAATGATTGTCATCTACCTATTGCACCTCCCTGAAGTTTATGTCCCTAAAGTCAAACATGTTCCCATAAAGCAAAGAGCAGTCACACAAAGAATTAGTCTGATTTACGACCCATCTTTTGTCAATCGACTCTCTCTCTCAAAAGGTGCCCTGATAATGAAATGTACAAAATCATGTGCATTTTGACTTGTTCAAAGCTGGGACAGAGAGAATGATGGTCACTTCTAAATTTATTCCCATTCCTATTCTATTCTGATTACCAGCTCCACTAACTCCTTGCTTCACTTACACACATTTTGCACATATAAAGGTGTGAGTTCAGTACCATGGGCAACCATGAGAACACTGAACATAAACACCATACACAGCCTATTTTTCTGCTAGATGGCACATAACCCAATGAACTTACACAGAAATATTCTATTTCTTGCAAATAATCTTTGTTTATAAACCACTTAAGCTGTTATTGTTCTAATTTCACATCTCTGAATTACTGAATTTTCTAAGAATATTGACTTCTGTAGCAGTTTCTAAGATATCCACAAACAGGAAGCACATAAAAATGTATTGAAGTCAGATACGAAATAATAAAATATTAATATTAATTGTGTATTTTACATAAATATAGCCACATATTTAAGCAATACAATGTTGAACTTTTTTGAAGGGCAGTGGCAAAAATCAGCTTAATTTCTCAAACTTCCAATATTTAACATTTATCAAAAATTCTTTTAAATTCCAAGTTTTCATATGTTAAATTTCAAACCTCAAATTAGAATAAAACTGTTGTTTAAATGGAATAAAGTATCTGATATTCAAATTAATATTACAATCCTGGTCTATTTTCAAATATTATTCTTCTCACTTCTCTGGCTCCTTTTCCTATAAGCCTTAACCAAACTTAAAACAAATGAAATCTTTTTTTTTTTTTGGAGACAGGGTCTCAGGGGATCCTCCCACCTCTACCTCTCAAGTAGCTGGGACAACAGGCGCATGCCACCATGCTCAGCTAATTTTTTTATTTCTTGTAGAGACAGGGTCTCACCATGTAACCCAGGCTGGCCTCAAACTCCTGGGCTCAAGCAATCCGCCCATCTCAGCCTCCCAAAGTGCTGGGATTACAGGCATGAGGCACCATGTCCAGTCGAAATCCATTCTTTCTCTAAATCCTGCTTCAAGACTGATTTCTTTGGTAAAGATGCTTAGAATACCCAACAAACTGAATCCAAGCCTTTCAACTATCTGGCTAGAGGTATATATTCTGGAATACACTATGACCACATTCCCTTATTTAAAATATCAAACTGACACTCAATATCTTGTACATATCTAATTCAAGAGATTGAAGTCTATTTGTTGATTAATCAGTTAAATGAAGGATAGCTACTGTTCCCCACCTTGTTATATTTTAGACACTGTAGAAAATAGATCCACATTCATTTGCTCATACTATTTCATGATATGCAATTTCTTTTTTGCTCCAGAAATTGAGACTTTGCAGAATCAAAAAGTTAAAATACTATTTTAAAATTCTTTATACAGCATAACTCCTGAATTTCTCTTCATTAACTTCATGCAAAAATCATTCCCAATAATGAAGGCGTCCCATAGATCAAGACTACTTATATGAATGTATTCATATTTCATGCTAATTAGCCCCTGTACACGTAATCTCTTTCCCTAGTGTGTCCAGTACATGTGTCTCTGTCCTGGATTGCTCATTAAATCTGCTATAGTTCATTTGAGCACTGCATCACTGTGACTGAATTAGACATTTCAGAATCCAAGGCCTATGATTCCTTCCTCTTGTGTATTTCTTACAAAATCTTACAAGCAAAGCTGTGGTAGTGTTGTAGAAATAATGCATACACTAGCCGATATGTTTTGTAAGTGTATAAACAAGGTTATCACAAAGGTAGACTGGTATCCTCAAACCCTCCATTGTGCATGCAGGTAATATGCCCAGTATCTGACAAGGTTTGAGAAGTAGCAACTCTTATTCTTTTTAATGGGGACCTCTGAGACCAACAATGTCTAGAAAAATACCATGCTCACTGTTACACAGAGACTTTCCTAGATTACTGTATCCAATCCACACATACACACTTTTAAAAAAATTAAGTAATAGAGAGTGTTCAGTAGTTACAATGGTAATATATTCCTCCTCAACTGTAATGTTCTGAATCTAGTTTTTTTATACGAGAAAAGAGGAGGTTATGTTAAAAAAAACTCAGTGGTACAGGGGTCTCAAGTATGGATTAATTTTTAAATCGTTACATGATGGTAGTCTGATTTCTCTCTTTCTTCTAGTCCTAAGTCATGAAAGAACATTGCTGCAGGATGAAGTTTTTGACTTTTTTTTTTTTTAGAATGAGTTCTGTACAATCCCAAGGAAAGATATTTTGCAGACTTGACAATTCCACATTGATTTCCACTTTCCTATTTTTTGGAACCTTAGGCTAACAACATTAAAAAAAATCTGTTCTGTATATACCATGTAGATTATTTTAAAGATCACTCTATATCATACATACGTTTCTACTCACAATATGATTGAAACTGTTAATTATCTACATACATAATAATAAAAGTGGACTACAATGCTTGTTGGAACACTTATATTTTTCATTGACTTTTTAAAATCCTAATTTCTATAAACAAATAATTCTGACCAAATCCTATCTGGCAATATCTGGATCCTTTTGGTTTTCATTTTTAGCAGTAATACAAGTACTTGCCTTTATTAAGTTTAATTCATAAAACAGTGTCACAGTAAAAAAAAAAATGCACACACTAACAATGTCTGCTCTACAAAAAAAAATGATTTCAGAATTTATATATTTTAAATTCAAAATCTCTGTTACATTATCAATAACTTAAAAGATAATAAGAAGATGGCTTTAAGACATTCCCAGCTGGCAGGGCAGTTCCTTCATGCTAATTACTGGAACAACATAGACATGAAGTATTAGAAGTCATCATCAAAAGAGCAAGTTAAAATCATGTTGGCCCTTTATACCAGTGTATATTTTCTTTTGAGGATGCTTGTAATTAATATCTACTCATAACTTTATCATCATCAAGACATAGATGGAACATATATAGTTTTATTTAGAGTTTGAAAATTTACACTGATCCAGCAACTCTTTAAAAAGAAATTACTGATATGTACCACAAAGTAACTTATCCTGAGGGAATTTACCAATCCTTGTGACAGTAACTTTGGTTTTCCAGCTCTTTTCTTTCAAACATCTTTAAAGAAAGTGTTTACTTATGTTGTTATACTATTTAGACATTCTCTATTGCTTTGTTTTGTTTAAATACAGAGACTTTAAATAATTCATAAAATTCTCTATTTAGCTAAAGTAAGCTATGACCATTTTCAAAAGAAGAGAGAGAAAGAGGGGGAAAAACCCTATAAGGAGAGCAACAAAAGGACTAATGGAGATGACCTTTCAAAAGGACATTTACTAGCATTCTAATGCAGCTGACTTAGTTTATTAGATCTGGCATCTTTCTGATCTCTGACGCTATTATCTTACTTAGGAAAAAAAGTACACTGTGAATGTGAGGATTTCAAATATTTAAAGTTGGAAACTGGTTTTAATTGTTTGCTAATCTTGCTCATAAAAATCTCACATTTTCATTTCTTGACACGGAATGGATATCTAGTCTAGATGTATCTATGGAAACCTAACTATATCTGAAGATCAAATATTCTCAACAAAATTTTTATAGCATATTAGGAATTGTTTTTCTACCAGAAAAAGAAGCAACCTCTTTGTAGATGGCTGGCAGTGAATTTGAGACTTTCAAAATACAGAATCCAGAACCCTTGGGAAGGATACCATACAATGGTTTACACATGTTCCTTAAGGGCATCATACTGTCTTACTTAGAATTATAGTCCTTTGAGTAGACCAGGTCTTTAGTAAATGGTTGTGTGAAGTAAACAGTTAATGATCCCAATAGAGATACTGAATTATTCGAGGAAAACTGAAAACTTAAAAGAGCCAAAGTAGTTAGTCACATAAGTCAGACTCTCTGAAACAAAGCAGTACATCCTTTAGGCAAAGGGTGCAAATAAAATTAAGTTTTCATAATATACTCTCTTAAAAATATTCCAGGAAACTTATGCAAGTTCTTTTGTAATTGAGATAATCTCTTTGAAATACTTCCTTTACACTAAGATTTGTGGACTTGAGTGCTTTTTTAAGCGGAGCATAGCAGTAATAGATGTAAAAAGAGACAAGAATGAGGTAACACACTGGCCCCCCAAGAGCTTAAAAATTAGGGAAATTAGAATAGAAAAAAGCCTACAGATAATGGCTATTATTATTAATAGCTATCTAGTGGCATTAAACTGATCAGTTCAAAGATCTGGCACTAAATTGCCTAACCAACACTCAAAATTCCAATCAAAATGACAAGGATAAATTCAGGAAATAGAACCGTAATTTAGTAATTTGAGTAATGTAAAATAATAGCCCTTATCAAGTTCTAAAACCAAATTTTGTACTTTTTCTCTATATAGAATATGTACAAAGCTCTTATTCTCACTACTTTATGACATGTGCAATGTCTTGCCTCAATTTATATTGCAAGAAGCTCCAGACTAGTCTCTGCCTCAAGACCAAATGGCCCCTTCTCCATCCCCAACCAGGTCCCAAACATCTCTCAGACCATAATCAGAGTGATCTTTATAATTATTTAATCTGAGAGTGTTACTTCTCTGCTTAACATATTCTCATTCCATGTTAGTTTTAGAATAAAATCTAAACTCCTAAATACTGCAAGCTAGGCCATTAGTGAGTAGGTAACTTCATCCCTTTATGCCCTGATTTCTTACCACTTTCCCTAAAAGTACACTACCTATCACTTACACCAAACAACTTAGAGTTTCTTGAAAACACCACAGTTTCTCAAACCTTAACACATGCCTCAATGTGTACTCTCATTGTGTCTAGAATTTTTTGCTATTGCAATCCTTTTTCAATTGGCTAATTCCCATTCTGACTTTGAAATTCAGATCTGGCATCAACATCTACTGGGAATTCTTGCTTACTTCCCTTCATCGGAGTTCGGTGGCCTTCTCCCCTCTGTGGTCCTGCAATATCCTACTCTTCTCTTTTCTGGCATTTACACATGTTATGATAATAATTGATTACCTATCTATCTTCCCCACTATCCTTGCATTCCCCGAGGACACAGAGTCTTATTTATGTACCCCTAGCATTCAGCACAGTGCCTAGAAAATAAGTATGCATTTAATAAATGTGAATTGACAAAAGAAAGCAGAAAAACAACTAGCACTTGCAATTAACATACTGTTAACAAGATTAAATACAGTGGGCATTCCCTTGATGGAATGATGCTTGAACAAAAGATGGGAATACATTATACTATAATAAACACCTTTTGTGCATTGAGGTAGGCTGTAAAGTTTATAGAATTATAGATTTTTCCATTATTTTTCCAACTTTCTGTATTTTATTATCACAGTTTAGGATGTCCCCCCCCCTCCCGCCCCATAGGTTCCAATGAATGCCTAAGGTTATTCCTCAAAATTTTATCATTTTGCATTCTGATGAAAACTAGTTATGGAGACCTCTTGTCAGGCTCCAATAGCCAGTGGCCTCCATACATAAATGGCTCCCCTAAAGTCACCCATGGACATCACTTACAGAAAATACCTAAAATCTCCCTAAGTAGTATGACTTCAGCTAACACACCAGGGCTGAGAAATGCTGCAAAGGGTGGTTAATCAGTGAGCCTTGAAAAGCCAGAACAAGTATAAAAAGGGTAAAAGAAGTAACAACTAATGAGCTGGACAGATATTGTAAAGCCCTGAGTAAAATAATTTGTTAAACTAAACAGGAAATCAAATCGAGTCTCAAAAATATGACAAGTAAAGGCACAAAGTCTCTAAAGTATAGTTATTGGCTTACAATTATTTTAAGCGTATGTTTCTACTCACTACAATTTAAGCCATGACCCAGTTTTGAATAATTAGCTATGTCAACATGGTACAATTTACACTATTGTGTTTTCATAGTGCCATGAAAAACATTTCACTGAAAATCCAGAGGTTAATGTAATTTTCCACTTAAAAATGAAACTGATGACAGATTATATATGTATAGTACACTATATCTGAGTCAGAGATAGCAAAATTGAATAAGGTGATTTGAAACACACATGGGAAACACAAGGGGAAACACTAAAGTCATTCTGAAAATATGAATGTAAAAATATGAGCTCTTTATTCTTGTGATTTGTTATTTCCCCCTGCTGCCAAATATAGCTTGTATCCCACGAGAAGGCATGGTACATGTACGCATAATACTGTCATATTAGATTACTAGTAAGTATAACAAAACCATCAAAAATATTTGTATCATCCTTTAGCACTTTCAACTAAAATGATATTTTGTCATACTGTTCTTAAACATAACCATCCAATTATTAGTAGAAAAAAAAGAAAATAGCTGTGATTATAATTTTTGCCAAAATATAGCAAAATGGACTTGTTTTACTGTTCTCTCCAGTACCCAATTATTTCTCTATCAATAATAGTCTCGTTAATTATACCTTTTGAGGATTTCTCAAAAATTTCTCTTCTCCATCCCTACTACCTTAGTCTCCTCTATGGTTTTGCTGCAGATTTGAATGATGTTAAGTGGGCAACCCAGGGGTGGTTAAAAACTGTGTTAAGATTTTTGACTTTTTCCTCCATTTCTTATTCCTCATCTAATAAATATGAATTAATTAGACAGGATTTGTGACTCTGTGAATATTTTTCTAAGTGAAGAAAATGGGATCATATGAAACCATCAGAGAAGGTAATGGTGGTCGGTGCTTGGTGTGATGGAAACCATTGAAGAATGTTAAAAAGGAACCTGAGTCACAAACTAGTGGGAAGAAAAGCTGATCATCATAAGAAAGCAGAAGACTAAGTAGGTCAGTATGTATCAAAAGAAGAAAAAAGTAGAGGACACACACCTGCCAATTTCAAAACTTACTATAAAGCTATAGTAATCAAGACATTGAGGTACTGCCATAAAGATAGACATACAGTTTGATGGAATAAAAATAAAAATCCAGAAATAATCTCTTACAGTCAATGAATTTTGGATAAGGGTGACAATTATGAAATAGAATAGACTCAACAAATGGTGCAGGGATGCTGGATAGCCACATGGAAAAAAAATGAAGTTAGGTAAAACAATGAAATTATTAGAGGAAAACAGAGGTATAAATTTTTGTGACCTTAGATTAGGCAACAGTTTTTTAAATATGACATTAAAAGCACAATTAAAAAAACAGATCAATTTAGCTTAATAAAAGTTAAAACTTTTGTGTTTCAAAAGACACTAACATGAAAATGAAAACACAACCCAGAGAATGGGAGATATCTGCAACAATTCAATGATAAAATGATGACCCCATTAAAAATGAGTAAAGGGGGAAGCTGAGGCAGGTGGATAGCTTGAGCCCAGGAATTGGAGACCAGCCTGGGCAACATGGTAAAACCCTATCTCTACAAAAAATACAAAAATTAGCCAGGTGTGGTGACATGTGCCTGTAGTTCCAGCTACTCAGGAGGCTGAAATGGGAGGATCACTTGAGCCTGGGAGGTGGAGGTTGCAGTGAGCCAAGGTTGTGCCACTGCACTCCAGCCTGGGTGGCAGAGCAAGATCCTGTCTCACTAAAAAAAAAAAAAAAAGAAAAAGAAAAAAGTAAAGGATCTCAATAGCTATTTCTGCAAAGTAGATATACAAATAGGCAATAAATAAATGAAATGCTGCTCGAAATCATTAGCCACTGGGGAAATGCAAATAAAACCATAATATTCTCATACTCATTAGGATGGCTAACATTAAAAGCAGACAATACCAAGTGTTGCAAAGGATATGGAGAAACTGGAACCCTTTTACATTGCTAGTGGGAATGTGAAATGGTACAGCTACTTTGGAAAACTGTTTGACAGTTCCTCAGAATGTTAAACACAGAATCACTATATGACCCAGCAATTCCACTCCTAGATATATACCGATACATGCCCAGTAGAATTCAAAAGACACATTCAAACAAGTACTTGTACAGGAACACTAATAGCAGCACTATTTGCAATAGCCAAAAGGTGGAAACAACCCAGATGTCCATCAACTGATGAACGGATAAACCATCTGTGGTATATCATACAACCGAATACTACTCAGCCATAAAAAGGAATGAAGTATTGATATATGCTACAACACGGATGAACCTTGGAAGCATAAGCTAAGTGAAAGGAACCAGACAAAAAGAACACAGATTATGTAATTCCATTTATATGAAATGTCCAGAATAGACAAATACATAGAAACAGAAAATAGGTTAGTGATTGACAGGGGCAGGGGTTTGAGGATGGAAGATGAGGAGTGACTGCTAATGGGTACAGGTTTCTTGAAAAACAAAAACAAAACCAAGAGAAGATGTATCAGGAAGGTCTTATCAAACATAAAGATGAAGAATGATAATAGCTGAGAGAAAAGGTTAGAAGGTAGGAACTAGAGGCAATAGAGAGAGTAGTTTCAGTAGAGTAACAAACATGGGTACCACACTGCCAGGGGTCAATGAAAGGGCTGGAAAGTAGCAGATGCACTGGATATTGACATCATATTGAAGATGATTGGCCACGAAAATAATAAAATCATTTAAATGTTAGGAAGATAGGCACACTGAAAACAATTCCATGACCATTAAAAAAAATTCTATGAAATATTTTGGCATCCTTATTTCTATAATGCAATTAATTTTCTAATACCTTAAGAAGATTAAAGCAATAATTATGTAAATGACCAAGCTTATATATGACATTGCCACAGCATTTTACATAATACAGCTTTTTAAATTAAAAATTGCAGTTTATAACTTTTCCTATTATTGCTCTGAATCAATTATTTTTTTCCTCAAAATAAAGACCTGGATGTAATTGCAAGAAAAGTTTAGAAAGAAACATAGGGAGACTCAATGTTTACAAGCGCCTCAGCGTGTTGGAAGCTCTGGTTTCTTTTGGCGTCATTGGAATGCTGCTCTTTATGTAAGTCCATTGTGCAGTAATGAATGAAATGGCTACCGATGCTCTCTAAATAAAAGACTCACTCTCCCTCAACAGAAGCAGGTGCTATGGAACAGCTACTGTTTGCACAGCGACTTTCCAGACAAAAACTTTACACAAAAGGAACATACAAATAATTCCTGGGAGGCCTCCTCTGTGAATCTCCAAGACAATAGCCCAGCTGCAGTAACGCCACATGTGCCACTTTTAAGGTCAGTTTGGTATCTGTGCCTTTTTTGTAGCACTACTACAAGTATATTTATAAGGCACATATCACTTAGAATTAGACATTTGAGGTTATATTTTATTACTTGATGAATGTCTTAGTATAAGGTCTTTATTGCAAACAATCTTTTGGCTGTTGGTGCTTACAGTTGTAACACAATTAAGTATTGCTAAGAAGTATCTTTTTAGCACTTTATCACCCACCATATTTTAGATTTATCTATTATTTTAAAAGGTAGCAGTTGCACGTAACTTACTTTGCAAAAGAATTAGATATTCAGCTTATAAAAATATGAAGTGATATGATTGATAATTTAAGAATCCACACTATAAGCCATGTGATTTATAATTTACTTCGGCACATAATTTATAAAAATATTTGTATCTCTATACTTCAATGGTATCCAGCAATTTCTTTAAAATAACCATCAGAATGAATAAAAGGACAGATAAGGCTTAGGTTTCCACCTAAAGTTGTATCAACAGGTTTTCATATTCATTTTGGGACTCCTAAAATTCCTGTAGTACCAGATGTGTACAAAATAAATTATGAGATAAAACAGCAATGCTACCCAGAAAATGAGAGGAAGGAAAATGATTAGAATCACCTGTTTTTTGTTCTTTTAAAATAATGCTAGAATACTGATATGCTATTTTACAAGCATTATCAACAATGCCATTGATACTTAGCAACTCCTCACACAAGACATGCAAAGGCAAATCAGAGCCATTTTAAAGGAAGGCCAAGCAATATATTTTGTTAAACAAACAAACAAAAAAAACTCTATCTTCTACATGTGAGAAAAAGCGATGTTGCTTACAATCCAATAATAAGACAATTATCAGTGTTTCAACAGGAAGTCTGATAGTCTGGATGTAACAAGGACAGGAAGAAGGCAGAACAGCAGTCTTTAACCTAAATTCAGAACTGAAAGATCAAGAGAGCCACCTGCAGTTTGAAATCCAGAAATACGAAAATTCCTCTGACCCTCTATTTAAAGGCATTGTTTCTAGGGATGATTCTCCCAGAGCTCCTGATTAATTTGGACTTGGTTAGGAAAGTACATCACAATATAACTCAGATGTACTGCAAAATAATTATATTATGTTTTCAGTTCTATGATCCTTTCCATCTAAGATTTGTGCTTTCTACTTTTTTTACAATTATATGTTAATGCATTCAACAAATAATCAAAATATATTTATTGAGCATTTACTACATTGGTTACTTTTTATTTCCTAACCAAATGGCAACAGAACTTGTATTATAAATGGTATTTTACTAACAACTATGCAACAATATGAGTCCCCATAAGAACAATCTTCAACTTTTGGGAGCACTATCAAAATATAAACTATCTTGCTTTTTAAAGTGAAGTTTCTACTTTCAAGTTTGGATTACAATGATTCTAAAATGCTTTTATTATCTCTATCCTCAGTTAGGTAACCATAATGTCCTCATGGCCCATATTAAACATACCTTCAAATAAACATATCCATGTTCATATATAAAGTTTTCAGGCAAGAGCACAGACTATTATGAATCAGGGTCTGTTTGGAGTGTTGTAAGGTAATGCCATACTTGGTGTTGATACCTAAGTCTCTACTGGATCCTAGAGTCCAAGGATATCAACATTTAGACAGGAAGAATAGGTTCTTTCCCATTTTCAGCTTTCACAATGGAGGAGAAACTCTTAACTGAGACTTAGGAGAAAGATGGCTGAAACTGTTTATTACTCTGTTCTACCACTTATAAAAATTAATATTACCACATGATTTCTAGACTACTAAAAAGTAATGATTTATTTTAGAGATTATTGCATTCTCAATTGATCTCTGGGTATGTAACTTTTTTTTTGTTTTTTTGTTTGTTTGTTTGTTTGTTTTGTTTTTGAGACGGAGTCTTGCTCTGTCGCCCAGGCTGGAGTGCAGTGGCGCGATCTCGGCCCATTGCAAGCTCCGCCTCCCGGGTTCACGCCATTCTCCTGCCTCAGCCTCCCGAGTAGCTGGGACTACAGGGGCCCGCCACCACGCCCAGCTATTTTTTTTGTATTTTTAGTAGATACGGGGTTTCACCGTGTTAGCCAGGATGGTCTCAATTTCCTGACCTCGTGATCCGCCCGCCTCAGCCTCCCGAAGTGCTGGGATTACAGGCTTGAGCCACCACGCCCGGCTGTAACTCTTTTTTTGTGTGTGAGACAGAGTCTTGCTTTGTCACCCAGGCTGGAGTGCAGTGGCTCAATCGCGGCTCACTGCAACCTCTGCCTCCCGAGTTCAAACGATTCTCCTGTCTCAACCTCAGGAGTAGCTGGGACTACAGGTGCATGCCACCATACCCAGCTAATATTTGTATTTTTAGTAGAGACAGGTTTCACCACGTTGGCAAGGCTGGTCTCAAACTTCTGACCTCAAGTGATCCGCCCACCTCGGCCTCCCAAAGTGCTGGGATTACAGGCGTGAGCCACCGCACCCAGCCTGGGTAGGTAACTCTTAAGTCTGGAGCTAAATCTATCAACACTTCATAAAACCTAACATGATCAAACATCAAGACTGTTGCTACCACAAGCAAACGTTTCCAATACAGTGATATATCGATTTTCTCAGGAATAACAACACTCCGACCCCCATCCAGGATATCAGAAAAATGAAACAGGGAATGGTGTCTAGTCAACAGAAGCCTATTAGCCTTCTTAAGAAGATTTGGTCAGAATTGATGAGTTAATCTGTTTTTAACAGATCAGGTCATTCTCAACTTAGGAAAGACATCAGTTATTTTGAGATGGAAATCAAGAACAGTCAGATTTTATTCTGGCTTTAATGATATGCCTTTCATATTGGCTAGTTGCTTTGTTTCTTTACCTCTTCTAATCAGATCATACTCAGGAGAAATAAATGGAAATATAAGTGAATCTATTCATGTCTGCTACTATAGTATAGCTATGACAAAATTTATGTTTGAACACAAACCCCCAAGCACTAACAGGGTTGAGGGAAAGAGGACAAGCCTTCTTTTGGGTGGAAGAGTGATAAATCACTGACACACACAAAGAGGGTGACTCTTGCCTCCCTAACCTACACAGACTAAAGCATGTCTTTCTCTGATGTGGGAATGATCTGAATCCCTATCTGTTTTAGAGACACTGGCTCTGGAATATGTGTAGATATGAATACGCTGGATGTTCATTTGAAGGTATTACCAAATGTTTTAGAGACACCAGGGATCTCACAGAATTTCTCCATTTAGAAGAGTTTGGTAACATTAACTGATAACATTAAATGCAATATCATATTTTTAGCAAAATCTACACATAAAATCGAAATATTTTTCCAGGTAAAATACCTTAAATGTAAATTAAAAGTGTAAAGTTTTCTAATTTGCTTTGATTAGCCCATATAATCTAAAGAAACAATATCAGTATCTTCTTGCATGAGTTGATATGTAAGAAAACCCCTAGTATCCATCTCACTGTATTGCAGATGGCTATAATTTCTTCCCAGACTACTACTTACCTATATATTTTTAGATAGACTATAACTTGCAAGACTGAACTATGTACTTACATATTTTTGAATGCCTGTTGATTATTTATTCCAAATGTAATCTGATTTTCTTTGGTAATATTGAAGCAGGTTTGTCATCTTTAGCTATGTTTTAATAAAACATGTTTTATGTGTAGCATCACTGCTAAGATAAGGTATTTGAACTATTTATATAGGTAAAAGGTAAATTGCAAAGAAAACACGGAATCTAAAATATCTCTTATAGCAACATGGTATAATCTTTTCCCTTAATGACTACATTCTTACTTCTATAGGTATGAATGCAAATCTGCTTCCAATATACTGTCCTAAAAAATACTTAGAACAGAAAATGAAATGCCACATTTGGAAATTCTTGTCACTAACGAAATGTCCTGTAAGTCAAGAGGTGCATTATGATGAAAGAGTTGAGTCTGAGCTATGAATCCAGACAGTGTGGGTATGAACTCTAGCTCTCCCACTTACTAGCTGTGTGACCTTGGTTAATTTACTTAAGCTCTTTACGCTTCGATTTTCTCATTTATAAAATGAGGAAAATATTAGTTTTCATTGGGTTACTGTTAGAATTAGTCCAGGTGCATTAAACACTTAGAGCAGTGTCTGGTACATAGCAAGCACTAGATATGTGTTTGTAAGTATTATTGGTATACTCTTTAAAATAATCTAAATCAATTCATAGGTGTACAGAATGATACCCAAACCATGAAATTTTGAATGAAGTTAAACAGAAAGAAAATATTAGAAACAAAGAAAGAATAAGAATAGCAAGTCTAATATCCAAGATAAAGTAATTAAAGTCTGAAAATAAAATCTGCATTATTTCCAATGACAAAACATTATAATAAATAATTTCAAACTACTAATAAGAGTTAGAAACCCAAATTATCAAATAAATGTCTAGATGTGAATAAAATTTGTAATTGCCAAATACTTAACATATCCCTATAGTACATAAAGAAACAGGGTTTCACTCTTTTACCCAGGCTGGAGTGCAGTGGTGTGATCATAGCTCACTGAAGCCTTGAACTACTGGCCTCAAGCAATCCTCCCGCCACAGCCTCCCAAGTAGCTAGGACTACAGACGTGCATCACCTGGCTAATTTTTAAAGTTTTTGTAGAGATGGGGTCTCCCTATGTTGCCCAGGCTGGTTTTGAATTCCTAAGCTGAAACAATCCTCCTACCTCAGCCTCCCAAAGCACTGGAATTACAGGTGTGAACCACCATGCCCAGCAACATACTAACATTTTAAGGAACATAAATCTCTCTGATGAGATGAATTTTGAGAATATTATTTAAAAGTTAAAAATAATTATCTTGGGATGTCAGAATTCCAGATGACAATAATTTTTTGATGTATACAATTTTTTTTTCCAAATTTGCCAATGATATTTCCAGATTTTCCACAACTAAGTATTAATTTTATAATGAAATAACTTTACTAAAAATAAAATGCTCATCAATAGTTTTGAAACATTTTCAGAGAAAAAGCTAACAATGTAAATAACTTACATTGTAAATAAAAAGCTTACATTTGTGTATAGACATCTACCTGGAGAATTAATGCAGGTCTTCTTCCCCAAAAATTAACCTTCACAGCTGAACTTTTACTATTCCACCTACCAGAAGAAAAATAGTACCACGCCATCTTCCAAACAAAGGTGGTCAGGTTGGACAACACCACACACTGTCAACAGTGAAAGCAGCTTATATGCAAATGCACATAGCATTTTATAGGCTAACCATTTTCACAGTTACTCATTATCCTGAATATAATCCTAAAACTAGATAGACCTAATATTATTATCCTTACTTTACATTGAAGGAAAAAGGTTCAGAGAAGTAAATTGACTTGCTTGATGTCAGGGCTAGAAAGTACAGAGCTGGGATTATAAATTGGTCTTCTGATTCCCAGTCCAGTAATAGATCCTACTCTCTATCAGTAGTTCACAGCTTCACCTCCAGTAATGCAGACTTAGGTTTTCTTTCCCTGTTATTCCCATTGCTTTGACACTTAGCAAATGCTTCCATTATAACAACTGTTTTATTAGACTGTTTCTTTATAGGCACGATGATCTATTATACTATAAGATTCCTGATGACAATAATCATATAATTTCCTCTTTGTAACCCCAGAACAAGGGAAAGTACTCCGCACAAAGGAAGTGCTTAGTCACTGTTTCCTGAATGGGAACTATAGTGTAAATTCATACAGTACATTCCACTCACCAAGCCTCAGAGCGTGTTTCTTTATCAAATGTACTCACATATTAATAACCAATGACTTATTTTCCCTAATCATTTCTATTACTATTCTACTTATTAACTATTCCTTATATTTCAAAATTATTATACTTTTCATTAATTTATTAATTATTAATTTCATTTATACACCTTTACGTCATTCACATTATATTCTTTGCTCTTTAGGAGAGTCTTTTGTAATATTAAGTCTAAACACATTACTCGAAGCTCTCAACATCCATTCATACAGCAATAATACTTAAGACTTTCTTGCTGGTGGCTCACGCCTATAATCTCAGCACTTTGGGAAGCCAAGGCGGGTGGATTTCTTGAGGCCAGGAGTTCGACACCAGCCTGTGTGACATGGTGAAACCCAAATCTATAAAAATTACCAAAAGGAGCAGGGCGTGGTAGCATGCACCTGTAGTCCCAGCTACTCGGGAGACTGAGGTGCGAGGATCACCTGAGCCCAGGAGGTCAAGGCTTGCAGTGAGCTGTAATCGTGCCACTGCACCCCAGCCTGGGTGACAGAGTGTGATCCCCTCTCAAAAAGGAAAAAAAAAAGTCTTTCTTTGCATAAGTCCCTAAGGACACTAAGAGGAATGAAAGATGGTCCCCATCCAGCAAGATCTTACCTTCTGGAGTAAAGACAGACTTTTTACTTCTCAAAGAGTTAAGAACATCTGAAGAAACCAAGAGTAATGTCCATCTTACTTGCAACTTCCTCTTGGATGGCTTAAATAATCTTCCTTATATATAATAATATTTGTCAGTAGGTGATAATGAGTACAACTGCAAAATCACCTTGCTACTACAAACACCACATGTCCAAAAGTTAACTATAATAGTCCCTCCTTATCCATGGTTTCATTTTCTACAGTTTCAGTCACCCATGGTCAACTGCAGTCCAAAGATATTAAATGGAAAAATCCAGAAATAAACAATTCATAAGTTTTAAATTGTGTACCACTCTGAGTAACATGATACAATCTCTCAGTGTCCTGCTCCATCCCGCCTGGAACATAAATCATTCCTTCATCCAGCATATCCACAATGTGTATGCTACTCATCCATTAGTCGCTTAGTAGTTGTCTTGGTTATCAAATCAACTGTAGAGGTAACATGCTAGTGTTCAAGTAACCCTATTTTATAACGGCCCTAATGCACAAGAGTAGTGATGCTGGCATACTGTTTTTATTGTTCTACTTTATTATTATAGCTGTTAGTTTCTTACTATGGCTAATTTACAAATTAAACTTTGTTGTAAATACATACGTATTTGAAAAAAACATAGTATTTACAGAGTTCGGTACTATCCGCAGTTTCATTGTGGGTTTTATATCCCCCTGTGGATAAGGCAGGGCTACCGCATTGCTAATTAGAAGTAGCGAGGACTAATGTATTGTTAATTAGAAGCAAGTTCCATAAGATATACCTACATGCACACACACATGCACACACATACACAAGTAGCTGCAGAGAGCACTAAGTAAATTAAGAATTGTGTTCCTGAGTCAGCGCAAGCAAGGGCTTATTTATATAGTATGCTTCAGGTTTATTCTCACTAGAAAATGTTACAAACAATGACATTAACCATCCTTTGTTAAAATGAATTGATACTGAAGCCTGTGTTAACTAGATTACCTGAACAGAGAAGTGAATGGGTCAACTGCAGCACTGCATAGCCAAGAGCTTGAATTTTCCTTGTCCTTTAGGATTTTTTTTAATCCAGTTGATGTTTCAGTTGAAATGGCATTATTGCCATTAGCTTTAGGGTGCAGGTAGATTTAAAATACAGGAGTCGTGGCATTACAATCTGATGTATTCCCCCAAGGATCTGTTTCACATAATGATGCGACAATCCTAGTCTTTTGTGATTTTTATAACTTCACTAACAGCCTTAGTTTTTTTAGCAGAAGACTTTCTTTTTATATTGCCAATGAAAAATTTATCATTAATACTAGGAATGGCATCAAAATGGATAAAAACTAATGTTAGAAAATCCAAGTGAAAATCTATTAATGCCTATTACATATTCAGAGGCAAAATCTTGTTTTAAATTATTTGGATGATTATTCTAGAGAAGTATGTCTTAAATAATCATTGAACTCTTAGAATATATATATTCCGTATATATATTAGAATTCCATCCATATATGTAGAATATATATATGGAAACATTATTAAATTTAAAACTAAAATAGCACTGGCCTCAGGTTAGGGGAGGCAAGGAATATGCAAAGGAGTACACACACTTAAGAAATATGTGATTGTCAAGGATCTAGATTTTGTATTGGGTGGTGAGGTCAGAAGTACTTACTATATTATCATAAATAACTAATTAAATAAAAAGTCACCCTCAAATCAATGATAAGAGTGGGTTAAGAACAAAGGGATTGTGATTAGTTCAATTCTATTAATCCGATATCAAAAAACAAAACAAAATAAAACTGGAGGGATAGGGATAAAGTAGCACCAGCCATATAAAAATAAACATACTCTTACCATGATTGAGCAGTCATACTCCTTAGTATTTATCCAAATGAGTTTAAAACTTATATCCACACACACAGGAAAAACCTGAGCACAAACGGTTATGGCAGCTTTATTCATAATTACTAAAACTTAGAAGCAACCAAGATGTCCTTTGGTAGGTGCTGGTACATCCACACGGTGGAATGTTATTCAACGATAAAAGAAATGAGATTTCAAGCCATTGGAAGACATGGAACAACCTTAAATGCTCAGTGAAAGAAGCAGAAGCTCAGTGAAAGAATCCGGAAAGATTTAGGCAAAACCATGAAGACAGAAAAATGACCAGTGGTTGTCAGGGGTTTGGAGGGAGGAATGAAGGCATGAATAGGTAGGGCACGGAAGATTTTTAGGGCAGTGAAACCCATCTGTAAGATACTAAAATGGTAGATACATGATGTGTCAAAACACATAGAACTATATAACACAGAGAGTAAACTCTGAACTATGGACTTTAGTAATGTACCAATATTGATTATTGTGTAAAAAATGTACCACACTAATACAAGATAATAATAGGGGAAACTGGAGAGCAGGGAGGAGATGAGCATATACATAGGACTTTCCATGCAATTTTCCAGTAAACCTAAAATGCTCTTTAAAAAGTAGTCTGTTAATTAAAACAATAACAAATAGAATATAGCACTAGTCATTCGTGAATGGCTAATTAAGCTCATGGGTTTTTAATATATCACTAATTTCCTCTATTAAAATCAATGTATCTTAAGCAGGATTTAAAAGCAAAAGTATATGTGGTATATGTTGGTCTACTGGCAATGCTGTCGCAATAGCAGCAAAGCAAATGCAGTACTTCTCATAAAAATAAAAATGAAGAACCAATAATACCTGAATCTTGTTTTACTACCTTATTTGACAATGTCTGAAAAATAATTTTTAAAAATCACCCCAAAATGTTATAAAATAAACATGTACATATAAACTTTTACACTGAATTTTTAAGATGCTAGCCTCTCCTGTTTCACATATGAATAGGCAAATAAAATTAGAGGCCTGTTAACATGACAAGACAGCTGCACTTTATTTAAAATAATTAATCAACTGAATATATATGAGCATATGATGTTGGTGTGAAAGGAAACTTGGGGCATTTAGCCTCCTCCAGATCTGGTCTTGTAAAATACAGAAACATATTTTAAATGCATAAGTCAGATTAATAAATGCAAATGCTAAAACATCTTATGCTAACTAATAACTTCCAACATGTTTTGCAAGCAGCAATTTCCTTGCTCACCTAGGCAACTAAGATCCTGCTATATTTATGTGTTTCTCTCGAGTCCTGGCTCTCCACCATGCCATGCTGGCACAAAGTACTAAGTATAATTAATTTGTGGCAGGTCAGCTCCACTCACATGGCTTTTCCTCCTTCTATTAAGTTTATTTGGATTTCATGAAGATTGTGCCAGTAATTGGGAAAAAAGGGCAGTCAGGTAATTTCTTTTTAAGTCACACTACTGCAGCTGTCTTTTCTATCACATCATCATTGAAACATTTGAAAGGTGATTCATTATTGGGAATCACTTGCACCTCCAACTGCCATCGAGCTGCGCCATAAGATCACAGGTGGAGTCTAAAAAATTAAATTACATAAAATGGAGACTTGTGTTATCTTGAATTTAGTTAAAAACCATATATTTCAATTTATCTATATCATCTCATGAAAGCATTAAAACAAGGACAGTGGAACTTACATTGAACATATATGACTGTAAAATGAACAAAGAAGGTCCCAAATTCTTGAGGGTCACTTCCTAACTCTTCCTCCCCATTCAATGCATATGTGAATTCATGTTGTTGCCCAGTGCTTTATTGAAGTTTTACAGTATTTATGACCTTTCACTTAATGTACTATTTATAATCTTCCAAAAAGTAGTGTTCTTCTCTCACTACCATCAAACAAAGGAGAAAAAAGATAATTCTAAACAACTAATGTATAGTAAATAAAATTCATAGAGAAAAATAAGACTAATGATATTTACGATGTTTTCCTCAAAGGCCTATATTAAAAATATTTAGTGATTATCAAGTTTGTATTGAGAGACACACTTCAGGGTTAATGTTTTCTGGTAATTATGTTGACAAATATTAAAATAAGCACTTTCCAGTAGATGTGCCTAAAAAATTCCTGCAATTTTCTTCAGGCAGCTCCAAGGAAGGTGTTAAAAACAGAAGTAGTGCACAGCTTCATACCCACCACCATGATGGAGGCCCGTGACACACCTCACAGACTGCCAGTCGTGCCAAGGATTTAAAAAATAGTCACATTCAACATTAACCAGCAAGACTAGACCACCACCACGTTTCTCCGTGAAACTGATATATTCTCTTTCTTATCACACAACCATGAAGACTTGCAGCATGAGCTGAGGCAGCTATAAACAAAGTAGATGGGCATAATGATGTAAGCAATGATATACTTTAAGAGATTAAAACAAATTACATTATGGTGGGACAGCTTGGAAACAACAGAAGCCGTGACAACAGTTAAATACATAGCAGCTAAGAATTGGGCAGCTCCTTTTGAGCAATTTTCTTTGTGGCAAGCAACTTGTCAAAGGTATCAATAGCACTCCATTCTGGAAACAGTGGCTACAGTCTCAAACTATTAAGGGGGGAAAAAAGGACTTTCCATATCCTGACATGTCAGAATGAACCTGAAGAGAGAAAGCATAAACTCCATCAACATGACCAACGTTTTATACAGACACAGTAAAGATCAGTAGCCTAAAATATATAGTATCTCTCTGTTTATAAAGAAGGCTGATTCTTTCTTCTAATTTTATTTGATTTTTTTCATAACGACACTCTGATGATGCAACCTTGGCATTCCAATATAAAAGATCAACAATGAGTGACTTTCAATACTTCCAAATATGTTTTCACTTTCTGCCAAATTGCATAAACTCATAGGCTAAGTGAGTTGTTCTCTAAAACAAATGGGAACAATTTAGCCTTAAGAAAAGCCCAACATCTATTTTTCACAAATTAGCCACTGATGGGTTTGCATTTCATGAAAACATTAAATGTCGATCTCACACTTGGTGAACTGCCCCACCTACTGATCCAAATGAAAACAGAAGAAATTCATCACCAACATATTGACAGTTTGTGATTTGTTTCAAGACATACCATTTTATCAGTATTCTGAGGATATATTCGTACTATACCAAGTTAATGGCAGGTCCTGACATAATCATTTTACTTACTTCTAACAAAAAGGGTGAGTAGCTTTTTAAGACATTCCTAGCAACAAACTTATTTAAATATAATTTGCTCAAAACCAAAGCAAGCATAGAGGAATTGATCAATATATAGGTTAGTGTATAAATCCACATTTAGAGTACTCCAGATACAGCTATTAATTTTGTCTTACACAGATCATCTGCTGTAAACTGCTAGATGAGGCTTTTTTTTTTTTTTTTTTTCAGATGGCGTCTCGCTCTGTCGCCCAGGCTGGAGTGCAGTGGCTCAATGTCAGCTCACTGCAACCTCCATACATGAGGCTTTTTTAAAAGATATTTTGAGGCAGTATTTGCTTAAATTGAGGAAGATGTGTTACAAAGCCACCCAATTTAGAAAATGCCATGTTAACATGTACACCGACACATATTTACACGAGTCATTTTTTAAGCACAGATAATAACATCAAACAATAGAAAAAGTAACTTTGATGTAAGGTCAGCATATTGGATACTTGCTACTATAAGAAGCTTGGAAGGATTGTCAGAAGGCAGGTCACTTAAAGAATAAATGACAAATGAATACACATAGGAAAGACAATGGAAACAATTGACTTGAGTCACTTTTTATTGTGCATCAATGAAAATCAAAACAAGACCTTCCCCAAAATGAAATAGTGGTAGATTTATGGAGGGCAGAGCATTTATTTACCTGATAAGAAATGAAATATCCTCAAGAATGCCTTTTTAATTGGTTCCCATATAACAGTTAGTATTGCAGAATATTTTAAGCTAAATATGGTACATTTTGATGACTGTAACACTATATGTAGCCTAATTTTTTCCCCATGTATCTTTCATGTTATTTATATAATTTTTAGATTTAAACAATGCTACTTATCCCCATTCTTTCTGAAATATGTTTTCATGTAATCATTATCCATTCTTTACAGAGACAGAATTAAACATTTTATTTTTAAAATAAAAGCAACTGCTTTAAGGATAACTTTCTCAAATATACTAAAAAATAAAATTAGGTCTAAAAGTTGGATATATTCCTAAGCGATACACATGTTTTAACTCTATATACTGATACATCAGAATAACAAGAACACAATAACAATAATAATGGCACCAAACACTCATATAACATTTACCATGGACTAGACCACTAAATATTTTCTTTATTTTTACCATCATGAAAACCCTATGAGGTAATATTATTGTCCTTCCTATTTAACAGATAAGGAACCTGAGATGTAAGAGGTTAGATAACTTTCCTAAGGTCACTTAGCTAGTAAGTGGCAGTGCCTGTTTCCAAATCAAGCACACTGACGCGTTTTCATTGCCATTAAGCACCACACTAGAGCTTCAGATTCTCCTACCCACTCTGAAAAAAGCTGATGGTCTCTCACAGGCAGTTTCTGACAAATGTCTATAGTTCTCAGAGCAGTAGAAGCTGTAGAATTTATCTGGTTCAAGGTGTTGTAAAGGTGGATGCCAAGATTTATACTGGGATTAGGAAAAACAGATAAAAACATTATGTTTCATGAGGAAGAGTGGAAAACAAGTATGAGGAGAAATAGAGGCAAAGAAAAGTACGCAACAGAAGTATTAACTCCAGAAATCCAAAACAAAAAGGCAAATTTTACGAAAATAAAATCTAAGAAACAAAGCCAAGAAACAAATCACATTCCCTCCTTAGGACCCAACAACCTGGTTCGCAGATATTCCCACTTTGCCTGTAAATTTCCCCCGAATTCCTTTCCATTATCCATCTTCCTGAACTATTACTTAAACAATGATCACCATCCCTTCTTTTCTACCTCTTCCTTCTTTTGTCATTAACCCCATAGTGCAATAATGTATTTCTGGTTCCTCTCTCCTCACTGACAATCTTAGAAAGCTCATCTTTCCATATTTATATTTCTGTTGCTTAAAACTCATCACTACTTATACATCCCACTGTGTCATGAAAATAAACATGGGAAAGATAGAAATAATACACTGCATCACAAAGAGGCTCTTTCCTATTTTTCTATCATCAGAGCCATTCTCTACTTTCCTAGGCTTATCAGCCAGTCAATCCTTTGACTCCAACATCAATGCTCACTGATTCCGCCTTCCTTCCCTTGTATGTCCATAGCTATTAATAGTTTCTAAGTTTTAGTTATCTTACTTCTTGGTTGCTAAAACAGTCATATAGCTCATGCCCCTGCCCCAAACTTCTCCCACTCCAGTGCCATGTCCAGGTGCCAGATTTGTTATCTCAAACATCACCCTGCAAGTGCACCAAGATTTCCTAATGTTAGTCAGAGATCTCATCTCCAGAATTTGTTTTTGAAGACCCATTTGACCAGGGAAAGCAACAGGGAAAAAGTAGCCTTTGAACCTGGCAGAATGAATAAGAGTTCACTGCAGAAAAGCAGTCTGCAAGAACAGAATGATGCCGTAAGGAAGCCTCCTTGGGAAACCACCTTGAATTGGTTAACAAAGTTGCTGAGAGCTGAGCATTGCCTTGGTCTGTTGTACAGCCATCTTTATAAGGAAAAAGAAGCAGTCATGGACTAAACACAGAGCAAACTGAAAGGCCTGGAGAAATAACTCTCCCTCCCCCACTTTTTCTTTCTGTGTTCAATGAGCAGAAAATAGTCATGGAGAAAAGGGGGTGGACAGCTGCTCTGCTCTTGCTTGTCAGTTTTCAGTTGGAGAGAAATGCACAGAGAGAATACCAGGAAAGGCTCATGGTCCCAGTCTGCTGTCATTTAATAGTTTTTCTGTCTGCTTTTTATAGGTATTTTGTCTTCTCCCTTGCTGTCAGCTGTCACTTCATGTGGTTGTCAGTGAACACGCCATACCTCAGTAGTTGAGGCCTAAGTGCTGGCATTAAAGAAATCCTAATTACTGAATTAAATACATTTCTAAATTACTGAATTAGTGTGGATGCCTGAACCTTCCAGCATCAGCAGGCAAACAAGAGCAACAGCAAGGGAGAGACTTAGCTAAGTTGAGAGAGGCAGCAAGATTGCCTGTGGCTTCCAGTTAGTTTGAGAGGTGGGATATGCAAAGGAAAAGAATATAAAAAGTGGTGTGAAGAAACTGTAGATGTAGATTCTGCTGTGTGAACTTGGACAAATGGTTTATTTGCACTGTTCTTAGCTATAACATTCTTTAATAATATGTATTTTCCAATGTTGTGATGAAGAACCACCCACTATGGTTCCTTTGCTAGGAGAGACAGTCAATAAATGTTAAATTTTCTATAATCCCACACCCATATAAAGAAATGTGTACAGTTAACTATTCAAAATACTGAAGAACTTGATATTTTAGGTTGTTTACTATTAAATGCACAGAGGTAGTAAGTTTACAAAGATAACGTTGGAAAAGAGTGTACAATTTAGTCAGTTTGGATTAGAAAATGTACACTGAAGAATAGTGAGAAATGTACTTAAAGAGGTGACAAATGGAAGTGAGGATAAAACTGTTCAAATTTTATATAAAATGACAATATGCCATTTAATAAGTTCCATTTTCATGGGATATACATGTGGACAAAGAATCTAGAGTCAAACTGTCCCAGCTCAACACCCAGTTCTGTCATTTCCATGAGAGAGTAGAGGAGTTATTTAACCATCTGGAGCTTCAACATTTTTTCCCTTAACTAGGCTTCAATAATAGTATCTACTTCAGATGGTTGTGAACATTAAATCAGAGAATGCATGTAATGTGTTTAGAACAGTGGCTAGCACAGAGTAACCTTCCAATAAATGTTAGTGGCTATTATCTTGTGATCATTGAGGTCATTCACCTCAGGAACTATTTTGTTCAGCACTACGATTGTATGTCCTATAAAGCTTTTCCAGTTGAGACAAATTGAGAAATACTATCTCCCTATGTTCCTGTAGAATCTTAACCTACAATATCACTATCCAAAATGAGTGGTGGCTAATTGTTTTCATGTCCATCTCCCAAGTGGCAAGAAGGGTTCCTTCCAAACAGGAACCATCTTACTCAACTTTGTAACATCATTCTCTAACAGTGCCTTACATGCATATATAAATCCCTCTGCTGGAAATACCCTTTACTATCTTCTCTAACTAGCAAATCCCTCTTTTTTTTTTTTTTTTTTTTTTTTTTTTGAGACAGTGTCTTGCTCTGTCAACCAGGCTGGAGTGCAGTGATGCGATCTCGGCTCACTGCAACCTCCACCTCCCAGGGTCCAGCGATTCTCGTGCCTCAGCCTCCCAAGTAGCTGGTATCACAGGCATGTGCCAGCACACCCGGCTAATTTTTTTTGTGTTTAGTAGAGATGGGGTTTCACCACCATGTTGGCCATGCTGGTCTCAAACTCCTGACCTCAAGTGATCCACCCGCCTTGGAATCTCAAAGTGTTGGGATTACAGGCATGTGCCACTGCAACAGGCCACAAATCCCTCTTCATTCTTGAAAAACAAAATTGCTTCCAATGTAAAACATTCTCAAATGTTGATCTTAACAGGCAAATTTAAGATTCCCAGGGCAGTTTTCTTGCACCTCAACTGTAATACTTACCACACTACAGTATAACTTATCGGTTCATCTGCACACCAGTTTCTCTAATTGGACTGTGAATTCCACTTCAGGAATCTCATTTTATTCATTGTCTTAGCCCAGCCCAAACAGAACATAACGTATGGCAGATCCTCAAAATTTTTTTGGATGAATGGCTGATGAACAAATGAAGCGAGCAAGGACTAAACAATACACAACATGCTTATCAAATGGAATTTAAAGGACTATGAAGTAACTGGGCTTCAGGTTATCATTTATAAATAGTTATGACTACTGTAATTTTTACAGAGAAGAATACTTTGAGTGTAATTCACATATTCATGTGTTTAATTTAAAAGGATAACAGGAACATATACACGTAGGCAAATATGGGAATTACAGCAATTAATTAAGAGTTTGCTTCTTTTCTTGAGTTTCCTTTTTGAAGTAAAACAAAACCATTTGAAAATTTCATCATGATCATGAATAATATTATGTGGGGTAAATTTTTGAAAGATATAAAGATTTAGATTGTTTCCTTCTCCAGTATAGGTTGTAATTTTCTGCTAAGCACACATTTGTGTAGAACAGACTAAAGGAAAAAGAGAAGATAGGGAGAAGCCTGGAAACGGGAAATAAAAGGGAAAGGAAAATGTAGAAACAAAAATAAAGACAGGAAAGAGGTGTGGTTTGCATTGGAAAAGTACAATGGGAAAGATCTATATGTCATCTTAGATCATACCGTAGTTGTACCTAGGTTTGATCTAAAACTGTTCAGTATGATAATTTTTACAAGTACTAAATTTCCTTCATAACAATAAAAATAATGTTCTGAAACGTCATATAAAATTTTCCTCTAGGAAAGCCACTATCTGCCATTCTTCTCTTCTACTTCTTAATTTCAGGATGAATAAACTGAAACAGGAATTACAGGAGGCAAGCATAACAAGGTGGCCAAATAGAAGTCTACTGTGATCATCCTCCCCACAAGAACACCAAATTGAACAACCATCCACACAAAAATCACCTTCATGAGAACCAAAAATCAGGTAAGCTATCATAGTACCTGGTTTTAAATTCATACCACTGAAAAGAAGCAGTGAAGAAGGTAGGAAAGACCATTTTGAATCACCAACACCATCCCCCCCATCCCTATCCCACCACTCCCCACCCCCAACATACACCTCCTGGCAGTGGCCACATGGCATGGAGACAGATTCTATGCACTTTGGGAAGAGAGAGCACAATGATTGTGGGACTTTGCATTGTAACCCAATGCTGACATGTCATAGCAGAAAGCAATATGGGGTAGAACTCAGCCAGTGCCCACAGAGGGAACATTTAGATAAGCCCTAACCAAGAGAGGTAGGGCATATGCCAGCAATTTGTACCTGATTCACTGCAAACCTCACCACCACAGGCTAAAGTGTTCTGCAGTCCTAAATCAACTTATAACACAGTCTCGGCCACAAGAACTGCCATTCCTGGGCAACTCCTCCTGGTGTGGTGGGCACGGAGTCAGTGGACTTGGTTGGGGGCATATAACTTAGTGAGATACCATTAGGGTCAGCCAAGGGAGTGCTTGTGTCAGCCCCCCACCACCACCCAGGCAGTGCAGCCCACAGCTTAGGTAGAGACCCCTTCCTTCCACTTGAGGAGAGGAAAGGGAAGAGTAAAGAGGACTTTGTTTTGCCACTTGGATACCAGCTCAGCCACAGAAGGACAGGGCACCATGAAGAGTCCTAAAGCCCCCACTGCAGACCCTAACTACCAGATGACATTTCTAGACATATCCTGGTCCAGAAGGGAACACATTGCTTTGAAGGGAAAGACAGACTCCTGGCAGGATTCATCACCTGCTTACTAAAGAGCCCTTGGGCACTGACTAAGTAGTTAGCAGTGGTAGCCAGGAAATACTAGCTGTGGGCCTTGAATGACAGTCAGGGATATGCTGGCTTCAGGTGTGACCCAATACATTCACAGCTTTGATGCCTACAGGGAGACACTAGTTTTGCTTGAGGAAAGCAGAGGGAAGAGTAAGGGTGAATTTCCTCATAGCTTAGGTATCAGCTCTGCTACAGCAGGGTAGAACACCAAGCAGGCTCTTGTGGTCCCTGATTCCAGGCCTTGGCTCCTGGATGACATTTCTGGACCTGCCCTGTGCCAGAGGGGAGCACATTCACCTGAAGGGTGAGTCCCAGGCCAGGAGGCATTCACCGCAAGCTGCCTGAAGAGCCCTTCGGCCTTCAATGAACATCAAAGTAGTCAAGCAGTATTTGCTGCAGGCCTGGGGTGGTGATGGCCACACGGAGAACCTCCTCTGCTTGTGAAAAGGGGAGGGAAGTGTGGGACAGACTTTGTCTTGTGGCTTGGGACCCAGCTCGGCTCTCAGAAAAAAGCACTAGGCAGATTTCTAAGGTTACCAACTCCAGGCCCTGGGTCCCAGATGGCATCTTTGGATCAGCCCAAGGCCAAAGGGTACTCACTGCCCTGAAGGGAAGAAGACAACCCTGGCTGGCTTTGGCACATGCTAACCGTAGAACCCTAGGGCCTTGAGCAAACACAGGCAATAGCCTGGCAGTGTTTACCATACGCCTTGTATGAGAACCAGTGTTCTGCTGCCTTCAGGTCTGACCCAGCGCAGTCCCAGTGGTGGTCGCCACAGGAGCATTTACATCACCCCTTCCCCAGCTCCAGGTAGCTCAGCACACAGAATAGAGACTGTTTAGGAGACAGTAAGGAAGAAGAACAAGAGTCTCTGCCTGACAATACAGAGAATTCTTCCAGATATTATCCAATACCACCAAGGCAGTTCCCCTACAAGTCTGCAAAAGCCACAGCATTAGTGGGCTTGGGATGCCCCTAGTGAAGATACGACTGCAGTGACCAAAAACTTAGATCACAATAGTCAGGTCCCTTCAAATACCTGAAAAGTCTTCCCAAGAAGGATGGGTACAAACAAGCCCCGAGTGCCAAGACTACAATAAATATTTAATTAATCAACACCCGGACACCAAGGAATATCCATAAGAATCAAGACCATTAAGGAAAACATATCCTCAATAAATGAATTAAGGCATCGGGGACCAAACCTGGAGAGGAAAATATGTATGTGACCTTTCAGATGGAGAATTCAAAATACCTGTTTTGAGGAAATCCAATGAAATTCAAGATAACACAGAGAAGGAATTTGGAATCCCAGCAGAAAAATTTAACAAAGAGACATAAATAATTACAAATAATCGAGCAGAAATTCTGAAGTTAGAAAATGCAATGTCATACTGAAGAATGCATCAGTCTCTTAAGAGCAGAAATGATAAAGCTGAAGAAACAATTAGTAAGCTTAAAAACAGGCTATTTAAAAATACACAAAGGAGACAAAAGAAAAAAGAATAAAATAGAATGACGCATGCCTACTAGATATAGAAAACAGCCTTAAGGCCAGGCACAGTGGCTCACATCTGTAATCCCAGCACTTTGGGAGGCCAAGGCAGGCGGATCATGAGGTCAGGAAATTGAGACCATCCTGGCTAACACGGTGAAACTCCATCTCTACTAAAAATACAAAAAATTAGCCGGGCGTGGTGGCAGGCGCCTGTAGTCCCAGCTACTCAGGAGGCTGAGGCAGGAGAATGGCGTGAACCTGGGAGGCGGAGCTTGCAGCAAGCCAAGATCATGCCACTGCACTCCAGCGTGGGTGACAGAGCAAGACTCCATCTCAAAAAAAAAAAAAAAAAAAGAAAAAAAGAAAACAGCCTTAAAAGGTCAAATAGATAATATCAGAAAACTTTCCAAACCTAGAGAAAGATACCAATATACAAGAAATATAGAATATAAATATAGATTTAACCCAAATAAGATTACCTCAAGACATTTAACAACCAAATTCCCAAAAGTAACAGATAAAGAATAGATCCTAAAATCATCAAAAGAAAGGAGACAAATAACATGCAATGGAGCTCCCATAAATCGGGCAGCACACTTCTCAGTGGAAACCTTACAGGCAGGAGAGAGTGGCATGACATATATACAGTGCTGAAGAAAAAGAACTATTATCCGAGATAGTATATCCAGAGAAAATATCCTTCAAACATGAAGGACAAATAAACACTTTCCCAGATAAACAAAAGTTAAGGGATTTCATCAACAAGAAATGCTAAAGAAAGTTCTTCAATCAGAAAGAAAAGGACATTAATGAGCAAGAAGAAATCATTTGAAGGTGCAAAATTCACCGGTAATAGTAAGTACACAGAAAAAACACAGGATATTGTAACGCTGTAATTGTGGTGTGTAAACTACTCATATCTTGAGTAGAAACACTAAAAGATGAACAGATCAAAAATAATAACTACAACAATTTTTCAAGACATAGTACAATAAGATATAAAGAGAAAAAACAAAAAGTTAAAAAGCAAGGGGATGAGGCTAAAGTGTAGAGTTTTTATTAGTTTTCTCTTTGCTTGTTTGTTTATGCAACCAGTGTTTAGTTAGCATCAGTTCAAAATAATGAGTTATAAGATATTATTTGCATGCCTCATGACAACCTCAAATAAACAACATACAAAGGATACACAGACAATAAAAAACAAGAAATGAAAACACACCACCAGAGACAATCATCTTCTCTAAAAGGAAGACAGGAAGAAAGGAAAGAAGAAAGAGAAGACCACAAAACAACCAGAAAAATATAACAAAATGGTAGGAGTAAGTCCTTACTTATCAATAATAACATTGAATGTAAGTGCACTAAATTCTCCAATCAAAAGACATAGAGGGGTTAAATGTTTTTTAAAAAAAGCTCTTGCTTTTATAGTTCATTAAAATGCATTGTTGCTTTCAAGAAACACGCTTCACCTATAAAGACACACATAGAAAATAAAGGGATGGAAAAAGATATTCCATGCCAATGGAAAAAGAGCAGGAGTAGACAAAATAGATTTCAAAACTGTAAGAAGAGAGAGACAAGGTCATTATAAAATGTTAAAGGAGTCATTTCAGCAAGAGCATATAACGATTCAAAATATATATGCAGCCAACACTGGAGCACCCAGATTTGTGAAACAGACATTATTAGAGCTAAAGACAAAGATAGAACCCTATGCAATAATAGCTAGAGACTTCAACACTCCACTTTCAGCACTGGACAGATCTTCCAGACAGAAAACCAACAAAGAAACATCAGATTTAATCTGCACCATAGACCAAATGGATCTAATAGATATTTACAGAGCATTTCATGCAAGGACCACAGAATACACATTTTCTTCCTCAGCATATGGATCATTCTCAAGGACATACCACAAAACACGTCTTAAAACGTTAAAAAAACTTGAATGTTTGACCATAATGGAATAAAACTAGAAATCAATAACAAAGGGAATTTTGGAAACTATACAAAAACATGGAAATTGAACAATATGCTCCTGAATGACCAGTTGGTTAATACAGAGATTAAGAAGAAAATTTAAAAATTTGCTGAAACAAATGAAAATGAAAACACATCATACCAAAACTGATGGGATACAACAAAAGCAGTACTACAAAGAAGTTTAGAGCTATAACCTCCTACATCAAAAAAAAAAAAAAAAAAAAGAAAAACTTCAAATAAATAACAAGGCATTTTAATGAACTAGGAAAGCAAGATCAAACCACTAAAATCAGTGATTGGGTGTGGTGGCTCACGCCTGTAATCCCAGCACTTTGGGAGGCTGAGGTAGGTGGATCACAAGGTCAGGAGATCGAGACCATCCTTGCTAACACGGTGAAACCCCATCTCTACCAAAAATACAAAAAATTAGCCGGGCAAGGTGGCAGGTGCCTGTAGTCCCAGCTACTCAGGAGGCTGAGGCAGGAGAATGGCGTGAACCCGGGAGGCGGAGCTTGCAGTGAGCCGAGATCACGCCACTGCACTCCAGCCTGGGCAACAGAAGTGAGACTCCGTCCCCAAAAAAATAAAATAAAATTCCTAGACACATACAACCTACCAAGATTGAATCATGAAGAAATCCAAAACCTGAACAGACCAATAAACAAGTAATGAGACTGAAGCCAAAATAAAACGTCTCCTAGTAAAGAAATCCGAGAGACGGTTTCACTGCTAAATTCTACCAAACATTTAAAGAAGAATTCATACCAATCATACTCAAAATATTCAAAAAAAAAAAAAATAGAGGAGGAGGGAATACTTCCAAATTCATTCTATAAGGCCAATATTACCAAAACTAGACTAGGACACATTAAAAAAGAAAACTACAGGCAATATGTCTGATGAATATTGATGCAAAAATCCTCAGCAAAATAACAGCAAACCGAATTCAACAATACATTAGAAAAATCATTCACCACGACCAAGTGGGATTCATCCTGGGGATGCAAGGATGGTTCAACATGTGCAAATCAATGTGATGTAACATATCAACAGAATAAAGGATAAAAGCCTTATTATTTCAATTGATGCTGAATAGGCATTTGATAAAATTCAACATCCCTTCATGATAAAAACCCACAAAAAACTAGAGACAGAAGGAACATACTTCAACACAATAAGAGCTATTATATGACAGACCAACAGCTAGCATCATACTGAAAATGGGGAAAAACTAAGAGCTTCTCCTCTAAGATCTGTAACACAACTAGGATGCCCGCTTTCACCACTGTTATTCAACATAATACTGGAAGCCCTAGCTAGAGCAATTAAATAACAGAAAGAAATAAAGGACCTCCAAATTGGAAAGGAAGAAGTCAAATTAGCCTCATTTGCAGTTAATATAATTTTATATTTGGAAAAACCTAATGACTCAATCAAAAAACTATAAGAGCTGACAAGTTCAGTAAAGTTGCAGGACACAAAATCAACAGACAAAAATCAGAGGCATTTCTATATGCCAATGGCGAAAAATCTGAAAAATAAGTCAAGAAAGTAGTCCCATTTACAACAGCTACAAATAAAATAAAATATCTAGGAATTAACCAATGAACTGAAAGATCTCTACCATGAAAACTCTAAAAGATCGATGAAGGAAACTGAAGAGGACACCAAAAAAAATTTAAAATATATTCCATGTTGATGGATTGGAAGATTCAATATTGTTAAAATGCCTATGCTACCCAAAGCAATCTACAAATTCAATGTGATCCCTATCAAAATTCCAGTGACATTCTTCACAAATATAGACACATACAACCTACCAAGAAAAAAATCCTACAACTTTTATGGAACCACAAAAGACTGAGAATAGCCAAAACCATCCTGAGTAAAAAGAACAAAACTGGAAGAATCATATTACCTGACTTCAAATTATACTACAGATCTATAGTAACCAAAACACCATGGTACTGGCATAAAAACAGGCACACAGAAAAATGGAACAGAATAGAGAACCTGGAAAGAAATCCATGCATCTACAGTGAACTCATTTTTGACAAAGATGCCAAGAACATACATTGGGGGAAAGGACAATGTCTTCAATAAATGGTATTTGGAAAACTGGATATCTATATGTGGAAGAATGAAACTAGCCCCTATCTCTCACTATATATAAAAATCAAAATAGATTATAAGACCTCAAACTATGAAACTACTACAAGAAAAAATTGGGAAAACTGTCTAGGACACTGGACTAGGCAAAGATTTCTTGAGTAATATCCTAAAAGCACAGGCAACTAAGGCAAAAATGGACGAAAAGGATCACATCAAGTTAAAAACCTTCTGCAAGGCAAATGAAACAATCAGCAAAGTAAAGAGCATCCCACAGGATGGCAGGAAATATCTGTGAAATGCCCACCTGACAAGAGATTAATAACCAGAATATATAAGGAACTCAAACATTTCAATAGGAAAAAATCTAATAATCCAATCAAACAATGGGCAAAAAATCTGGATAGACGTTTCTCAAAAGAAGACATACAAATAGCAAACAGGGATATGAAAAGGTGCTCAATATCATTGATCATCGGAGAAATGCCAATCAAAACTATAATCAGATATTATCATACCCCAGCCAAAATGGCTTTCATCTGAAAGACAGGCAATAACAAATGCTGGAGAGGATGTGGATTAAAAGGAAGCCTTGTATATTGTTGTTGGTGGGAAAGTAAATTAGTACAACCTCTATGGAGAACAGTTTGAAGGTTCCTAAAAAACTAAAAATTGAGCTACCATATGATCCAGCAATCTCACTGCTGGGTATATGCCCAAAAGAAAAGAAATCAGTATATCAAAGAGATATCTGCACTCCTATGTTTGTTGCAGCACTGTTTACAATAGCTAAGATTTGGAACAAAACAAACTGTCCATCAACAGAAGAATAAATAAAGAAAATGTGGTAAATATACATGATGGAGTACTATTCAGCCAGTAAAAAAAAAAAAGAATGTGATCCTGTCAGTTGCAACAACATGAATGGAACTGGTGATCATTATGTGGAGCGAAATAAGCCAGGCACAGAAAGAGAAACTTCACATATTCTCACTTATTCATGAGAGCCAAAAATTCAAACAATTGAAGTCATGGAGATAGATAGTAGAACGATGGTTAGCAGAGGCTAGGAAAGGTAGGTGTCTAGTGAGAAGGCATAGTTAATGGGTACAAAAGTATAGTTAGATGAAATAAGTAAGATCTAGTATTTGATAGCACAAGAGGGTGAGTATAGTCAACAATAATTTATTTTACACTTTAAAATAACTAAAAGATTATAATTAGATTGTGTATAACAAAAAGAAAAGAATACATACTTGAGGTGTTGCATATCACATTTACCCTGATGTCATTATTACACATGGTATGCCTGTATCAAAATATTTAATGTACTTTATAAATACTTATACCTACTATGGACCCACGAAAATAAAAATTAAAAAGAATTAGAAATGTTAAGAAAACTTAGAACATAATTCATTTTTCTATCTCATAACTAATAATATACTGAGAAGTGGTCAGTCTGATACAGCAAGTAAAAATAATAAGGAAAAGGGAAACATACTTAGATCTTGACCTAAGAATTAACAACTAAAGTCTTCTATGAATCAATATGGTCTTGCTTTAGTAAAATGTGAATTTTATCTGTTGCTTTGCTAACATTAAACATTAGTTGTCACAACAGTAAATGAAATTGAGGCTTTGCACTCAGATAGTTTGATCATACGTGTTCCACTCTATATAGGGATGGGCCACATGACACTGATGCAAACATATATATGTATATATATATATATTCATTACAAATTATCACTTCTTTTCATTGCAAAGTAAAGGGATAAAACTTTTAATAATATACTCAAGCTTAGCTATATAAAAACATGTAATGCTTAAATACACACAGTTAATCCAATGTGCAAATGAGTATTTAAGAGACTATAGATACACGGATTAGATTTGACCTACTGAGTGACAACAGACTCACAGACTCTCAGCCACTGAGACTAATATACATTTGTGGATTATTGACTTGAATTATCAAGACAGTATTTGTCCATCACCTTTTTTTTTAAACAGAAAAGCTAATTATATCTATATATTACTTCTCTGTCTGATCTTGGGATGCTCATTCTGTTTTCAAGAAAAAAAACTTTCATAAAATATCGTACCCTATTTGGAAAAATCAACATTCTTTCAAATGCAGAGGCACTTAAATACATTGCTAAATAGGATTACCTTTGTCAAGCAAAGTGGAAAAAAAATCAAGGCTACAGATATAATCTACAATCCTTAAAGTTTCTAGGATCTTCTTCCATTAGAGTTAAAAATAAAAAAATAAAAAAAGATACAGAGAGAATTCAACACTGATACACTCCATACTAATAATAAATACACTTGGCTTTGTGTTTTATTGTTTTGTTTTGTTTTGTTTTGTTTTTGAGGTGGAGTCTCACATTGTTGCCCGGGCTGGAGTGCAGTGGCGTGATCTAGGCTCGCTGCAACCTCCGCCTCCCAGGTTCAATCGATTCTCCTGCCTCAGCCACCCGAGTAGCTGGGATTACAGGCGCTTGCTACCACGCCTGGCTAATTTTTTTTGCATTTTTAGTAGAGACAGGGTTTCACTATGTTGGTCAGGCTGGTCTTGAACTCCTGACCTCGTGATCTACCCGCCTTGGCCTCCCAAAGTGCTGGGATTACAGGCGTGAGCCACCGCACCTGGACTGGCTTTGTGTTTTAAAGCAATCATAAATCACCTCAACTCCTGTATTTACCCAGTTTTGTATTATGTAAGTTAATTGAAAATAAATTTGCATACCCTGAACATTTCCCCACTGAGGAAGTTAGTCAGGAAATAGCTTGAACAAAACACCCACTGGTGTTGTGAAGGGAACAAAACAAACAGATGACCTGTTTCTTACCTTCAAAAAGCTAGAAACAGGTTGAGGACACCAAAGGGAACATTTAAAAGTAACTCAAGGGCATTTAGGAACAAAATGCTCATGTTAATGGAATGCATATTAAGAAAATGAAAGGCTCCACTCAGGCATAGTTAACTCTCTTCAGTATTCTCAAAGCTGGTATCAGGAATAATTAGAAGAAATAAAGGAGACTGTAAAGGAGTAAGTTCAGTGATTAGTTGAGTCAAATGTATCAGAAATTTTATTTGGGGAAGTGGTATGTGACAGGCACATGGGCTGACAGTGTGACAGTGTGGATAAGTGAGAAAAAACAAATTGGCCTGGTTGAAGCAAGGGTACAGTTCAAACACACTGAACATTGAATTTGAGAGCAATGGGGCTTAGATGGTGAACTGATGGATAACAATGGCAGATTAATCTTTGGGAAAATACTAATTTTTGTTTTCATAATCACTAGTGCTACATTTTTCATTTAAAGGAAATATAATTTTACAAAACTCAAAGTAGACATACGTGTGTGTGTGTGTGTGTGTGTGTGTGTGTGTATTCATTTGTATGTGGGGGTGGCATCTTGCTATGTTGCTCAGGCTGGTTTTGAACTCCAGGGCTCAAGCGATCAACCCATCTCAACCTCTTGAGTAGCTAGGACTACTGGCACATGGGCAAATATTATAAATGTTTTACAGAAACTCATGTTTATGGAAATCTGAATCACTAAATTAAGAATCAAGAGAGATGAATGAACACTATTTAGCTAAAAGCTGCGGGATTAAATGAGTCGTGAAAATTTTAGCCATCTCTGTTTACTGAAGATAAAAGAAATTTCAATTCCACAATTGCCAGGCCTTTACTTTGAAAGTGGACAATTGGGAAATAATGTATTCCTATCACTGATTTCTTTTTTAGCCTATGTCTTGTACTCACAGTGGTTAAAGCCAATGCCTGCGTCTTTTTCTTTTGTTTGTCATTAACCCTATTCTCTTCCATTCTCGAGTGTGACTTTTATCACATTTTAGGTGTATAAATACATAGTTTCATAACAGATATCAATAGAAAGATAATTCCATAAATTGTTGTATCAGTCCATTTTCATGCTGCTATGAAGAAATACCCAAGACTGGCTAATTTATAAAGAAAAAGAAATTTAATGGACTCACAGTTCCACATGGCTGGGGAGGCCTCACAATCATGGTGGAAGGCAAAAGAGGAGCAAAGGCATGTCTTACACGGCAGCAAGCAAGAGTGCATGTGCATGGGAACTGCTCTTTATAAAAGCGTCAGTTCTTGTGAGACTTATTCACTATCATGAGAACAGCATGGGAAAAAAACCACCTCTATGATTCAATTACCTCCCACCAGGTCCCTCCCACAACACATGGAGATTATGGGAGCTACATTTCAAGATGAGATTTGGGTGGGAACACAGCCAAACTATATCAATTGCATTTCAGTGTTAATTTTAGCCCCCTGGAAAACCAAAAACAATGGATACATGTACCAACATTTTGTACATTTACTTCATGGTTCTTACCCTGAAGGAACTCATTATTCAAAAATGAAAGAAAAATACATAGACACACTTAAGCCATGAAGTACAAGTACTACCACACAAGTCATCAGAAGAGCTATATTCGAAATTAGACTCTTTTTTTTTTTTTTTTTTTTTTGAGACAGTCTCACTCTTTCACCCAGGCTGGAGTGCAGTGGTGCAAATTCAGCTCACTGCAAGCTCCGCCTCCCGGGATCACGCCATTCTCCTGCCTCAGCCTCCCGAGTAGCTGGACTACCAGCGCCCGCCACCACGCCAGGCTAATTTTTTGTATTTTTAGTAGAGATGGGGTTTCACCGTGGTCTCGATCTCCTGACCTCATGATATGCCCACCTCGGCCTCCCAAAGTGCTGGGATTACAGGTGTGAGCCACCGTGCCCAGCCAATCGAAATTAGACTCTTAATTACCAGCTTTATAACCATAAGTAAATTTATTACTGGCCCACAGTTTCCTCATCTACCAAATAAGATCAGTGTACTAAATTGCTAGCCAGCTCACAGACACTATAGGGAAGCTGAGCAGGTAGTAATACTGTCAAAATTGTCAAAGGTGTAGGTCACAGTCCCTGAAGACAGATGACAAAGAATTGACTACATCCCTGGATTCAAAAATATCTGCTGCTATAATAAGTGGACATTATTGACAGTGATAAAAACGATTACAACGAATACCATCTGTAATATGCAGCAGGTACCATTTTAAACATTTTACAATTATTAACTCAATTGTCAATAATCCTAAAGGGTACATACTATTATTATCCCCATTTTATAGATGAAGAGACTGAGATATGACATCATACCCAAGATCAGACCAGTTACGAAGTGGTTTAAGTGAGTTTTGAACCCAACGAGTCTGGCTCCAGAGCCTGCATCTCTAATCCTGCTTCTCTAACCCAGCGCTATTTGCTAGTGGGTCTTTGGTTCACATTTTATAATGACCTCCTGCAGATCAGCATAAAGAACAAATAAAGCAAGTGAAGTTCACTAATATATATTCTATAGTAAAGGGCTACGTTTGGCAGAGAAATGCAGGTACATGAATCCCTCATTTTGATCATCAAAGACAATTAAAAAACGTATTTGGCTTCAATCAACATCAAAAAGTTTTAATAATATGAAAAGAATCCAGTTTTTCAAACTAAAAATGATTAATGTGTCCTCCATAAACTGAGCATTATCATTTTTTTTCTTATAGAAAGAAAAATAGAGGGATCATTAAATTGAGTTTGTTCTAATACAACTGTCATTTCTCCCCCCAATTCAAAAATCTGCTCAGTAAACTATGACAGAAAATATGAAATAGATTTTAGGTATTTTTTCTCCTTATTTTGTGATAAGTGACATGGAGTTTATTAATATATCCTAAAAAATGCCACAGAAGTTAAAGGTAAATATTAATTACTATTTTTATTGAGGTACAATATATACATTTCTTCAGTGCATTACTACTTCTACTGACTGGCAAAATACACGAGTTATATCACAGGATATAGAAGCTAAGGATGTCCTTTAAATAAAAAGCATTTGCTGCCTCTATAAAATTCTGTCAATTAACTACGAATATAGCCTCCCACAATTTAAGCTGATAAAAAGTCAGCATTAGTGGACAATGGCATTTGTAACAAAAGCATGAATTATACAAATGATAGCTGGTTGCCTACCTTACACATTTTGCACTAAATTCACCACCTCACCTTTAATGTTTATGCTATCCACTGAAATATCTTTTCAAATAAGGAATATTAAAAGTGTGACATTTAATATAATCAAAATGATCGTGATCACAATCATCTGATGAAATGAGAAAATCCAACAAAGTACACAAGACATTGAAGATTCTTAACAAAATGAAGATGATTACTGAGATGGAGGTATGAATACAGTCCTGCCTAGAGAAAGGGCAATGACGACTTAAGGTCTTCCATAAGACCTATGAAACTCACAAAATCTCATAAGATGAAGAACAGTTGTATTCAGAGCTTTGAGACTGAGACATATCTATAATCATTAGTAACCAGAAGTCGCATGACTCTTGTATGCCATACAAAGTTTAACAGAATTGAATACTACAATGAAAAATCTTGGCAAAAACCCAAGGAGTCATAGGATATGCATCAATTTGCTAAATGTGATTCAAAAACCTAAGTTAAAAGGTCATTTTTACCACGGAGCACGATGTATGGGGGAATGATGCTGTACATACCATCCAAGCTTATCTTACACACTGAGGCAAAAAAATTCTGAGGGCTAATTTCACCATACTTATACAACTCCTAGATACTACAACGATAGCATCTCTAGGATGCATACATTTAAAAACATTTCTCAATATGCTATATCAACAGAACATAAATATGTGCACCTCTAAGTATAGATAACAAAAATACACAGAGGAATGTGATCTTTGTACAGACTAACCTAGGAATTTTCCATTCAAGTAATCACTGACATAAATAAAAGAGATAATCCCAAGATTTTTTTTACACTATATTCACATGTCTTATTAGGCCTTTAAAACAATTGTGTTTATAACCATCTCCTTAACGAGGTCAGAGGTGAGAAAAACTATCACCATGAAACAACTGCAACTCTTATTTTAGGTGGCAACAAATCTGACTGTTCGCAAAATATACTGCACTGATTAGGTGATAGGAAAGAGTTATAAATAAGAAAATAAGAATATATCCCAGCTTTACTTCATTGCTTTTATTTTGTGGCTTTACTAGTTTGGAATGTGATTTCACAGATCAAACTGTGGGTATCTAAGCTCAATATCGAATATCAAAAATACACTGAAATCAACATAATCATCAGTGCTTTTGGAATACCCACACAATTCCATCTCATCCAAATGCATGGCATATATACACAGTCATTGAGAATAATATAACTATAGCAATTCAAACTAAGTATCTATTAAATAAGGATTGTGACTGTGACCATTAAGTTTTGACACTTAACACACACTCTAATTAAGGCAATATTTAATGAACTAGTGGTAGTTACTAAGAAAAATAATGAGCAAAATCTGGCCTTATCATTAGACAATTTCTTAACAATTGTGACAGTATTGTCAGTGAGAATTCAACTACCTAGTTCATTTCTGTCAACATTTTACTGACAAAAATGCCCTAATAGAATCCTTGACCTTCAATAAAGAGTTTAAATGCATCAAGCACAAATCATTAAGTATTTTTCAAAAGCATACCATGGCAATTCTGACATTTTACAAGGTCATTTTTCAGAAGCATAAATGGATAAAGGTTTTACTCTGTAAAATTACTAACATAACTTTTATGAATTGTATGAAATTAAAATTAACTAGGTCAATCATATTCAATGTTTTCTTTGCTAGTATCAAAAACTGTGTGACAAAAGTAATTTAAATCAAAAATGGTCATTTCCACATTTCCAACCAACCATTATACTCCATTGTGAATGAAGCAATCTGAGGATGAAACTTACTGGAGAAACTTACTGGAGAATTAACTTTCAAAAGAACTGCTTTGAATTTCAGATTCTCAGCTATTTGTCTGACTGTATTTTATCTCTAGGTGAAGAGTAGAGATAAATAAGCATATAATGTAATGTGGCACTTCATAGAAATCTAGGGTGTAAATACAATGGAAACAAATTCAAGATTTGAGTTGTTAACCCTTTCTTTTTTTCAAGCCTAGTTATTTAAATAGGACTATCTGCTTTGATTAGGTTTGGATTTTATATGAATGCCTGATGTCACATTTTTTTAATATTAACTAGGATCCCAGACTCAGAAAATATACTCTTCATATATTCTTCTGAGCTACAATCTTCTACACATTACTGCCTATAAGACAGTAGCCTACAGCCACTTAACTGAGAAAAAAAAAAAGAAAATATACTCTTCAGGTATTAACTGCCTTAACCAATATTAGAGTGTATTCAAATAATTAATCTTTAGAGAGGGCTAAACTAACACATTTCATTCATTTGTCAACTGTCTCCTTTGTAAACTGTGATGTGTGTACTGCTGTAAGGTATTATATATTAATAAAATTTGCCAATTTTCCATAATAAATTGGACCCAATTTTATTTTGAAATGTGGCTGAGAATACCCAGTGAGGCTTCAACTACTGAATACCTTCAAAATCCTTAGCCTCAGCCCAGACTGGTCTGTGAGTTCCAGATCATATGCTTTGCTAGTTGCTGAACATCTCCAGCTGCTTATCATATTCAATAGGATTTAACAATTCATTCTTTCTTTCTCTTAACAAACGTTACATTCCTCCTGTATTATCTCAATGACTGACATCAACAGATACCTCCAATGGTCCTAAACTCCAAAGAATTCCAATCTGGCTTCCATCTACACTAAGTGTTAGAAAATAATGCATTAAGATCAATAACATTCTTGATACTGCCAAACCTAAAATATATTTGCTGCCTTTATCTGACTTTAAGCAATAATCTACACGACGAAACTAGTCCCTCCTTTCTTCCTGAAACAGTTTCTTCTCCCGGCATTTATTATATCATATTGTTCTTCATTTTGCCACTTCTTTGTTGGCATTTTCTTTGCTGGCTGCTCTTCCTCCCATTGGCCCTTCAAATGTTAGCATTCAGCAATTAATCCTGGGCCCTCTTTATTTTTCTCTTTCTACAGTTCTTCTTCAGGTAATTGATATGGTTAGGCTTTGTATCCTCACCAAAATCTCATCTTGAATTGTAATCCCCATAATCCCCACGTGTCAACTGAGAGACCAAGTAGAGGTAATTGAATCATGGGGGCAGTTTCACCCATGCTGTTCTCATGACAGTGAGTGAGTTCTCATGACATCTGAATAGTTTTATAAGGGGCTCTTCCTGCTTCTTTTGGCACTTCTCCTTCCTGCTGCCTTGTGAAGAAGGTGCCTTGCTTCCCCTTCACCTTCTGCCATGATTGTAAGTTTCCTGAGGCCTCCCCAGCCATGCTGAACTGTGAGTCAATTAAACCTCTTTCCTTTATAAATTACCCTGTCTCATGTATTTCCTTATACCAATGTGAGAATGGACTAATACAGTAATTTTATACATTCTCATGGTTTTAAATTCCATACATACGTGGATGGACTCCCAACCTCTCCCTCAAAGCCATATATTCTTCTGAGCTACAAACTTTCTACACATGACTGCCTACAAGACAGTAGCCTATAGCCACTTAACTATCTTATTTCTCAAATGTATTATGTCTGAAGCTTAACTTTTGTTTTTCCCATTCATCCTCATCGCAGTAAGTAGCACTGTCATCCAACTTGCTGCATGAGCAAGACACGTGGGAATCATATTAGACTTCTGCTTCCCCTTTGTCTCTCACTTCCCCAAGTTTAATATGTCACTAATTAACTGTTAAGTTCACTTTCTAAATATTTAGCTCCCCCTTTACATCCTCACTTCTACTGCTTTAGTTCAAGTCATTACAGTGTCCAATTGAGACTTGTTTAAAAAACTCCTAATTTTCTCCCATCAATCCTAAACTTTCCTACCAAAAGCAATCATTCTAAAATGCAATTTGATCATACCATCACAAAACCCTGATTAAAAATACATTTAAGGTTACCCATAGGTTACAGTAAAAAGATCCTTTACCAGTTGTCTCCAATGTACCTCCCTCCTGTCCTTCATACCACATTCTCCAACCAAACATTCCATGCCTTACTCCCCATGATGTGACACTTTATCATACCCTTGTCCATGTAGTTTCTTCTGCCCTGAAGACCCTTCTGTTTTTTGGAAATAAAAATCTACATAGCCCTGAAATCCCAGTTCAAATATTATTTTTCTCTGCAAACATCTCAATTCATCTTTAATTATTCTTTAATAATATTATTCCTCCATGCCTCTTTATAGAAGTTACCACATTGTAGTATAGCAATTACTTTATATATCTGCCTGATATAGTTACGTTCTGAGTCCCCACCCAAATCTCATTTTAAATTGTAATCCCCAGTGTTGGGGGAGGGAGCTGGTGGGAGGTGACTGCATCATGGGGGCAGATTTCTCCCTTGCTATTCTCATGATAGTGAGTTCTCACGAGATCTGGTTGTTTGAAAGTGTGTAGCACTTCCCCCTTCACTCTTTCCTGCCAGCCATGTCAAGATATGCTTGCTTCCACTGTGCCTTCTGCCATGATTATAAGTTTCCTGAGGCCTTCCCCAAAGCAGAAGCCTGTACAGCCCACAGAACCATAAGCCGATTAAACCTCTTTTCTTTATAAATGACAGTCTCACATATGTCTTTATAGCAGTGTGAGAACGAACTAATACACATCCTCTCTTTTGAAAATAAGGACCTCTTCGAGGATGCAAACCATATCTTATTCATCTTAGTATCTCTAGCTGCCAAGAGGGCCTAAGGTATAAAACTCTCTCCCAAAAAGTCAAGATATTGGTCTACTGGCCTTCTTCACCAATAATCCTATGACAAGAAGTAATTCTTCCTCTGGATTAACATGGAACATTCTCCAGTGGACCACAATCAGAGTGTCTTGTCACACTGGTGTGATATTGATATCATCAGTTTTAAAGTAAGACACAGAATATTATTTTTGTAAATACTTTGTTGAAATTTTTGATTCAAGAACTTTTTAACAAAACAAAGTGGATTCCATGTTTTCTCTAGAATGAAGTCATTGTAACTTGTTTGTATCCCACCAGGTCTTTTGGGAGAGAGAGAACACAACAGAATTGACACTTACACCATCTTTTCAGCTAGAAGCAAGTTTGTAGACTTCTTTACTGATTCCCCACTTAAAGATAGTCTCTTTATTCTGCCCTTTGAACACCTTCTAGAAAAGTCTCTTGTTAATTCTACCTGTATGCATTAGTCATATCATCACCCCATCTTATTCCCTGAGCTGTAATCAGTTGTGATCATCACACATGGATTAATTGGATATACAAAATGCAAAGCAAAGGCACATTGCCTGCTAACACAAACATCGGAATAATACCTTAAATAAAAGGAATAGGAAAACTATTTGGGGAAGTAGCAGGGAGAGAATGGGCAGGTCATTCCATATCATGCCTGTGGCTTAAAAGAGAAAGAAATATGTTGGTATGAGATATAATATGCTCAGTATTACAAAACATCATCCATTATCTGATTTTTGTCAGGAAAGCTCTGTTCCAGATCTCTTTCCAGAAATACTTTTAATTAGGAGCAAGTACTAAAGTATTAAAGGGACTATGACAAATAACATGGCTTGTGTTAAAAAGACAAAGGGTAAATCTTCTTTTGTTATGTGCTTTCATTATCTTGGTTTTATCACTGCCCTTTGCCCAATCACCTTTTCACAGTTCTATTGAGGTTTAATGCCAACTAACCAGTCAAAATATTACTGTCAATAATCTTCCTAATAGTTCTAAATGGATCCAACTCCTCTATAATCATCATATTAACATTTCAGGCTAGAGAGTGGTCTAGCAGTATGCATATCAAGGATATTCCCCTATACTTGTGAAGTATACATCTATGAACTTTAAATAACAATTGTGAACCCCAGGGATTATGAAAATTTAGTCAGGGTATGGGTCTCAATGTGTTTGACCACCTAGAGATGCATAATATATTCCAGGGGAAAGAGACAGTGAAGGAAACCCTTTGAAAAGATATTAGAGATCAAGATTTTGATTACTTCATCAATGCATGCTAGATATTTCAGAGTATATGTTCTTTCTAAAGAAATGCTTATGAGTTGAAGCACAGTAACTGCACTTAAAGTACACTGAAGTTTGTTTATACCACCCCACAAGCTTAGAGACAGAGAAAACAAACTGTTAGTTATATATGTGTTCACATATATACAGCAACCTGGTTTTTCCAGTCATCCATTATGGAAATGGGGCTTTTATAACGTGCTAACCTCTAAAAGCAATACAGATTAAACGGCAAACCTCTTAAAGCTACTGATGTGATGCTACTTTATCCTCAATGAATAGCAGGAAAACAAATAAGCAATGATTTACTGTAAAGCTTGATGAAAAGTTAAAGAGAAAATAATATTGAAGCAATTAGCAAATTCATAAATTATAACATAGTAAAAAAAAAAAAAAAAAACACCATAAAACAGGATACCTTGGTTTCAATCACTATGTCCCCATTTATTATCTGTGTTATCTTGGGCAAGTTATGTAATTTCTCTTTGCCTTATTTTCCTCAGGTATAAAATGGGACTAATAGGCCAGGCACGGTGGCTCATGCCTGTAATCCCAGCACTTTGGGAGGGCGAGGCAGGTGGATCACCTGAGGTCAGGAGTTTGAGACCAGCCTGGCCAACATAGAGAAACCCCTTCTCTACAAAAAATACAAAAAAATTTAGCGAGACATGTTGGCGTGCATCTGTAATCCCAGCTACTTGGGAGGCTGAGGCAGGAGAATCACTTGAACCTGGGAGGCAGAGGTTGCAGTGAGCTGAGATCGTGCCATTGCACTCCAGCCTGGGTAACAAGAGCGAAACTTCATCTCAAAAAAAAAAAAAGAGGGACTAATAATAAGTAACCTCAAAGGATTATTGAGAAGATAAAATGAGTTGATGCATGTAAGACAATTACAACAATGCTTAGCACAGAGTAAATGCTATGTGTGAGCCATTATCATGATTTATTTTCCACCTTCCACCTGCAAGTTTATTTAAATTGAATTTTTTTTTAATGAACAAAATTACATCATTCACTGAGAAGTCAGAAAGTACACAAACTACCATTTAAGATGCTGCATTTTGAAGGAAGGGGTTACTGAGAAAAGAGAGAAAGTACTAAGATATATTCCAGACTCCAGTGATATTGATAATGATAGCAAATATAACTCTTCAAGGTAACATTTACCTTATTCCAACAAAGATAAATAATTAAGCACCCTTAGTGGTATTAGCTTCCTCTCAGCAAAGAAAAGGCTCAGAAGAAAAAGAAAGATCCCAATTACCTTTATTTGATCACTATATACTGTATACAGGTATCAAAGTATCAGATGTAGCCCCCAAAATATGCGTAACTATTACGTATCAATAAAAAACAAACAAAACTTTTTCGAAAAAAAAATTTAAAAAACAGGGTAGAGGAGCACAGAGCAGGAAGTATTGCAGAAAACACTTTGAGGGAGCTATGAAGAATAAGAGCCAGGTGCAGTGGCTGTCTATACTATGGCCTGCCTGGGCTGTCTCCAGACTATATGATACTGTTGTGAAAATCGGAAATGCGCACTCTAGTTGGAAATAGGCCTGTGGCTACACAGCTTGACAAGTAGAACCCGTGTCAAATTTCAGCCCCTAATCAAACCATCAGCAAGGCACCCTTGTGCAATGAATAACCAGAACAAAAGCCCTGGCTCAATCTTTAGTACTATGCCCCTAGAAAGAGCTTCTTTGAAAGGCAGAAATGGAAAGACTGGGGTCTTCCAAGCCTGGCACAAATAGCTTTTTCTACTGCTTAGCTCTCTACTTTCTCTAGGGTGAGGTTGACATTTTCCCTTTGCTAAACTCTCAGAATAAGGAAGGAATAACTGAGCAAACCAGAATCCAGTATAGTCTGGGACATGTACAAACAGCTGAGATTTTATGTAGAAATGTAAGTAACTTCCATAAATTAAAAGATGTGTTTGTATGTGCAACTTAGCATAAGACATTAAAACAATGTTGATTACCCTTCCACATACATATGCATGACTCTCTACATGTTTTAAAATAACTATTACGATGTCACTTCTAGAAGACAAAAAACTCCACTACTATAATTGTATGATTCATTTTATACTTTACTAATTAAAAATGTGAAGTGATAAACATCATAAACAGAAGGGAAACTAGTGGTCTGAAGGAGTTGGTTTTTAAATTTCTTATATACTTCCCAGGGGCCCTCCAAAATAATTTATTTGGAGTTCACTAATCAAATAAACTAAGCTATCTTAGATGCAGGTTAGCAAATCTCAATTCCAATATACTTCCACATGCACTAATACACTGTGTGAAAACATTATCATACAGAGAAGCTACATTATCTTATAGAATGCAATTCTCCAACACTTTCATAAATGAGGTTATTATAATGGTGCTAAAATACCTCTCTGCCAAACTGAAATACAGTAAAATAGTACAGTTGGAATATTCTTCCATGGTCCTGGATAAAGTTGCAAAGCTCAGACAACCCACTAAGAATTCAGGTTTGTTGCTAACTTTTCTGGATTAAAAAGATGAGGAAATCATCAACGATCACAATTACTTTACCAATTCCACTCATTCTGTAGGACTAAGTTCCTAGAGAAATGGCTGCTTAAGAATGGAGCACGAAGAAATAAGTGAGAGAGACCTTAGTGATCTATCATAAATAACAATAAAGCCACATTAAGAATACTTTGAAATTTATACAAAAGATTTTTTGTAACATATGTATGATCCATTTTGGCAGTTTGTCAATAATTAATAAATGCTAAATTTACTATCAACCACAAGAACAAGATAATGCAAACCTTTTAAAATTTCCTGGATAGAGAATATTATTTCTATGGGGAAGAGGACTTTGTGATGTGATGCTTTAAAGCCATTTAGTAGAAGATCCAAAAGAAATGAAGGTCATTTCTTCTTTTTTTAAAATCAGAACAGGTTTTTATGAGTATACTTTCAGTCCCCCTCGGACACACAAAGAATATAAAGATCTTTCTTGGATCATAGATTTAGTTGGAATGAGAATAAAATTCTCTCTTCACTAGAGCAAAGTTGTTCAATTTGTAATTAATTCACGCCTAGTACACAGTATGACCTCAGCCTACAGTAAATCAAAAGAAACACTTAGAGGTGCAATATTCATTTGACTAAATAGTTAAACATAGACAGAAAAGTAAAGATTGTCTCTACAGTCCAATCAAACAAAGCACAAATCCCTAGAGTTGAAGCAAAGGTTAATGATAAAGCCATACAATTTATTTCCATGTACCAACACTAAACTAATTCGAGCTTCACTGTATTTCTTACCTTTGAAAATGTTGGTATAGTACATCCACAGATGGTTTTTCTAGATGATCACATTGTTTTAATCCTCTGACCACTTTTTCTGTCAACACTATCCTCTTCAGCCTTTTCTGATTCAGTGGCTACAATAAGATACTTATTGGACAGTACTATGTTCAGCTCAAGCCCCAAATCTAAAAGAGATCTTGATTCTTTGCTTTAAAAAAAAAAAGTACTGCATCCAATCCGTCAACAAGTCCTGCTGGATTCTGCTTCTGAGGGTATGTTTTTCAAATTTCCCAACTCATATGCTTTTAAAGTTATTTTCCATAACCATCACACTTAAGCCCCCACCTAAGTACTTTCCCATCATATTACTGTATTTTATCTTCTTTAGAGCACCAATACTATCTGAAACTCACAGTAATATAATTACATGTTTATTATTATATTTTTACTGTTAGACTTTAAGTTCTAAAACAGTCAAGATCACATCGCCTTAATCACAGCTATATCCCCCAAGGCCTAGACTAGCATCTGGCACAGAGCAGATCCTCAATATATATATATATTTCTAAATATAAGAATGTATAGAATAATGAATTTACTGAACATTATTAAGGAACCCATACTTTCTGGAAAGACTGTTTGCTACATACTTCTTGAAAATAAAAAATACATTTCCAAGAAAATATAAGCAGTTTTCTCCAACAAAAAATTAATTAGTAATTCTATAAACCAAATGCCTACTGAGGTGGCAAGCATATTCCACTACTCTGAATACTTTTTATCACTATCTTGGTTTTTCTCTTATTGGATACTCAACTGTTGTCTTCTCTATTCCCATTTCTAAACTTCAAGATACAGTGACCCCAAAGTTGACTGGATCTTTTTGATCATATTGATATTTGAGTTTACAAAGCAATGAGAGGACTCAGATAAAAACAGGCTAGAAATAAGACAATAAGCAGAAGGGCTTTGGAAAACACTGTGTATCATAGTACACAATGATTCAGTTAATACACATCAGTTTAAGCATCTCTAAATAACAACAAAACAAAATTTGGATCCTAGGAGATTCCTGAAAGGAGGAGGAAGAAATAGTTATCTTGAGTCTAAGTAAGCAAGCAGGGCCTAAAATACAGAAAGAAAGAGATACTAGCATGGCAAAACAAGATAAACAAAATCCATTTCTACCACAGAGAATTCAGAGTTACTCATTCCATGGGTCATAGGTCTAATGGAGTAATAACCATTCTGTAAAAACTAGTAGTGTATGGCATATGATAGAAATTCAATACATATTTGTTGAATGAGCAAATAAGATGAGGAGGACAGCCTCAATGGCCGCTTGGAAGAATTGCTAGAATAATGCTGTTATCTCATTTCTACAGCAAATTAGTCTCTATGTAGGCCATCATTTCTTATTAACACCTATACACAGAAATGTAGCTCCTAATACCCAAACATCAATTGATATAAGATTTGTGAAACAAAGTAAATTTATCCCTATGTTGATTATGCAGGTGTCTGGGTCTGGTGAGAGAAGGGAGGTGTGTATTTCTGAAAGAAATAGGCAAAAGGACTATTTTCTAAAGTTCAGTTACACTGAATTTAGGCTTATGATATTACCTGAAAGGGTTGTAAAAAAAATTTTATCTTTGATTAAAATTTGGTCTCAAAAAATCTTTAATCACTGCTTAGTAAAGGAGATTAGCATTAAATACCTCTAGAAAAATGTATTTTCCACAACCAGCAAATTCTGAACATTGGTTAGTATTAAGTCTATTGAATGGTTTATTTAACGCATAGCTGGTGCCTTCATTAAAAGTTATCAGTACATCAAAGTATTGTGTATTTTGACTGGCAAAGAGATGTCTAATATTTCATGTGCCCCAATTGTCAATCTCTACATGGTAAGGGAAAGAGGTTGCTTTAGTCCTATTAATTTCAGGGTACATGTCCTTAAGAGTCAAGGCATTATTAACACATTTATGCCTTAAATCTTGTATTTCTGTTATGTAAATATGAATAATAAAGCAGGGCATATTTTCATTTCCTCTACAAAGATATCAGTGATGAATTTCAATGTGATAAGTAAAATATTGACATTCTATAAACAGTCATGTCACAAACTCTAATGTCCTGGTAACTCTGTTACTTCCTACATGGAAAGTTGGTTGGTCCTAAAGTCAACTTCCTCAATGGCAGTGGTCAGGCTAAAGTTTGTTCAGAAATATTAAAATCAAACAAATTTTAAGTAACTATTGATAGGTTTAATTACTCATAATGTTCAACAATTAATATACATGCACATTGTTAATATTTCCATGCATCAAAGTCCTTTTATATAACCTCCTTTTTGATTACTCAAATTTAAAATATTTCATATAATCCCTGACTCTAATTCAAAACTGGAAAGTGCAAAAAATTAGAAAAGAAAGCCTATGAACACCAAACGTTTAGTGAGCCAGTATGATAGGCATTAAATAAAATGATTCTTATAAATAAGTAGGTGTTTTTCATGCAAAAAATAAAAGTGACACAGTATGATTTCAATTTAATAACGAATTTGACAAAAATTATTATAAAATTAAGCTTTCCACAACTTTTAATTGGTTTATATTTTTTCAAGACCTTTTAAAAGCAATCTGTTTGAAACAGCATTAAAAAAAACATATTTTGATAAGTTGACATATCGATTCCTTTCAGTCAAAGAAGCATGCTGTCATGCCTGCCCCTGCTAACAGTCACCTCTTAGGAGATGTTTGAAAATGACCTTGGAACTCAAAACCCCACACTTCAAAGACTATTAGGAAAGCATTAATATTTACATAACAGGCATGATAATATAATTTAGGTACTTAGGTTACAGCATTTCTAAGAGTCATATGAACTAGAGGCCTCAAGGAAGATATAAAAACATTACTGACAATCTAATCCCATATGGCCCCTCCTTTCAGTAAGGGTAGATGGTAGGGAATAATGATCAATACACATATCAAAAGAAAGACAGTAATATTGGTTTAGAATCCTCGGCCTTTTACATGATAGTGAAATAAACTTGCAAAACATAGCAATTGCTTATAAAGGAATTCTGAATCATTCCTTATATAACAGTATATAAGGAATATATCTGTTTATATAGCCGTATCAATAGGAAAGACTGAAAAAATGTTTGTGTTTGGTACAAACACAAAATTGGAGGGGTTAAAACAGCAGCAGCAACTTCTGTTAGGGTTTCTCATGTCCTTCCAAAATTGCAAATGTCATCTTCAAGACTTGATTCTACAAAAAGAACCCTTAGATGCCAAGAATGAGTAATACTACTCAGACTCAGAAGCAACTCAGAGAGACAGAAATGTGGATAATCTAGAAACTCTACTGGAGCTTATATCACTGATCCAGACAAATTCTCTTCCCTGCTGTCACACCCATCCTGGTACTCAGATAAGCTTTAGACCCGTCAGGGCATGTATAAGGCCAGTGAAATAAGACTACAGTTCTACAATATGGTATATACTTCATAAATATATAAAAGGAATCTAGACTGCCAGTTATACAACTGACATCGTGTAAATGAATTTGGAAGCTGGCAGTTTGTATACTAATTAAGAGCACTGAGTGGGAACTCAGCTTTCTTATCTGTTACGCTTGTAACCTTTAGCTAAGTCACTTAATCTCCCCATGACCCAGTTATCTCCCCTATATAATTGAAGATAACAACATTGTCGTACAGGTTTTCTTCCATGAGAATTAATTAAATGGGTTAATATATATAAAATGTTCAGAAGAATGTACAGTATATAACAAATACCATATGAATCAACTCCTTTCTGTCTATGCTATCTGTGCTCCTGTTTAAATAAACAGCTGAATTTCCAGCTCACATGTATATTTCTGGTTGGCCATTGCCCAGCGGCTAAGGAACGTGCAGAACCCTCAACAACCAGTCAACAGAATGACCACAGACCAAAACAAATCTAGCACAGCTTATGAATTAATTCATTTTATATATATTTGTTGCAATTCTAACCATATTAATCCTGAGACATTGGACCCTGACCAGCAATATCACTGTTGCTGCAAGAGACAAATAATGGAGATAATGAATTCAGACAATCAACAAAAAGAGTTTCACAACTTAAAATTACACCCCCAATAGCATAAGTCCCTAGTAATTCTTTTGACCGTAAAGGAATTCAATACGAGATAACTGGGTTTTCTTTAACATATGGCCCAGAGGAAACTTACGGCCTAAGAATGGACCTACATAGCAAATTTCCCAAAGGCCTAGAGCCCATTTTTTGCTTTGCTGCCAAAAGGTACAGATGATCTTTGAAAAGATCTCTAAACAATCCCTAAATATCTGACCAGAGGTTGATTGTTCTCACTACTCCTTTTGCTTCTTACTCCTAGTCTAGGGGAACATAAATAGATCTGAGCTAAAGATACTAAAATACAAAAATAATATTACCATAAAAACATTTAATTACCTTTCCCTTCCACATATACCTTCAAAGTTCTGTACATTTGTTCCCCTCTATTAAAACAGATAACTGAAAGAAGCTACATATACCACATAAATACTAAATTATAAAAAGAGATTACCCATTTATAACCATTTGCAAAATTCATAAAAACCAGAACAAACTCTTAAGACCACTACTTTATTAGATTCTAACTAGGGTCCATCCTAATTAATTAAACTTAGTTCTTGGTAATAATTTTCAGGGAAATATTATGCAATATATAAACACTGAGGCACAAATATAAACTGCCCACCAAGGAAAGTGATAATGGTATTTTCAAAAACGTTATTAAATTGGAAAGAGTTGATTACAATAAATAATTGCCTTAATGTCTCTGAGGGTTGGAGGAAATGGAGACTATCACTGGAACAAAATGCAAATGACACCATAATATTGATACAATGCAGAAAAGACTTTGTACAAGTAATTCTCTCTCTCTCTCAATAAACCTTAGTTAAAATATATTTAGTTGTGTCCCTAAAAATAACAAAATCAACAACTTATTGACTTGCCTTTTGAAAAAAATATAAGATCAATTATATATTGTTATATTGTGATATAGGTAGGCACTAAATTTAAAAAGCATGTTCAAAAGTCTTCATTATTAAACAATTTAAGAGAGCTATAATATGAAGCTGCCTCAGGCACTGCTACTGCAGAAAGCAAATATTATCAGCTTAAAATGGCTGAAAACTTTAGCTATTTTTGTCATCACATATTATTTACCTGTGGCCAATTGTTTAAGTTGGTTAGAGCACTATGCTGATAACACTAAGGTCATGAATTCAATGCTTACTGAGTCAGTCAGCTTTGTTTTGCACCATGGCCACAAACTCTATCCCAGCCCCTTGTCATCATAAAAAAAGTGTCACTAGTTACAGGAAATATTAAGCAAATATGGATGATATGATCAGTTAAAAAAACATTATTACTAAAAATCAAAACAGTATTATGCTCTACTAATTAGAGGGGGTGGCATCATCATTACATAAAGATAATAGACAACATTAGCAGACCAAAAAACCTTCAAGTAGAAAACACTAAAGAAAAAAAATCCCATTGCTTTCATAGAATATAAGTGAACCCGCACTCCCCCCAAAATATGGCTGATTGCAAGTCTTCTCAGGAACTGCTAAAAAACAAGGAATCCCTTAGCTAAATTTTGCCGCAGTCTGAAGTATTTAAAAATCGCTTGTGTCCCAAAACCCTGCCTCAAATCTAAGAAATTTCTGATGAGTCTGTGTATGTGTTCAGTTTATGCCCGGAAATGGATTACGAAAATGTTAAAAATGAATGTCTATACACTATATTACAAAGATTTCAGAACCATATGCTGATCTATCATGCAGCTATATTAATATTTGCTAATGCAGTCAATCATTAAAATGCTTAAATTGTCAGCATTCAGAAAACAAAAGCATGTAAAATAGAACCAAAATGCCAATAATTAATAGGGATGTGATCTGATTCTGCAAGAGCAAATAGTAAGTAAAACCTATGAGAGGAGTGATAGCATCTTTATCACTGCTGTTAGCAGAACAAAAGGTACCTAATCACACCAGCTTCTCTTTTCAAAGAAAATTACAAATATCCTAATAGCATCACATGTCACAGAGTAGTTACTTTTTGTTACCTACTATTAAAAGCAATTACATGCTAGGAAACAACACATTCCTAACACATTGCCAGAAGCAAGTTATCAGTTTATTCTTATCACATGAAGCCAGGCACAGTCAGCTCTCAGTAAGCCATTCTAACGGAGGAACTATTGTTAATTCACAGTAGTTGTACTTGCCATTTGAATGCATCACATATTTTGCTTAGACTCCTACAAAATTAATTTAATTAACAGCCATCCAATGATCCTTAAGCCAGTATCAACAGATGACAAAGAACAAGAGGAAACAGTGCCAGGAAGCAGGGGGAAATCAGAATAGTATTAATATGTGGCCATGGATAAAACAAAGGCAGACCAGGCACACAATGGAAAACTTAATCTAGGGTGGTTAGTAACCTCAATATATTTTCACTCTTTCTAGATTGGTGTTATATTGAGAGACATGTTTCAATATGTTGTAAACCATTTAGTGGGCAAATGGAGTCATTCAGTTCTGTCTTTTGTGGGTACATTTTTACTGGGTCCAATTAATAGAAATGTATTAATACTCTACATAAACTAGGTAGAATCGGGTAGGCAAGAATAAGGTACTTCAGAGGTTACAAATTCATGTATTAATACCCTTACCCTTGTCCTGTGGGGCAGATAAAGGGATCTTGAAGTGAGATTTTTGATAGTAGAGCCATAGGCACAGTTATACTACAGAGTGATCCAGTAGTGTTTAAAAGCACAAGCTGTGGATTCAGGATTGTGCTAATACATTCAATTTCCAAGTCTTTGTTTATGTCGTAAACACAGCAAAGTAATGTAGCATGTAGGCTACGGAATCACCCTGCTTGAGCTTGATTTCAAGCTCCACTTTGCTCATCTGCAAAATGATTTCAATAACAGTACCTACTGTATAGGGTAGAAAACAAAATTGAATGTAATAATCCATGTCAAAACTTCACAAAGTACCTGGCATATAGTGAAGGCACAACAAATATTAACATATAATTACAGAAATTGTCAGTTTGTTTTGAATCTGTGATATATATTTATCTTCATTCTCATAAAACCTTTTGATAGTTATTCTATTGATTATTATTGTATTTCAGTTATTTTTTAAACAGACAAAAAGAAATTAAAAATTTTACTTAGAATGAAACAACAAATCAAGAAATGGACATATATGTCAGCCCACTAAAGTTGTTTATTTAAGTGGGCCAACCATACATTTTAAAACTTTATTGACTAAATCAACCACAACCACTTTTGAAACAAAAAAAAATCTAAGTTTCACATTTGAAAACTTTAAAGAAAATATGTGATTATGTATACAATTTTTTTTTTTCCCGAGATAGGGTTCACTCTGTCATCAAGGCTACATTGCAGTGGCATGATCACAGCTCACTGCAGCCTCAACCTCCCTGGGTTCAGGTGATTTTTCCACCTCAGTCTACCAAGTAGTTGGGACCACAGGTGCATGCCACCATGCCTGGCCAATTTTTTTTTTTTTTTTTTTTTTTTTGGTAGAGATGGGGTTTCACCATGTTGCCCAGGCTGGTCTTGAACTCATGGTCTCATGCGATCCACCCACCCTGGCCTCCCAAAGTGCTGGGATTACAGGCATGAACCACTGCACCTGGCCTGATGTACACATTTTTTTAAAAACACCCAAATGGAGTGAATTACTAAATCACGGGAACATAAGTGTACAAATTAACATTAGCAAACTGCCACAGCCAGACTCAATTATATAGATCTCTGGTATTTAATGAGTAATGAGAAGGATTTTTCAAGAAACAGGTTCATATTCTATACATATACATAGATATATACACACACACACTGAATGAATTACTAAAGATGGTGAGTTCCTACTGATAGGGATAGGAGACAGATAAGCTCTAGGCAGAAAAGGGCAGGGTCCCTGGCGAGGGCTCCACCTTCAAGCCTGGAACCATGGCCCACAGTGAAAACTTTTCATCCCCGTTTTCCCACTTGAGTGTTGCTTTTCCCAAAACCAACTCTGACCCACCCTGCCCCCCATCCTGTACCCATAAAAACCCTAGGTTCCACTGGCTGAGAGCAGAGAAAGGGAGATGAGAAGAAGCAGCTGAACGTTGGAGAGAAGCAGCTTGACTTCAGAGGGACGGCTTGATTGGCAGGACTTTAGAAAAGAGTCCAGCTGGAAACAGCTGGACTTCAGGGGACAAATACCTTCCTGCTCCATCCCTTTCCCAGCTTTCCTTCCGGCTAAGAGCCACTTCCATTGGCAATAACATCCCCTACATTTACTATCCTTAAATTCAATTGTGTGAACTGATTTTTCCTGGATGCCAGACAAGAGTTCAGGTTACAGAAGACTGTTACACTGACTCTCTGCCCTCGTGAAAAGGAACAGGGTCCACTGAGCTGTTAAACACTTAAGCCATCTGCAGATGGCTATAAGCGCTTTGCCTGTAACACTCCTTCTGGGGCTTCGGGGGTTGTGGGTACTCCCCTCTAGATGCTGCTGCAGGGCCCGCACCAGAGTTTTGCTTCTGCTGACACTCAGAAGCACTCACCCTGGCTCCTGCACCAACTCAGCTGTGCTCCCCCTCCTGCAAGGTGTGGAGTGCAGCAGATCCAAGCAATTGCAGCCAGCCAAAACAGCTGGCTAGCTCCAGTGCCCTCATTCCAGTTTCCGCCAGTGAAGGAGTCTGGGAAAATTTCCTGTTTCATTACTATGTGACTAAATAATTATGGGTTAGTACTCATACCTTATTGTACTTGTCTTAGTGCAATGAAACTAAGTATATATAACTGTAACTCATTTGTGTGTTACATACTTATATTTGCCAGAAGCTGTGGTACATGCGAGAAAACAATAGTAAACAGAAATGCTTCCTCCTTCCTGCAAGCTCAGTGTCTAATGAGGGAGGTGAATGAGTCAAGACGATAGTAAATTGTGAAGGCTGCATTCTGATGGAAGTGTCATCTAAATACAAGCCAAATGAAGAATTGGTTAAATTAAACTGTGTTCAGGGAGAAGTCTCCAAGTCTTTTAAGTGTCTCTGTTCCAGGAACAAAGGAGTTCAGTCTAAGTACATTTTAGTGGGAGTGAAAAGGTAAATAACCTTGAAACACATGACAAGGAGTTTCAATCTCCTCCTGAAGAGGTAGTCAGTGAAATGTTCCAAACATGGGAATGCCATGATTATCACAAAACAGGAGAGAAGGCAGAAAGACCAATTAGGATTCTGTTGAAGTCATCAAAGAAAGAGATATCATAACATTTGTTAAAATCAAATTGTATATATCCATGTGAGTATGCAGCTTCTTAAATGACTCCCAAATGTTTCCTGCATCCTGGTAGTCATGCCCTTGAGTAATTCCCCTATCAGTGTGTAAGGGTTGAACCTAGTTACATGTTATTAATGACGAAATTAGGCTATAAAAGACTGTGACTTCCTTATGAATGACTTGCTTTCATTCTTTGTCTTCACTCCTTGGCTTTCACTCTGATGAAGCAAATGGACTTTTATGAGCTGCCCTACTGAGAGGTCCATGATCAAGGAACCAAGGGTGGGTTCTGGACAACAAACATCCAAGAATGAAGGCCCTCAGTCCAATCACTCTGGAGGAACTGAATCCTGCCAATCATATGAATGAGCTTAGGAACAAATCATTCACCAGTCAAGCCTTCACACAGGACCACAACCCTGACAACATCTTCTATGCAGCCTTGTGAGGAACTTTGAAACAGAGGACTGAGCTGAGATCTGCCAAGATTCCTGAATCTGTGAGAAAATAAATGAGTGTTCTATTAATTGCTAAATTTGGGGATATTGGGTTATGCAGCCATAATTAATATTAATATTTATTAATAATTAATAATTAATATTATTCACAACAATAAAATAAAAAGTTAAAGTTCTTTCAACATAATAGTCATACACAAAATGTGAATCTGTTTTCAAGTGCAGCTGTATTCCTAGAAGCATGCATTAAAATAGACGAGATATTTTTCTGTTATAATTTTGAATTTCCTGGGACATCTCCCATTAGGTGTTTGCCAGACACCTAATAACAAAATTTAGCTTGCTCAATCAGCACACCTACTTTACAAGATGATAAGCATTGTTCTAAAAAGAACATTAGTGATTACTGTAATAATGATAATAATAATAATAATATAAATGGGGCTATCCTTAAATTAGGCAAAACTGAGTAATGAACACAAATTACTGAAATACGGTTTGAAAAGAATGCATTAAATTTTTCTCACCAACAAGGATTAATTGACTAAATGGAAGATTACCTGTATAGAATGCTTCAGAAAAGCTACCAGATTTGAACCTCTCTAAATTAATTTCTTAAATCAGACAAATCTCTTATTCTTCTTATATCATGCAAGATATACTCTGGAACTAGTTTAACTGCCATTAATATCCAGTAAGAACAAAGCACACCTCTTTGTAGTTTTATACAGCAATGTTACAATTTCCCACTGGATTTCAATGTAAATAATTTCTATTTGCCAATATAAAACTAATCTACTGGCCAGGCGCGGTGGCTCACGCCTGTAATCCCAGCACCTTGGGAGGCTAAGGTGGGTGGATTACCTGAGGTCAGGAATTTGAGACCAGCCTGGCCAACATGGCGAAATGCCGTCTCTACTAAAAATACAAAAATTAGCCAGGCATGGTGGTGTGCACCTATAATCCCAGCTACTTGGGTGGGTGAGGCAGGAGAACTGCTTGAACCCGGGAGGCAGAGGTTGCACTGAGCCAAGATTATGCCACTGCACTCCAGCCTGGGCAACAGAGCAACACTTTGTTTAAAAAAAAAAAAGAAAAAAAACTAATTAACTTAGAATAATGATTCCAAATATGAATGAGAAGCTATATGACTTAGAAATGCTATTAACAGAACACTTGTTATTGTGCTTAATCTATATATTTATCAGCAAAAATCACTGAAATGGGGAAAGGCAGTCTCATTAACTCATAGCTAAAAGTGTCATATTAAAATAACACAAGGTGTCTGTAATGTTATGAAGCTACCTTCAAAAGAGTCAAAGTGAAAAATTGATTTCATTACTTTATGCATCTCAACTATATTAATATATCATTACCAAATGCCTAATGACATGAAGACCACATTCCTTCCCTCATTATTAGAAAAGACAGACTTCAAGTCACGGCAACGTTTTACCACTGACAGATTCTACATAGAAAATGCCTAAAAAAATCTAAATTATAGAAAGAACCTTATTTCTTTCCATGGATAACGTACAGCTTCCTAGTTTTGGTTTGAGCTCTGAAGAACTATCTTTAGTGCCAGGATAATAGGATTACATATTTCACAAGATAATACAATATATGTGGAACTATATGATTAACCATATGAAAAAGGGATCAGTTAACAGTGCAACAAAATGCACAAATTACTAAGGGCATAGAAGCCATTAAAAGTCATTGTTACAGCATACAGAAGTGATTAAGATTAAGAACAAACTTGGGCTCAAATCACCATTTTGCCACTTACTAGATATGTAAACAAAATATTGCTTAATCTCCCAGAGTCTCAGTTTCTTAACCGACAAAACAACAATACAAGTACCTAGGGTTGGTATGAGGTTGGTATGATATGAATTTAAAATAATTATAATCGCTCTTGGGATATAATGTTTAATAAATTTATTATTGTTTTAATTATAATTATTACTATTATTGCTGTTACTAGATGTTGTAGAGATGGTATTATATTAATAGAAGTAGTACACTCACCACATATTGTCAATATGTAAAGACGGAGCTATTTTGAAGTCTATTTGCTTAGAAGGCAGAAGATACTCTCTTTCTCTCTACAATTGGTGACTTATACTTAAACAACGTCATGTATCTCTGGCTGAAACATCCCTTGTTCCTTCTTTTACATAAAATAGGTGATTAATGCTAGAAAATGACAACTGGAAATTAATGTGTGTCATCATAAGTTGAAACACTTAAAATGTCCATAATGAAAAAAAAAACACTTTGGTAAAGTGATATACAAAAACAATTATTTATATTTAGAAATCCAAAAAACTTTAGATATAATTAAAATGATGAAATTATGGGCTGGACACAGTGGCTTACACCTGTATTCCTAGCACTTTGGGAGGCCGAGGCAGGTGGATTGCTTGAGCCCAGAAGTTTGAGATCACCCTGGGCAACATGGTGAAATCCTATTTCTTGTTTTTTTTTTTCTTTGAGATGGAGTCTCGCTCTGTCGCCCAGGCTGGAGTGCAGCGGCGTGATCTTGGCTCACTGCAAGCTCCGCCTCCTGGTGAAACCCTATTTCTACAAAAAATACAAAAAATTAGCCAGGTATCGTGGTGCACACTTATAGTCCCAGCTACCAGGGAGGCTGAGGTTGGAGGATCACATGACCCTGGGAGGTCGAGGCCGCAGTGAGTTGTAATCATGCCAGTGCACTCCAGCCTGGGTTACAGAGTGGAAAAGAAGGAAGGAAGGGAGGGAGGGAGGGAGGGAGAGAGGGAAGGAGGGAGGGAGGGAAAGAAAAGAAATTATGTACAGGTATTGCAATGGACTGAAGGTTTATGTCCCCCTTAAATTCATATGTTCCAACCTACACACAAGGTGATGGTATCAGGAGGTGGGGCCTATGAGAAGTGATTATGTCACGAGGGCAGAGCCTTCATGATTGTATTAGTGCCCTTAAAACAAAGACTTCAGAAAGACAGCTCACCACTTCCACCATGTGAAGTTACAGAAAGAAGCTACCCTCCATAATCCAGAAAGTAGGCCCTCAAAAGACACCAAATATACCAGTATTTTGATCTTGGATTCTTAGTCTCCAGAAGCGTGAGAAATAAATTTCTGTTGTTTATAAGCTACCCAATTTATGGTATTTTGTGATAGCAGCCCAAACACACTAAGATAGTTAAGTATGGTTTTTAGTTTGCTGCCTGAAAGAATTAAGCCTTCCTGGTTTGTTACCATATACATTAAAGCTTATACTACAGAAGGATGCATGTTGTGCCATTAAGATGACAAATTATTTGTTAGGACACGAACTCTCTCTGGACACGTTAGCACCATCTTACAAGGGCTGTGCACTCTGAGACTGACATCTCATTAATTTCAAGTCAATTGCAAGAATTTCTATATTATGAAGGCAAAGATGAATTACACTTTACCACTCTTTTGTCTTTTCATTAGTTCACTAAATATAGAAGACTGTATTGAGCAACCAAGCAAGGGTGGGTGTCTTCAGAAGCAGCCAGTTGATTCTTAGACTAAGAAACACACATTAAAATATGATCCTAAAGAAAAAGTGCTTTTACATACACACAACTTCAATCTCAGTTACACCATAAGGTTGAAGCTATGTCCAATATTTCAAGCACTGCAAAATGACATTTATATGCATTTCAAATATTTATAACACCTCAATTTTCTGTTATTATTAAAGCTAAATTTCACTATAGAAATATATTATTAAAGAAGCTAAATTTTATTAAGCTCTTATGTTTATTTCTTGTATTTCCTCCAAGCAACATTAAAAGCAAAGAAATTGCTTACAACTTCTACCCACACTATCTTTGTTCTTCCTGAAGCCTCTAGAGAACCCTAGAAATTCTAATTAGAATTAGCAGTTATAAGCTACATATTTTATTATTATTTCAAATTTAGTTAATATCAACCATCATTACTTTAAATCTTATATAATATCATTATTGTCTATAATTACTATAGTTTTTAAAGGAGAGTGACACTACCATTCTAGCCTTGATGATTCTATGCCCCCAAATATCATCAAATTGAATAATAAACAAAACTAGAACATATATACAAATTCCAACACTTACATATATGATACATATTCAAAGCTACTAACAGGATATTCTCCAGCTGTTTCTAACATATATATTTCATGAATTCAGAGAGTATTTTGAAACATATTTTGTAATATGACATTATTATGGCTTGTGAGTAGAACGTAAATGTCATAAGCATGAAGGTACAAGATTTGGGAACTAGAATAGACCTTAGAGATGCAGATTAAGAATTCATACTAGTCAGGATATCATCATATCTTACCTAGTCTACTGATATTTACTCACAATCAATGATCTATCACCTATCCATATATTCCCATCACCTATCCATATATTCCCATCACCTATCTGTCCACAAAAAGCCTATTCAAGGGCTAATCACCAAATTACTAAATCACTAATGCTTAAAGAATAAAACCCTAATTCTTCAGCGTGAAGTTTCCTTGCCACCTACGCCACAAAGTCTCTTCATTCCAGAGTCCTGACCCAAGGCTGACTGCCCGTGCCTTCAAGGCAGTATGCATTTCACCCCTCCTTATTAATAAATTAAATGAACAGCAGATCATTGGCCCAAGACTGTCTCCAAACTTTACATTCCAACTTAACAAATGGAAACCTAAAGAAAGAGTATAGTCATCCCTTAGTATCAACTGAGGATTGGTTCCAGGAGCCCTTGCAGATACCAAAATATACAAATATTTGGCTGGGTGCGGTGGCACACGCCTGTAATCCCAGCACTTTGGGAGGATGAGGAGGGCGGATCACCTGAGGTCGGGAGTTCGAGACCAGCCTGACCAACATGGAGAAACCCCGTCTCTACTAAAAATACAAAATTAGTCGGGCGTGATGGCACATGCCTGTAATCCCAGCTACTCAGGAGGCTGAGGCAGGAGAATCACTTGAACCCGTGAGGTGGAGGTTGAGGTGAGCTGAGATCACGCCATTGCACTCCAGCCTGGGCAACAAGAGCGAAACTCTATCTCAAAAAAAAAAAAAAAAAAAAAAAAGCAAATATTCAAATGCCTGCTATAAAATGGCATAGTATTCATATAGAAGCTATGCACATCCCCCTATATACTTTAAATCATCTCTAGATTAGTTATAATACCTAAATATTATGTTGATGCAAAAGGAATTGCAGTTTCTGCTATTAATGTAAATACTATGTAAATAGTTGTTATACTGTATTTTTTACATTTCTTTCTTTTGAGACTCTGCCATCCTGGCTGGAGTGCAGGAGCACGATCACGGCTCACTGCAGCCTCAACTTCCCAGGTTCACGTGACCCTCCCACTTCAGTCTCTCAAGTAACTGGGACTCCAGGTGCATATCACCACACCCAGTTAATTTTTGTACTTTTTGCAGAGATGGGGTCTCACTATGTTGCCCAGGCTGGTCTCAAAGTCCTGAGTCCAAATGATCCTCCCACCTTGGCCTCCCAAAGTGCTGAGATTATAGGCATGAGTCACGACGCTCAGCGTATTATATTTTTAATTTTTTTCAAATATTTTCTGTCCATGGCTGGTTGAATCCATGGGTGCAGAGGCCTACACAGAGATGAGACGCCAACTGTATATTTTAAACAGCTGAGCTTCAGCCAATCACAAATAGCGAAACTTCAGCCAACTGTAGGCAGCCAATGGATGAGCCTATTCCCAGACAAGGCAAATGTCTCATCACACCACGCCCAAATGAGATAAATGACTATCCGTAGACAATTAGATGACTTTTCTACTTTGTTCCCATGTTCATACTATGAAAGGTTGATGCTCACACTGAAATCCTGCTGGTTCTGAATGCTGACCAATTAATGAATGATTCCTTGCTCAAATGAATTCTGTAAAATTTGATTTGTCTCAAGTTTTTCTTTTAACATTTTACTGATGGTATTCTCTAGCTAGAATGCCGTCTTTCCTTCCTTCTTTCCCTATAGAAATTCTATTAAAATTTCAAGTCCCAACTCTAATTATACTACCTCTAGGATCTCCATTGACCCTACTCAAAATTAATTATTTGTTTTTGTACCCCAGTAGCTTTTTAAAAAGTATCTACTCTAACATTTACTACAACTTGACTAAGTATACTGGGCATCCTCCTACCTCTCTCAGTAGATTGTGAGTTCCCTGGTGCCTGGACAAGATCTTATTCATTTCTTTCCCTCCCATTTAGTATAGAACCTCACACATAATAGATACTCTACAAACTTAACCTAAATGAAACAAGACATCCATTCTTTCCTACAACAGAAATAATCTGTTTTTAAATAAAACATTAAAAATAATTTTCTCTAAAACTAATTTAAATAGGAAGTATAATTTTATGCTACTTTCACATATTAAATATTTAAACATTTAAATATTATAGATATGAGAACTAGTGTGTTTTAAAGCTCCTATTTAGCTCTTAAACAAGTTCCTGAAAAATAGACTTGTAGTGCTTTACAGTACACGTAGTGAGGACAGAGGCATGAGCTCTCCTATGTTCTTGCAGTAGTGAAAAATAATCAGAGGTTTTAGAACACTGGTCTAAGAGGTTTTGAAACAGCTATTAGCAAAAACAGGAATGATGCTCCTTCCAGAATGCAGCTGAGTGAGCTGCAACGAACAGCAAACCGGGGGAAAAAGGTGCCCTAGAGAAAAGAAAACCCAGGCGGTGAAGTTTAAGTTTCATGAAAGCAGACCCTCCTGCTGATTTCTTACTAAACCTGCCACCTATTGACCACAGTATGAATCAAGGCACTGCGAATGACAAGGAACTTCAGCAGTTACAGTAACATCAATCAATAGTTACTGTGTGTTACAAAAGAATGGCAGTTTAGTATCATTAAAATTTGTTTTAGCTATGGTGTGCATGTCTGAAATAGGCTATGATGCATAATTGATCCTGTATATGTCCTTTCAGAAGTAAATTTTAGTAAAAGTAATGGTTCTGAAAGGTGATACTGTCCAGATTTCTACTTAAATATCCACAATTAGGGAAGTCATAGTAGCGTGAAAGAGAAAATTCAAAGAATCAACGTTAAGAGGAATGAAAATAAAGCATTCTCAGCAATACATACATGAGAGGTTTTGTATGAATTTTGTTTGGTTTTGATTTGGTTTGATTAGGTTTTGGCAGCTGCAGTAAGAATTGCTTCAATTCTGACTGATTAGCTCTACCAAGTGCTGAAAAGAAGAGCAGTAAATTTTGCTGAATTAACAGTTGTACTGAAGCATCAATAACTAAGACACACACACACATACACCCACACCCACACACACACACATACACACACACACAGAGCATCAAGTTAAATGAAAGGGATACCAATGTGCTGAGTGCTTTAAATATATAACCTTGTTTAATTCTCACAATACTACCAGGTAAACATTAGCCTATTCATTTTATGTATGAGAAAATTCAGTCTCCGAGGTTACAAGTATCACAGCTGGAATGCAAGTATGTGTGAATTTATTTCCTCTGGCTTTTCCTACTATACCACGCTATCTTTAATGGGTTTTACACTTACCTCATTGTCTCTTACTTCAGTTTCTTCATTGGTAAAACAAAGAGTCTGTGTTTAATAACTTCTAAGATCCAGACTAACTCTAAAATTTTATAAAATCTATGATTCTTGTAGCATTCAATTCAAATAAGTCCATAATCAAAAGCGTAAATGCTCAATAGAAAATATGCAAAGAAATGGAGGGGGAAGTTTACAGAAAAAGAAATTTTATGCCTTTACAGAAAATAAAAATTTTTTTGGAATAAATGAAAAGAGACACAACATACCAAAATCTTGAGGATGCAGCAAAAGCAGTATTAAAAGGGAAGTTAATAGCACTATAGGCCTACCTGAAAAAGTTAGAAAAATCTCAAATTAAAGATCTAGCTTCACACCTAGAGGAAGCAGAAAAACAAGAGCAAATCAATGCAAAAGCTAGCATAGGAAATGAATAAAACCAGAGAAGAACGGAATGACATTGATACCCAAAAATCCACACAAAGAATTAACTAAACCAAAAGTTGATTCTTTGAATGCATAAACAAGATAAATGGACCGCTACCTAGATTAAAAAAGAAAAAAAGAGGCCATCCAAATAAGCACAATAAGAAACAACAAAGGTGACATTACAAATGATCCTGCAGAAAAACAAAAGATCCTCAGAGACTGTTATGTATACTTCTGTGCAAACCAACTACAAAATATAGAGGAGATAGATAAATTCCTGGAAACACACAACCTCCCAAGATTGAATCGGGAAGAAGCTGAAACCCGGAACAGACAAATATTGAGTTCCACAATTAAATCAGTAATTTAAATTAAAAAAAAATGACAAAAACAAACAAACAAACAAACAAACAACAACACCCAGAACAGACAGTTTCACAGCTGAAGTCTACCAGACATAGAAAGAAGAGCTGGTACCAATTCTACTGAAACTGTTTCAAAACATTGAAGAGTAGGGACTCCTCCATAAGTCTATGAAGCCAGCATCACCCTGATAGCAAAACCTGGCAAAGAAACAACAGAACATGAAAACTGCAGGCCACTATCTCTAATGAACATAGACACAAAAATTCTCAACAAAATACCAGCAAACCAAATCAAGCACAACATCAGAAAGTTACTCTGGCAAGATCAAGTAGGCTTTATTTCTGGGATTCAATGTTTATCAACATCTATAAATAAGTGTGATTCATCACATAAACAGAATTAAAAACAAAAACCATATGATCATCTCCATAGACATGGAAAAAGCCATCAATAAGATCCAGCATCCCTTCACGATAAAAATCCACAAGAAACTAGGTACACCTCAAAATAATAAGAGCTATCTATGACAAGCCCACAGCCAACATCATACTGAATGGAGGAAAGCTGGAAGCACTCCCCTTGAGAACTGGAATAAGACAAGGATGCCCTCTCTCATCGTTCCTATTAAACATAGTACTGGAAGCCCTTGGATGAGTAATCAGGCAAGAGAAAGAAATAAAAGATATCCAAATAGGAAAAGATGTCAAACTATTTCTCCTCACAGACGATATGATCCTATACCTAGAAAGCACTAAAGACTCTGCCAAAAGGTTCCTGGAACACATAAAAAATTTCAGTAAAGTTTCAAAATACAAACTCAACTTACAAAAGCTAGTGTCATTTCTACATACTAATAACTCTCAAGCTGAGAGCCAAAACAAGAACACAATATCATTTACAATAGGCCAAAAAAAAAAAAATGAAATACCTAGGCATACACATCTAATCAAGAAGGTGAAAGATCTCTACAAGGAGAGCCACAAAAAACTACTAAAAGAAATAATGAATGACACAAACAAATGGAAGAACATCTCATGCTCATAAATTGGATGAGTCAATATCATTAAAAAGGTCATACTGCCCAAAGCAATTTACAGATTCAATACTATTCCTACCAAACTACCAATGTCATTTTTCACAGGCTTAGAAAAAAAAAACTATTCTAAAATTCACATGGAATCAGAAAAGAGCCCAAATAGCCAAAGCAATCCTAAGCGAAAAGCAGAAAGCCAGAGGCATCACATTACCTGCCTTCAAACTATATTACAAGGCTACCGTAACCAAAACAGCATGGTACTGGTACAAAAATAGACACATAGACCAATGGAACAGACTAAGAGAACCAAGAAATAAAGCTGCACACCTACAGCCATCTGAATTTTGACAAAGTCAAACAAAAATAAACAATGGAGAAAGGACTACCTATTCAATAAATGGCACTGTGATAGCTGGCTAGCCATATGCAGAAGAACAAAACCGAAAGCCTCTCTTTTACCATACACAAAAAGTCAAAATGGATTAAAGAATTAAATGTAAGACCTCAAACTATGAAAATCCTATAAGAAAACCTAGGAAACACCATTCTGGACATCTGCCTTGGGAAATAACTCATGACTAAGTTCTCAAAAGCAACTGTAACAAAAATTGATGAATCGAACTTAATTAAACTAAAGAGCTTCTGCACAACAAAATAAACTATTAACAGGATAAACAGACAACCTGCACAATGGAAGAAAATATTCACAAACTATGCATCTGACAAAGGTCTAATACCCAGAATCTATAAGGAACTTAAAGAAATCAACAACCAAAAAAACAAATAACCCCATTAAAAAGTGGGCAAAGAACATGAACAGACACTTCTCAAAAGAAGACATATGGGCCAGGCATGGTGGCTCATGCCTGTAATCCCAGCACTTTGGAAGGCTGAGGCAGGTGGATCACCTGAGGTCGGGAGTTCGAGACCAGCCTGGCCAACATGGTGAAAACTCGTCTCTACTAAAAATACAAAAATTAGCTGGGCATGGTGGCGGGCACCTGTAATCCCAGCTACTGGGGAGTCTGAGGCAGGAGAATCACTTGAACCCAGGAGGCGGAGATTGCAGTGAGCTGAGATTGCACCATCGCATTCCAGCCTGGGCAGCAAGAGCGAAACTCTGTCACAAAATAAATAAATAAATAAATAAAATAAAAATAAAAAGACATACAAGAGGCTGACAAACATGAAAAAATGCTCATAACACTAATCATCAGGGAAATGAAAAATTGAAACCACAACAAGATACCATCTCACACGAATCAGCATGGCTATTACTAAAAAGCCAAAAAAAAAACCCAAACAGATGCTGGCAAGGCTGTGGAGAAAACAGAACACTTATATACTGTTGGTAAGAATGTAAATTAGTTCAGCCACTATAGAAAGCAGTTCGGAGACTTCTCAAATAACTTAAAACAGAACTACCATTCTACTCAGCAATCACATTACTAGGTTCAAATCCAAAAGAAAAGAAATCATTTCCCCCAAAAGACACATGCACTTTTATGTGCATCACAGCACTGTTTACAATAGCGAAGACAAGGAATCAACCTAGGTGCCCATCAACAATGGACTGGATAAAGAAAATGTGGTACATATACACCATGGAATACTATGCAGCCGTAATTAAAAAAAAATCATATCCTGGCCAGGCATGGTGGGTCACGCCTGTAATCCTAGCACTTTGGGAGGTCGAGGCGGGTGGATTACCTGAGGCCAGGAGTTTGAGACTAGCCTGGCCAACAAGGTGAAACCCAGTCTCTACTAAAAATACAAAAATTAGCTAAGGGTGGTGGGCGCCTGTAATCCCAGATACTCGGGAAGCTGAGGTAGGAGAATTGCTTGAACTCGGGAGGCGGAGGTTGCAGTGAGCCAAGATCGCGCCATTGCACTCCAGCCTGGGCAACAAGACCGAAACTCTGTCTCAAAATGAATAAATGAATGAATGAATGAATGAATGAATGAATAAATAAATAAATATAAAAATAAAAAATGATATCCTTTGCAGTAACATGGATGCAGCTGGAGGCCATTATCCTAAGCAAATTAATGCAGGAACAGAAAATTAAATACTGCATGTTCTCACTTATAAGTGGGAGCTAAATACTGGGTATTCTTGGACACAAAGATGGGAATAGACACTGGGGGCTAATAGAGAACAGAGGGAGGGAAGAGGGCAAGGATTAAAAAACTAATGGTCAAGTACTATGCTCATTGCTACCTGGATGATGGGATCATTTGCGTCCCAAACCTCAGAATCATGCAACATACCCATGTAACAATCCTGCACATGTACCCCCTGAATACAGAATAAGAGTTAAAATTATTTTTTAAAATGAAAGTAAAATAAAATTGCCTGTGAATATAAGAAAATGTGCTCAATCTCACTCCATATTCAAAAAGCAAAAATTATAACAACAATGATTTACCATTTTCACCTCTGAGGTGGGCAAAGATTTTGGGAAAACAGATATTCATATATATTCTTTGTGACATTATAAACTGATACAAACTCATCAGAATGTAATTTCATACTATCTTTAAAATTTGTAAATGTACACAGCATTTTATCCAGGAATTTTACTTGTAGAATTTGTGAAAAACAGCATATATGGAGTCATGTTCACCACAGCATTTCTTAAACAAGCAAAAGACTAGAACTAATCTAAATAGCCATTGATATGGGATTAATTAAATTAAGATAGGCCCATACACAAAATTCTATGCAGTATGTAAAAAGAACACAGTAGATAAACACAAGCACCTACAGAATAATCTTTAGGCACAGTTGGTGAAAACAGCAAGGAATAAAAAACAAAAAATGATAAATGCACATATGTGTTGAGAGGCATAGACTATTTCTAGGAGAAAATGTGAAAAATTAGAATTAATGATTTTATCTGGGCAAAATGCTGTAAGTCTGAGATTGAAGGGAGATTTACATTTGTTAAACTACCTTATTTTACTATATGAATAATTTGCTATAAGCATGAACACTTTGCTACAAGCAATTTTTTAACGTTAAACAGTGATTATAATAAATGGCAATCACTTGAATCATTGAAAAATTCTTTAAATGTGAGGTCTGCGATATCAAATGAGAAAAAAGAAAGGTAGGCCTAATAGTAGTAACTTTTTTTAAATGTCAAAATTCTTCAGAATAGTCTAATCACCCCAGATTTGTGTGTGCATATGAACTTCAATTTACAAAGAACAACAAATACAGCACAACAATCTCCAGTGTACATAATCTAAAAAAAAGAAACTAATTTTCACACCTCTCTATCTTCCAAAATTTATATTCTCATATTCTAAGGCATAATGTGACAAATCAGACAAATGAATGATAAAGGTGCTAATTCCAAGGGCATGAGAGTATGGATTATTTCCATTTTTCAACTGCAAGGACTCATTCAGACAAAAAGTAATATCCTCAACTAAACTATCACTTCTACAATAATTAGTGAAATAATCATGTTGAAATAAAATACCAAAAATTAATGAACCATAACGATCTATTATGAGATTGAGAAGCTACCTGTATAGTAACAAAATCATCTGTGAAATTCACAAGCAAATAAATAAAGGATCTAATCATAAACAAAGCACTCTATTATCAAATCAGTAAACAATACTTATAAGGTACTGGATTTTGATATTAATAGAAAATATCTAATTATAGCAAAAACTATAACATTTCCTAGGAATCCAAATTGATAAGTAATACAAGCATGACAGGAAAGACTATTTAAGACTATGGGACCAATCTTATTTCAATTTCATGAAAAATTCTGAGACTTTAGTGTTCTCTTACATTATTTTCTCTTACATGATGAATCAACGGATTCATCTTCCCTGCTTCTCAGTAAAAACGACTATTTTATAATGGAGCAGTGCAACACACATATTTAACAATAAAAATAAAACCTGTATTTTCAGAAGAATAATAACATTTATGTATAATAAAATTCAAAGGTAAAATAAATTTCCTTCTTTATTTACTAGGTAAAATATAGTTAAATGTCAATCTATTTATGTTTCACCCTGTCCAGTGTGGGAAAAGTATACATATACCCATTACTAGAAATTTTTAGCAAAGCACTAAATTAAATTGTACCTGAATCGGGAACTTATATTTTATTTTTAAAAATGTACCTTTTATCTGAGTAGCAAAATTCAATGCCAATTTGGCAAAGAGATCTGGATTCTCAAACTTGTCTTCTTTGACTCTTAACCAGAAACAGTTCTCAGATAATTCTGTGGGTTCAATCTGAAACAAAAATAACAAAGAATAGATTCTAAATTATAACCTCATATTTAAATTTTCAAGGAACTAACTTTCAGCAAGGTTGAATGACAGTTCCTTTATTCCTCTATCCTCTAAGTCAATTTCAGGATGTATCTAAATAATACTTATAAAGTAAATATTCATTGGGAAATTCAGAATTATGTGACGAAATGGTGAACAATAGAAATAGACCACAAAGCAAATTGCACCTTAAAAACTATTCTACTGGAAGGAGTCTTAAAAATAACTTAGGAAATCCTAACCCCAACTCACATAAAATCTTCTTGTTCCTGGGTTTTTTAAAACAGGGAAACTCAGACTTAGAAAAGTGAATTCCCCTTGTTCACTCATTAGGTTTAAGGTAGCAACCATAATGATAGCTGACACACGCCTCCTACGTTGTGTCAGGTACTGTCTTAAGTTATTTGCATATATTAACTAATTTAATCCTCGTAATAATTTTTTCACCTGTTATTATCTCTACATTAAAAGATGAGGAAACACAGCCCAAGAAAGTTTAAGTGGCTGCCCAAATTAGTAAATGGCAGAGCTGGGATTTTAAACCTAGATAAGTGCTCCAGAGGACTGTGGTCTTAACTACTACCCAAGATTAGAACTTTATCTTCCAATACACCATGAAGTTTTGTGATGTATAACTACCATTACACCGTATACTAAATTGTAAAATTAGGAAGCATACGACTACATTAACACAGGAAGATAACTAGGCAACAGCTTTGTAATCTTGAATTTTGATGAATTGTACTTAATTTTTTAAAAAGAAAACTACATTCTAAAACCATTTACTCCAAGTTTACTCTTATGAGCAAAGCATAAATATATGCATAAGATTGAAAAATGATTTAACCATCATTCTGTTTAAACCAACTTACTACATAGATGCTGTCTAATACTGTAAATATGTTATTGGATGACACATTTCCCCAGATGGTTGTCTGGGTAAATGGATTTTCATTAGAAAATTAGTTCCCAGTGAATGAGGACTGTGTCAATCTACATAATAACCTTTTAAAACAGACATATTATTTTCTAATAATAATAAAGCCAAACAACATTCAGAAGAAAGTATTTTCATACATCAAAAAAAATTAAGGTATATCAATATTGAATATTGTCACTTATTCCACACTATTTGAAAGTGTAAAATTAAAAAAAAAGTCATTCACTAAGAAAAACAAGTAAGATAAAAAGGCTCAATAATAAAAAGGATTTTATTCAAGAAAAATGGGGAATAGGCTTCAGCTGACTGGAGGCAGGTGGCACTCATATCCTCCATAAAAGGCCAAAAAAGAGAGTAGATAATCACAACATGTAAAAACACTGGAATTTGGCAGGGAAGTTACAGAAAACACCTGAGGCACGGAAGGAGCGGGAATCCAGGCAGCAAGCCTGGCTGTGATTAGCTGGGAGCCCAGAGACGCTCCCCCAATGTGGGAAAAGGGTAAATAACATATCCCCAGTGGTCCAGATTCCCACTGTGAACTCTGAAGATTCTAGCCATAGGAGAGCCACTCAGCCTCCACAGGCCCTGAAACTAGTCTTTAGTATACAAAGCGAGCTGCAGTGTGTGCAATGGCATTGCTCTAGAATGAGCATTCACACTGGATCCCACACATGCCACCAAGACCAAAGCAGGTGCAGTATGGTAACAGATTGAGAGCCCAAACCCAACCAGACTACATCCTGCCCTGGGGATGAATGATACTCTATCTCCACATCCTTGGAGCCCACTGAAATCTCCCCACATCCACCCAGATGACTGCAGTGGTGTGATACTGGCTAGATCCAGCAATGAGACCAGGTCCCAGCACTCTAGCCCACAAGGTGTCCTACATCCCAGGAACACGTGGTGCAGCATATTGGAGAGGCTACAGGCCAAGAGAGAATGGGACACTATATTTAAAGTGCCAAAAGAAAAAAAGAAAAAAAGAAGCCAGTTGTATATACCCAACAAATCTATCCCTCAAAAATGAAGGAGAAATACATAATGTCTTTCCCAAACACGCAAAAACTGAGGGAATTCATCACCACTAGACAAGCCCTACAAGAAATGCTTAAGGAAGTCCTACGTGTCTGAAAGAGAATATATCATGAAAGCACATGAAAGTATAAAACTCACATGTAGAGCAGATACACAAATGAGAAAGAGAAAGGACTCAAATGTTAACACTACAGAAAACTACTAAACCACATGGATAAACAATAACAAAGAAAGAAAAAAACAACGGATACACAAAATGAACAGAAAACAATTAACAAAATGACAGGAATAACTCCTCACCTATCAATAATAAACTTGAATGTAAACCAATTAAATTGCCCACTTAGAAGATATAGACTGGCTGAATGTACTAAAAAACATGACCCAACTATATGCTTCCAACAAGAAACATATTTCACCTGCAAGACACACATAGGCTGAAAATAGAAGATATTAAATTGCAAATGGTAACCAAAAGTGAGGAGTAAATATACGTATATCAGATCAAACAGATGTTAAGTCAAAAATAGTAAAAAGAGACAAAGTAGGTATATATATATATATATATATATATATGTGTGTGTGTGTGTGTGTATATATATATGTATATATATATGTGTGTGTATATATGTATATATATATGTATATATATGTGTATATATATATGTGTATATATATGTGTATATATATGTGTATATATATATGTGTATATATATATGTGTATATATATATATGTATATATATATGTGTATATATATATGTATATATATATGTATATATATATATGTATATATATATGTATATATATATAGAAAGGCATCACTTTAGCAAGAGGATGTAACATGTCAAAATATATATGTACCCAACACTGGAGCACCCAGATATACAAAGAAAATATTATTAGATCTAAAGGGAAAGGTACACTCTAACATAGTAATAGTTGGGGACTTCAACACCCTACTCCCAGCATTAGACAGATCATCTAGGCAGAAAATCAACAAATAAACATTGGATTTAAACTGCACTTTAGAACAAACAGGCCTAAAAGACATTTACAGAACATTTTATCCAACAGCTGCAGAATAAACACTCTTCCCATCAGCATAAGAAACATTCTCAAGGATAGATCATATGCTACTATAAAAACCAAGTCTCAACAAATTTTTAAAAATCAAAATCATATCGAGTATCTTCTCAGACCACAATGGGATAAAATTAGACATCAATAATAAGAGAGATTTCAGAAACTATGCAAGTACATAGACTTAAAGAACATGCTCCTGAATGACCACTGGGTCAATTAAAAAATTAAGAAAAAAATTAAAAAATGTATTAATGTAAGTGAAAATTAAAAAAACAATATATCAAAACCTGTGGAAAGCAATGCTAAGAGGGATGTTCATAGCAATAAACAACTACTTCGAAAAAATGGAAAGATGTCAAATAAACAGTTTAATTTTGCACCTGAAGGAACTAAAAAAGCAAGAACAAACCAAACCCCAAATCAGTAGAAGGAAAAAAATAATAAAGATCAGAGCAGAACTGAGCCAGACAGAGATTAAAAATATAATACAAAAGAGCAACAAAACAAAAAGTTAGGTTTTTTTTTTTTGAAAAGATAAAACTGATAAACCACTAGCTGGATTATCCAAGAAAAGAAAAAAAAAAAAAGAAAGACCTAAATAAACAGAATCAGAAATGGAAGAGGAGACCTTACAACTGATAGCACAGAAATACAAAAGATATCAGAGACTACTATGGACAACTATACATTAACAAGCTGAAAAGCCAGAGGAAATGGATAAATTACTGGACACATACAATCTACCAAGAAAGTCCCCCCAGTAAAGAAAAGCCCCAGGACTAATGACTTTACTAATGAATTCTTCCAAACTTGTAAAAAAGAACTAACACCAATTCTTGTCAAACTATTCCAAAAAACTAAAGAGCAGGAAATTCTTCCTAACTCATCCTACGAGGCCAGCATTACCCCAATACGAAAACCAAACAAGGACACAACAATTAAAGAATATCCCAGATGAACACAGGCATAAACATCCTCAACAAAATACTAGGGAACTGAATCCAACAGCACATCCAAAAGATAATACATCATAATCAATGGGATATACCCCATGAATGCCAGGATTGTTTAACATATGCCATTCAATAAACGTGATACATCACAGCAAAAGAATGAAAAATGAAAACTATATAATTATCTCAACAGATGTAGAAAAAGCATTTGATAAAATGTAACATCCCTTCACAATAAAAACTCTCAACAATTAGGCAGAGAGGGAACATACTTCCATATAATAAATGCCATATATGACAAAGCCATTGCTAACATCATACTGAATGGACAAAACATGAAAGCCTTTCCTCTAAGAATTGGAACAAGACTAGGATGCTCACTTTCACCATTCCTATTCAACATAGTACTGGAAGTCCTAGCCAGAGCCATCAGTCAAGCAAAGAAATAAAGGACATCCAAATTGGAAAAGACAACATCAAATTGTCCCTCTTTGCAGACAACATGATCTGACATTTGGAGATACCTAAACACCCCACAAAAAACTCATATAATTAATAAATTCAGTAAGTTGGAGGATACAAAATCAACACACAAAATTTATTAATGTTTCTATAGCTGAACAATAAACTTGCTGGAAAAAAAAATAAAAAGGCAATCTCATTTACAATAGCTACAAAAAAATAAAAAACCTAGGAATAAATTTAACCAAAGAAGTAAAAGACCTTTATAAGAAAAACTACAAAACACTGATGAAAGAAATTAAAGAGGACACAAACAAATGGAAAGAGACAATGCTCATAGAATAAAGGAATTTACACTGTTAAAACGACCATACAACTCAAAGCAATCTACAGATTCAATGCAATCCCTATCAAAATACCATTAACATTTTTTCACAAAAAATAGGAAAAATAATCCTAAAATTCATATGGAACCACACAAGAGCCTGAATAGCCAAAGCAATCCTGAGCAAAAAGATCAAAGCAGGACATTGACTTCAAAATATACTACAAGGCTATAGTAGTCAAAACAGCATGGTACTAATGTAAAAAGAGATATATACACCAATGGAATAGAATAGAGAACCCAGAAGTAAATCCATATATTTACAGCTAACAGATTTGGCACAAATGTACCAAGAACATGCAATGGGGAAAGGACACCCTCTTCAATAAATGATGATAGGAAAACTGGACATCCATTTGCAAAAGAATTAAACCTGACCTATATCTCCCACAATATATAAAAATGGACTCAACATTGATTAAAGACTTAAGCATAAGACCTGAGACTATAAAACTACTAGAAGAAAACAAGACAAATGCTCCAGGACACTAATATAGGCAAAGATTTTGTGGCTAAGACCTGAAAAGCACAGGAAACAAAAACAAAAATGGGTAAGTGAGATTATATTAAACTAAAACGCTTCCGCATAGAAAAGGGAACAATTAACAGAGTAAAGAGACAATCTGTTGAATGGGAAAAAATATCTGCAAACTATCCAACAATGGACTAATATCCAAAAAATACAAGAAACCCAAACAATAGCAACAAAACAAATAATCACATTAAAGAGTAGACAAATAATTTAAGTAGACATTTCTCAAAAGAAGACAAACAAATGGCCAAGATATATGAAAATGTGCTCAACATCATTAATCACCAGGGAAATACAAATCAAGACCACAGTGAGGTATCTTACTGGCATCTTATGCCAGTTAGAATAGCTATTATCAAAAAGACAAAATGCTGGCAAAGATGTGGAGAAAAGGGAACTTTCATATACTGTTATTAGGAATGTAAATAGTACAGCCATTATGGAAAACACTATAAAGATTTCTCAAAAATATAAATAATAGGATTACCATACAATAATGCTCCTAAATAACAGGATTACCATACAATAATGCTGTAATCTGACCACTGAGTATTTATACAAAGGAAAGGAAATCAGTATATCAAAGAGATACCTGCACCCTCATGTTTATTGCAGCACTAGGCACAATGGCAAAGATATGAAATCAAGATATGAAATCAAGCTAAGTGTCCATCAACGGATGAATGGATAAAGAAAATATAGTATTGAGACATAATGGAATACCATTCAACTATAAAAAAGACTGAAATCCTGTCATTTGCAGCAATATGTATGGAATTGGAGATCACTATGTTAAGTGAAAAAAGCTGGACACAGAAAAACAAATATCATATATTCTCACTCATATATAGGAGCTTAAAAAGTGAGTATCATGAAGGTAGAGAATAGAATGATAGTTACCAGAGACTGGGAAGGGTGTGTGTGGGAGGTGGGAGGGTGAAGAGAGATAGGTTAATGGGTATGAACATATAGTTAGATAAAAGGAATAAGTTCTACCATTTGATAGCACAGTAAAGTGACCATAGTTAACAATATGTTGTATATTTCAAAATAACTAGAAGAGAAGATCTGAATGTTCTCAACACAAACAAATGACAAATGTTAAAGGTGATGGGTATCCTAAATACCCTGACTTGATCATTACACATTCTATGCATGTAGCAAAAATCATATGTACCCCATAAATACGTACAAATATTACATATCAATAAAAAATTTTTAAAGAAAAGCTATGTTAAAAGAATCAAAATTGCTTGTCATTTGTTGGTATATTTCAAATATTATTCTCTACATCACTTCGATTTTCCTTTTGCCTGCTTCACAATGTCAAACTATCTGGAGAGTTTCCAATTATCTACAACCTAAATTGAAAGATGGACATAAAATGATGAACCCACAAAGGAACGGAAAGAGTCAGCAGTCATACTCTCAAACATTATACAATGTGTACACATAGCAATGATCAACAAAAGCTAGACAAAGTAAAAAAACTCTAGTTTTAGTATTACCTTTGACCAATTGATTCTCTTCATGGACACTTCAGGTTTATACATTTTTTTCTGCTTCATTCCATAAGGTAGATTAAGTGATATTCCTGGGGGAGGAGGAACTCCTCCAAGGGGTGGTGGTGGAGGAGGTCCCCCAAATAAAAGTGGTGGTGGGGGTGGTGGTGGTATCCCCATCATTCCAGGTAAAGGAGGTGGTGGAGGAGGAAGAGGAGCTCCTCCGGGTAGAGGTGGCGCGGGTGGTGGTGGAGGCGGCCCTACACCTGGCAATGGAGGTGCTGCAGGAGGACCTGGAATTCCTGATGAACTTGAGAGTACTTGTGCCTGAAATATAAATAATCCAAGTTTAAATGCTTATAAAATATAATTGAAAAAACTGAAGAAATATATATCAATAGATATTTGTAGTTTATTTATCTTATGTTTTAAGATCATATATACTTTTTTAGATATTACTAAAATATCTAAATATTTAGCAAGATCTAAGGGTTTAACAGTATATGAAAAAGGCCTGTGTAGATTTTTTATAAGCATTATAAATTCTGGACAGTGACTACTTCTGTTAACACACAAATGCTAGGAAAGTTGGTATCTGATAGGGTTTGGCTCTGTGTTCCCACCCAAATCGTGATCATGAGCAAGCTCTCACAAGACCTGAAGGTTTTATACGGGGATTTTCCCTTTTTGCTTGGCCCTTCTCCTTGCTACTGCGATGTGAAGAAGGATGTGTTTTGCTTCCCCTTTGGCCATGATTGGAAGTTTCCTGAGGCCTCCCCAACCCTGCAGAACTGAGTAAATTAAACCTCTTTCCTTTATAAATTACCTAGTCTCAGCCAGGTGCGGTGGCTCACGCCTGTAATCCTAACACTTTGGGAGACCGAGGCAGGTGAATTACCTGAGGTCAGGAGTTCAAGACCAGCCTGGCCAACATGGCGAAACCCTGTCTCTACTAAAAATACAAAAATTAGCTGGGGATGGTGACACGTGCCTGTAATCCCGGCTACTCGAGAGGCTGAGGCAGGAGAATCGTTTTAACCCAGGAGGCAGAGGTTGCAGTGAGCTGAGCTCACGCCACTGCACTCCAGCCTTGGTGACAGAGCGAGACTCCGTCTCAAAGAAATAATAAAATAAAAAAAAAGTTACCCAGTCTCAGGTATTTCTTCATAGTTGTGTGAGAACAACAATACAGTAAATTGGCACCGGATAGTTGGGTGCTTCTGTAAAGATATGCAAAAATGTGGAAGCAACCCAAAAATGTGGAAGCAACTTTAGAACTGGGTAACAGGCAGAGGTTGGAATAGTTTGGAGGGCTCAGAAGTAGACAGGAAAATGTGGGAAAGTTTGGAACTTCCTAGAGACTTGTTGAATGGCTTTAACCAAAATGCTGATAATGATATAAACAATAAAGTCCAGGATGAGGTGGTCTCAGATGGAGATGTGAAACTTGTTGGGAACTGGAATAAAGGTCACTCTTGCAATGCAAAGAGACTGGTGGCATTTTGTCTGCCCTAAAGATCTGTGGAACTGTGAACTTGAGAGAGATGATTTAGGGTATCTGGCAGAAAAAATTTCTAAGTGGCAAAGCGTTCAAGAGGAAGAGAGCATAAAAGTTTAAAAACATTTGCAGACTGACAATGCAGTAGTAAAGAAAAATCCGTTTTCTGGGGAGAAATTCAAGCCCTCTGCAGAAATTTGCATAGGTGATGAGGAGCCAAATGCTAATCACCAAGACAATGAGGAAAATGTCTCCAGGGCATGTCAGAGACTTTCATGGCAGCCCCTCCTATCACAGGCCTGGAGGCCTAGGAGAGAAAAATAGTTTCCTGTGCCAGGTCCAGGGCCCTCCCGCTGTGTGCAGTCTCTTTGGTGCCCTGCATCCTAGCCACTTCAGCCATGGATAAAAGGAGTCATGGTACATTTCAAGACATAGCCTTAGAGGGTGCAAGCCCCAAGCTTTGGCAACTTCCAAGCGGTGTTGAGCCTGCAGGTACACAGAAGTGAAGAACTGAGGTTTGGGAACCTCTGCCTGGATTTTAGAGGATGTATGAAAACGCCTGGATGTCCAGGCAGAAGTTTGCTGCAGGGGTGGAGCCCTTATGGAGAATCTCTGCTAGGGCAGTGCAGAAGGGAAATGTGGGGTTGGAGCCCCCACACAGAGTCCCCACTGGGGCATTGCCTAGTGGAGCTGTGAGAAGAGGGCCACCATCCTCCAGACCCCAGAATGACAGATCTACTGATGGCTTGCACCATGCACCTGGAAAAGCCACAAACACGCAACACCAACTTGTGAAAGCAATCAGCAGGGAGGCTGCACCCTGCAAAGCCACAGGGGCAAAGCTGCCCAAGGTTGTGGAAACCCACCTCTTGCATCAGCATGTCTTGGATATGAGACATGGAGTCAAAGGAGATCATTTCGGAACTCTGAGGTTTAATGACTGCCCTATTGGATTTTAGACTTGCATGGGGCCTGCAGTCCCTTTGTTTTGGCCAATTTTTCCCATTTGAAATGGGTGTATTTACCCAATGCCTGTATCCCCATTGTATCTAGGAAGTGACTAGCTTTTGATTTTACAGGCTCATAGGCAGAAGGAACATAACTTGTCTCAGATGAGACTTTGGACTTGGACTTTTGGGTTAATGCTGGAATGAGTTAAGACTTTGGGGAACTGTTGGAAGGGCATGATTGTGTTTTGAAATGTGAGGACATGAGATTTGGGAAGGGCTAAGGGTGGAATGATATGGTTTAGCTCTGCATCGCCATCTAAATCTCACCTTGAATTGTAATAATCCCCACGTGTCAAGGGCGGGACCAGGGGGAGATAATTGAATAATGAATAATGAATAATTGATAATTCTGAGTTCTCCGAAGATCTGATGGTTTTTTAAGAGGCTTTTCCCCTTTTGCTTGGCACTTCTCCTTGCTGCTGCCATGTGAAGAAGGATGTGTTTGCTTCCCCTTCCACCATGATTGTAAGTTTCCTGAGGCCTCGCCAGCTCTGCAAAACTGCAAGTCAATTAAACCTCTTCCCTTTATAAATTACCCAGTCTCAGGTATTTCTTCATAGCAGTGTGAGAACGGACTAATACAGTATCCTCAAAGATTTTGTGAAATACTCCTCTAAAATAATGAAAAATTAACTTTCTTTATAAATATATGTACAAAAGAAGTACAGTGTATGGCTTGGGCCAGTTAGATTAGTTGGTTTGAATATGGGATAATAAATACAAGGTTATGGATTAAATTCCCTTGGGGGCTAATTAGCTTCATACAAAGAGTCTGTTTCATGGCTCTAGTAACTTAGCTGGCTTCTAACACCAATAATAAATACTAAATAGCATCCATTTCCATAGTAATATATGCTTATCAACATTTTTACATTTATTATTTCTTTTGATCCTTATTATAACCCTGTAATACAGATAGGGCATTATTATCTCACCTTTATTTCACTGCTTAAAGATGAGGAAACTGTTAGCTGCAGAAAAAGTTAAATGACTAACCAAAAGTTTCAGAGTCTGAACATGATTAGAATTTCAATGTGGTTCTTCTTACATCTAATACCATCCTCATCCCAATATAAAAGACTGTCTTTTCATGAATGGGTGCCATTTACAATGAGGACAATTAATTCAAATAGATAGGATTATGAGGAGGATATAACATTTCTATCAGAAAGTAACTTCAAGCTCATTCTCTAATGACAATGGATAACAGATGAAAGGGAACACTGCAATCCATATCATGTTCTTTTTAGAGATGATTAATCTATATCCATTTCCTTAAACCAGTACTGATCACAATGGCTCACTTTGCTAGATAAATATATATGAAAAGTAGAGCTGTTCATTATAAACATTCTTATGAAACCACTACCAATGAACACACATCTGTTTTAATCAAGATACGACATTAGATTAACAGAATGAAACGTTTAAAACTAATTAAGGCAGCCAAGGCAGCCATGAGTTTTTTGCAACAGGCCTCAGTCACTGCAGTGACAGCTGTCTGGCCAGTGCCTTGACGCTCGACTGGGATTCAGGGGCTTCCTCACCCGTGGCTTTGTTAAAGCTGTCACTCCTGTTTAACACAGTGGAGATCATAGGAAAAAGACTATTTATCATGAAACCTTCTGGATTCTACAATGGGTGTTTTTTTAATTTACTGAAATTCTATATTTTGTTTATAGGGATTCCAGTGGCAATTGGAGAAACTCTAGTGAATGTATTCATTGGTGAAACTGAACTAGTAGGAATTCCAGAAGGCTATATCCCAGAACAATGGGCATATTATAAGCATCCTATATTGAGATGGATTGTCCATACTTTCTATGATGATCCTGAAAATAATTACGAAAGAACAATGGCTATCCTTCACACTGAAACTGAAAAGGCTGAACTGCAGATAAAGGAGCTGGAAGTACGAAGATTAATGTGGAAGAGAAGAGATGGACCCTGGTATCAATATGTGACCATTGATAGGGCAATTATGGATCATTCTCCAAAAGCAACTCCCAGTAAATAAACATTTATTTATCTAAATACAAAGTGTATTCTCTTTAGTGGAAAATAAATTAGTAAAAATATTCTGTATTTTTGTTCTCCGTGATGAATAAAAGAGCTTCTTACATTACTCTGTTTCTCAATGTTGGTTCATATTAAGGCTTTTGATTTGGAGGTTTTGGTTTCCTCTTTTATGAAAGTTTAAAATATACTAATGAAAAACTGCAGAAATAGGAATTTGTGAACTCCTAAAGTTGTGGTAACTTTGAGAGGTGTTTTATTTACCTGACAAATGGAAGTTATAGAAGTCTAATTATATAAGGCATCAGTAATTGTAGTAGTTTGTACAAATGTCTGTATTACAGACATCTGTATTATTGAGGGGAAACTCAGGATTTTAAGTTCCATAAAATATTGAACGAACTCTGTAAAACATTAACAACTTAATAAACAAATTTTCAGTGAACAACAAAAAAAGCTAATTAAATTTCTTGGGATAGTGTCCTTTTTGTCCTCACCCATTCATTCATTCATTCAGAGACAGTCTCGCTCTTGCACAGGCTGGAGTACAGTGGCAAAATCATAGTGCATTGCAGCCTTGACCTCTAGGACTCAAGTGATCCTCCCATCTCAGTCTCCTGACTAACTGGGACTACAGGCATGCACCACTACCCCAGGCTAATTTTTTTTTTTTTAAGATGGGGTCTCACTATGTGGCCCAGAACAGTCTCAAATTCCTGGGCTCAAGGAATCCTCCCACCTTGGTCTCCTAAATTGCTGGTATTAAAGGCAAGAGCCACTGTGCCTAGCCCTCTCACCATTATTAATATAAATGTTCTACTTGGATTATTTAGTTCTTCTAACTGAATTTATAAATACCTTTTTCATTTATTTTATTTTATTTTATTTTATTTTTGAGACAGAGTTTTGCTCTTGTTGCCCAGGCTGGAGTGCAGTGGCACAATCTCAGCTCACTGCAACCTCTGCTTTCCGGTTTCAAGCTATTCTCCTGCCCCAGCCTCCCGAGTAGCTGGGATTACAGGCGCCTGCCACCACTCCCGGCTAATTTTTTGTATTTTTAGTAGAGATGGGGATTCACCATGTTGGCCAGGCTGGTCTAGAACTCCTGACCTCGTGATCTGCCCGCCTCGGCCTCCCAAAGTGCTGGGATTACAGGCGTGAGCCACTGTGCACAGCCATAAATATCTTTAGAAAGTAAGCTGAAGCAAATGTTTGGAACAACCAGTTGAAAGGACTGACCTATTTACAAAAATATTAAAACTAACACTCATAGGTAGACAAGATCATGGAAAGGTTACCCATAATATTCACTCACACTAGTTTTTTCACATAGATGAATGTTAATGTATGTATATACATACATACAACTAAAGTGTTTCTATACTTAGCAAATAACCATCCTCTCCTGGAATGCAATTTTCTCTCTGAGGTTAGAAAGAAAGACAAGATTAAAATATGTAAAATTATTTTAATTTTACTTTGAAAGTAGCAAAACTATGGAAAACAGTCTCATTTTATAGTCTTAACTGAGATAAAAGTAATTGTGGCAAAATTAAAGGTTCAGAAAATTAGTAATTTATCCTACAAATTTTGTGTATGACATGATATTTTTCATACTTCGAAAGGCAAAATGTGTGTCGTTTCCCATTTTTTAATTAATGGACAACATAATTCAAAGTAATATACATTTGTAAACATCAGTCAATTTTTCACCTCTATTAGATCACATTTATTTTGGGAATTTTATACAACCACAAAATGCTATTATTTAAATAAAATTTTACTCAAGTTAAATATATATTTTACAGATTTAATAAGGAATCTCAAATATTTATATTAAATGCTACCAGCCTTTAAAAATCAAATCATATCAGCCTTTCCTTTCCCTCCCATGAACAATTAGGAATTGAATAATTAAATTAGGCTACCACATCGTATTGCAAATTGAATATGGTAAATGAATAATTTAGTATTTGACATTATTTTGGGCACACTAGAAAGTATACAGCCCTGTGCCTGCACCTGTAATCCCAGCTACTCCTTGGGAGGCTAAGGTAGGAGGAATGCTTGAGGCCAGGAGTTGAGAATGCTTCGTGATTCTGCACTTTTTACAGTTAATTTAACCATAAGTAAGCAACTACTCACTGTGCGGTAAAGGCCTGTGCTAGGTACAGTGGGGCCTTTAATAAGAAACACACTGTCCTCAAGGTGTCTATGCTCTAGCAGAAGAAATAGAGCAGGCACACAAATATCCCATGAGTGGTCTAGAAAAGTGATATGAAAGTTCGGAGAAATTCGCTAATGGAGTTTTTGGTGAAGCTTTCCAAAAGATGTCTTAATGAGCTTCTCCTTAAAGGATACATTTCACACACACAGATGAGCAAAGGAGGGAATTTCTTACAGAGAATAATGTATGCCAACATTTCTCAACTAAGCTCTATGAAAACACTATTTCCAGGAGATGTTGAAGGGTGCTCTGAGATAAAGGGTGCTGTGGTCAAATGAGTATGGGAAATCTATATGAAAAAGAGGTAGGCAGGTTTCTTCAGTGTAAAATATCTGGGACCTTTAATATGCTAATGAGTATTATGAATCTCTAAGATGAGAATTTCATGCGTACTCAATTTATTGGACTATGGAATGCTTTCGTCATGAACAACCTATTGCCATTTCTGTAACTAATCTCTGGGAAATGCTGGCAGAAGGGTTAAGTATGGAGACAGTAATTTCCAAATGTGAAGGGAGGAAAGGTGACTTAGCTGCAACAGAGGCTGTAGTTAGGGGAGCAGTCAGAGCCTAGGCTGCAAAGGGGAGATAAAGGAGGAAAAACTCATGCCAGAGGGTCTTAACATTCCTGGTAAGGAGATTTTATTTAATCCTGTCTGCAACAGGCAACAAGTGAACATATTAAAGGCTGGAGTAACAATAATCAGGGAATTGTTTCAGGAAGATTAATTTGCCACTGACATAAAGGATGAATTTGAGGAGGGAGAAAAGTTAGGCAACAATTGTAATAGTCCAGGCGAGACATCATAAGAGAGGGGACCTGGAGGTTTCTGGGGTTTGATGCGAAGAGGTGTAGTATGAGTGGAGTTGAAGAAAGAACAGACATAAAACTGACTAGCTTAATTTGTCAGTGGGTGGGGCAGGGAAAAGGGAAAGAAAACTCCAGCTTCACCATCTTTAAAATTGGTAGTAAAATTTAAACAGGAAATGGACAACAAACTGGTTTGAGGAAAGAGACAAAACCACAAAACTGGGTTTGATTTCAACATGCAACAGGACCATCCTATGGGGGTAGCTAATCACGAGCTGGAACTAGAAGACAAACTCAAGAGACTTGACCCCTACTAAAAGGGGATATGTGAATGTATGATACTGAATGGAACAGTACAGCAAAAATATACACAAAAAAGAAAAGAGCAGAGGACAGAATATTGTGGAAGGTCACCATTTGAGGATGAAAAAATAAGGAGAAACTAAGTTCTCAAACATGTAGAAAAAGAAGTCCAAGAAAAAGAGAGGGAGGGAAACAGACAGAGAAAGAGATTAATTTATTGAAAAGAAATGATCAAATATTAGAGATAAGTAATACAGGCTAAGGGTAGGAAAAGGCCCCCGGATTGGGTATTATGGAGTTTGTTGGTGACTTTTGAAGTAATCGTTCACTAGACTGGTGGAAACAGACCTAGTCAATCAACAAATATCTACTGAGCACCCACTATGTTAAGACATCATCTTCAACTTCTTTTTTTTTTTTTTTCTTTTTTTCAGACGGAGTCTCGCTCTGTCACCCAGGCTGGAGTGCAGTGGCGGGATCTCGGCTCACTGCAAGTTCTGCCTCCTGGTTTCACACCATTCTCCTGCCTCAGCCTCCCGAGTAGCTGGGACTACAGGAGCCCACCACCACTCCCGGCTAATTTTTTTTTTTTTTTTTTTTTTTGTATTTTTAGTGGAGGCGGGGTTTCACACTGTTAGTCAGGATGGTCTTGATCTCCTGACCTCGTGATCTGCCCGCTTCCGCCTCCCAAAGTGCTGGGATTATAGGCGTGAGCCACCATGCCTGGCCCATCTTCAATTTCTTAATATTAATTTAAGACATAAAGTATATTGAGGAGAATACACAATCAGTTTGAAAGTTTAGACACCCTAATTGAAATTTTAAGTATATATGGGAGCTTTTCACCATAGGAAATGTAGGTGGAAATTTACTTGAGATTCAAAGAGATCTCAAGAAGCTTTTGGGATAATTACAATTAATGACTATTTCTACATTCTTTTTGAAAGAAAATAGCATGTACCCAATTTTTCAAATCATCACGAAAATTTCATCTCAAAAACACTTTTGCTTGTGTAATATATTCTATTAAAAATATTCAGGGCCATTTGAGCAACTAATGCTTTATTTTTTTTCCAAGCATTAAAATGATTTATTGCCCTGGAATATAAAATCTGTATAGTTATTTCAATGAAAATGTAAAACTGCCAAAAAGTCTGCTTCTGGTCACATTTTTCCTTCTATATAACAAGATAATTTTCTACCATCAAACTCATTGTGACATGACACAAAGTCTATATCTTCTTTCATTACCTGGGTTCGAAGTTGCTGGATTTCTGCTTCAAGTTCTTTGATTTTCTCATCTCTTTTTTGAAGCTCTGCTTGAGCTTCCTGTCGAGCTGTGAATTCTTCATCGAACTGCAATGATCACCATCAATGTACAGTTAATAATATAGTTTTCAGAACGCTTTAAAGAACATTATGTATTAAATAAGTGGAGTGGTTTTTACTTAGTTGAATTCCCAGATCACTCAGAAAATCACAGCTTGTAATTATTTTCATAACAATTAAGTATCCAAGTGGAGGTGGGGTAGTAAAGAAGAAATATGCCCCCTACCCAAGGTAAGAAAACACATTTTCACTTCTGAAAAAAAATACAAAGACAAAAAGGTAGACTGAAAAGTCTCTCTTCACACATAATGAACATTTTTATTGTTTTGGTAATGAAAATTCAATTTTAGAATTAATAATTTTAAAAATATTTCATCCCATACCGTTTGAGACAGAGTTTCACTCGTGTCACCCAGGCTGGAGTGCAGTGGCATGATCTCAGCTCACTGCAACCTCCACCTCCTGGGTTCAAGCAATTCTCCTGCCTCAGCCTCTCAAGTAGCTAGGATTACAGGTGCGCACCACCACACCTGGCTAATTTTTGTATTTTTAGTAGAGATGGGTTTCACCATGTTGGCCAGGCTGATCTTGAACTCCTGACCTCTGGAGATCCACCTGCCTCGGCCTCCCAAAGTGCTGGGATTACAGGCGTGAGCCACCATGTGCAGCCTCATCCCATACTTTTAAGTTTAATGAATTAGAAAATGAAATCTAAAAATAAACCATCAAGCAGTTTCAACTCCTTAACTATATTTAATCTTGAAAAGAAATTGCACTTTTAGAATGCTCAAATGTACGTATATTAATACAAATTGGAATTGTTTCTATTACAATCTTAGTTGTCTAGAATCCATAAAGCAGTACTTCACAAACTCTGACAGTAGGATGCCCTAATAGCAGTCTCATTCAGATGGTTAACCAAAACATTTGTATAGCATGTTATGAGAGGAAAAACTAGAGGTTAAAATATGGGGTGCTAAGCCAAAAAGACTGAATGGTTAATATTTATTCACTGTATCCTGCCTTAGCCCTTACCTCAGACAGGGCTCTAAGCAGGCACAAACCTGCCTGCATATTTCCAGTGAATACTGCCTGGGACTGGCTATAGAACATTTTATTTGCCCTTTATTGTCAATGTTGTTTCAAGTCAATTTAGAAGTCTATACATTATTCTAACAATGTTATTTCTGTTTCTAAAAGTGATACATCTACTGCCCAAAACCATCTTAAGAGTTTGTGGAACAATGCAAAAGTATGTTCACTGTTAACAAATATTCATCCTCATAGTAGCTTTGACCTTTGGAAATTATAAAATGCCATTCTGATCTAAGTCTGAAGAGTGGGTGAGCAAACTGGATAATAATACTGTTTGGGTCGAACCTGAAATGCTTTTATTCATCTCTCCTTGAATCCCGGGAAAATGTCCCACAGATCCTGGCCCAAATATTCTCTAATTTCTTTAAATTTCAAACCTACCCCAGATCCTTGGAGTGAAGGATCCATATATCCTTCAGTCAATGACCTCGTTTTCCTACTTCATTAAGAAGATGGATATCCTCCAATGTGAGCTTGTTTGCCTTTACTACTATCCGTGTTAAGATTTATCTCAATCTGTACTCCCATCCCCACTCCTAAAGTTAGCTTCTCCTATGTGCTTCTAAATCATGGCACCTACACAAGCACACTATACACATTTTTTCCTCTAAAAATGGTTTATTAGTATGTTGGAGGAGAGGCACACAATGTTTCTGCTTTTAATTTAAAATTACCTTAATCTGCAAACACAGCAAACGGGGATCACAGAAGCCTGAAATATGTGAGCTGGAAGAGGTCTTCTTACAAGTCCGCTAATTTTATTCTTTCCTTTTAATGATGAAGAAACTAAGATCTAAAGAGAGTAAGTGGCTTACCCAAAGTCACAGCTAATTAGTGGAAAAGCTGAGATCAGATCTCACAACTACTGCCTCTCATTCTAGTACTTGTTAAAAAATGACTTTATACTGCCTCTTAAAATGACCCAGAACAAGGGGATGCATGTAGCTAACCACTGGGAGACCATACATGTTTTCATTCTAAATGTTGGTGATGACACTAAAGCATCAAACACTGAAATTTCTTTTCTATTACTTTAGGACTCCTTTTTCCATAATATATATGCTCACAAAAAAACTTTACCAGACAGATAATCACAATTTGCTCCAGTCTTGCAGTGTCTAATCACAGTGCCAGCCAAAACTTAAGGAGATTCTAAGGTTTTTCAAAGGGAATTTTAAATGTGCTACTTAAAACAAGAACATTAGAAATATGAAGGTCTATTAATCAAAAAGCATGCATTTTCTTTCACCAATAAAAATGACAGCTCCACACAAACATTTTATGCTCAAGCTCTTAGAATCTATTCTAGTAACTAAAAGAGCAAAGATATTTCTTCAGATGCCCTGAAGTAACTTCTTCAGTAATACTCTATAATTTCTAGAGTGATAGCAAAAGTGATTATCTAATCTCCAAGGTAAGTCATAACTTTGAAGAGACAGCAATATGTAAGCACATTATCTTGCTGAGAGAAGGCTGAAAACTGGAGAGCTTTTAGACATGTGCTTCAATCCTTCTGGCTGCACACAACAGGACAGAAATACTATACTAATGCTTAATAGGCTCTAGAACAAAAAAAGAGAAACTTGTGGTAGAAGCTAATAAAATTATAGCTATGCTTCCATGAAACAAGGAAAAGACAAGCTTAGATCTGAATACAATTCGGATATTCACAAAGCTGGCATTTACTCAAAGGCATTTAAGACATTAACACAGAAAGAAAAGGGATCCTCAAATTCCACCAGGCCTACATGAAGTAGCAGCATCACTTACAAAATGATAATTATGAAATTCAAAGAAGCTAAGTCTAAACAGAGAGAAAGAGAGTGAGAAAGAGAGAAAACACTGCAACATGTTGGTACTATCAATAGCACTGACATAAAAGACCACAACAGAAAAGACTAGCTAAACATCTCACAGTTCTCCAAAGAGCTACCTATTGCAAGCGACAGCTGCAAGAAAGCAAAGGGAGAATTTATTTTGGTTGATTGCTTCCAACTATACCCTTTCAGCAATGTAATTTTATTTCATGTATCACTTTAGTATAATGTGGCTAGTGTTTTTCTTCCATAATGGATTAAACATGATGATGAGGGAACAATAGCAACCTTACCTTATAAGGAAATAAATCAATATTCCACGGCTATGTTTGAACCCAAAAGTATAAAGTACTACATAAATGAAACATTTAGAAGCCCTCATATTAATAAAGAAGGTAGAGTATTACTGTGATTAAATTATTAACCTAACGATTATGGCTAATATTTTATAAGCTTACCTTCTTTGAAAACTCTGCAGCTTTTTGTTCACTTTCTTCAACTTTCGCCTTGTTCACACAAGAATCTATTAAGATCAAACAAAAGTGATTCGAAATTATGGCATGAGATCACTAGACAAAAGACGTCTTCTAGCCTATAACTCTGCAATGCAGACTATCATTTTTATGTCAACCCTTATTAAATGGAAATTGACCTATACTATACATAAAACATAAAAATCATATATTCTTTCTTTAGCATACAAACTGAATTCACTGATAGTATTGTGGAGGCACAAAACCAAGCATCTAAAAATATATTTCATTAAATTATTTTTATGGGTATTCAATTATTTTTGAACTACAAAACACTTCAGAATCCTATGGTTTATTATGGGTGGAGAGGTGGCAAAGACTCCATGTGTAACCTTAATAATATTAATAAGATATGAATAGTCTTAGCAAGATTCAAAATTGTCCTACAAAAAAGCTAGAGAGAGACAGAATAACATTCGATAATTCAGGCTTCTTCATGAAAAGATTTTTACTTAACTTCTGATCTGGGGCAAAATGTATCATGTACATAAGGAAACTAACTTCAAACTTCTCAGGTCAAATCAAACACTTCAGAATATAAACAACTTTTGGGCAATATTGTATCTCTCATTATTTTATGTATATATAAACTCTATTCTGTATCTAGCCATTCCACACTTATTTATCAAAAAGAAATAAAAACATATACCAGTACCCAGAATTTATGTGAATATTCACAGCAGTTTTATTTATAGTAATCCCAAACTCGAAAGAACCTAAATGGCCATCAACAAGTGTATACATAAACAAACTATGGTATATCCATAAGCTGGAATACTACTCAGCAATATAAAGGAATGAACTATTGATACATGCAATACAACAACATGAATGAATCTCAAAATAATTATGCTGAAGGCAAGAAGACAGGCAAAAAGTATATATGCTGTATGTTTCTATTTTTATAAAATTTTAAAAAATGCAACTAATGAGAGAGACTATAAAATGTAACTAGTAAGAGAGAGATCAGTAATATCCCAGGATGGGAAGATGTGGTAGACATGGAAAGAAAGAACTAAAAGGACAATGCAGTTAGGGGGTAACAGGATTATTATCTTGATTTTGATGATGGTTTTAAGTGTCTATATTAATAGCAAAATTTATCAAATTGTATACCTTAAATATGGGTAGTTTTTCTTACATCAAATGTACCTCAATAAAGCTGGTTTGTTTGTTTGTTTGTTTAAAGCAACTGAGGAGGAAAGTAGGAAATGACGAAGTCAAAGAACAGCCGAATCTAAGCTGTCCTAGCCATGGCTGGTAATGATTTAGAATTTAAATTTCAATGGAAAGGCATCAGAGAGTTTCAGGCAGAGATCTGATACGATCTGATTTATGAAAGATATCAGACTCAAAGAATTGTTAAATTACAAGAGACTAATCTCTTCAGGTCCAAGTCATCTTGAAATACAGATCCATGGGTTTCCTAGAAGTTCTTGAAGCACCTGATAATTTTTTGTGTACATGAACATATGTGTGTTCTAATCAAAGTTCCAAGTATTTGTCAACTTCTCACAAAGGATTTTGAACATAAAATATTAAGAGCCACTCATATATGTGACTTATTCAATTTTAAAGTTGAGGAAACTAAAACCTAGAGAAGTTAAATGATTTGTTCACAGTCGCAGAGATGACATGTGGATAACATCACAATGGGTTTATGATGCTGACTATCCTCTCTCACCTGATCCGTTCGTCTCTCCTCACCCAACACTTTTGATTAATAGTAAAGAATCATAAGTACCTGGTACACAGTACACAAAACAAACGTCTGTTGAATACTGAATACTACTTGACTAAATTATTATTTTTTATAGGTATTCAATTATTTTTCAACTATAAAATACTTCAAAAAACTATAGTTTATTATGTGAGAGGTGACAATGACTCCATGTTTAAGATTAATAAGATCAAAATCAACAATAGTGTATGTGTCCTAACTATGGTCTATAATGGATTATAAGCTAATATACATATTTGAAAATAGTCCCTTATGACTCCCTCAACAAAATGCAAAATAAACTTGTTTTTCAAACTCATTGAAAAATATGCAATGAGGCTAAAATTCACAATCACTTCTGGGTAAATTGGCACAAGCTTTCTGAAAAGCATTTGGCTTTTTGAAAGTTCATACCCTCACTTACAGAAATCAATCCTAAGGAAATAGTGAGAAAAAGCCAAACATTTATATACAAGAATGTTGACAGCACATTCATTTATAACTGTGAAAATCTAAAAGCAATTATGAACGCACAAAAAGAAAGGACTGGTTACAACGACTATGGTATTTCACAAAATGGAATATTATACAGACATTAAAAGTCACATTTTGAAGGTTAATGTGGAAAAACTCTCATAATATAAAGTTCCAAGAAAAATCAGCATACAGAGAGATAGATAGGTCATAGAGAAAGAGATATAAGGAAATGTACCAAGCTGAAAAGGGAGCGATCACGAATGTGATTGGTGGTTTGTCACTTATGTAAGTCTCTGGATTGCCTGAAATAAGTATGCATTACATTTAAAACAGAAATAATACATAAATAATAAGTTATCCATCTTTGAATGTTACTGTGTATCTGCCTTGTGCTGTGGAGTCAAAAATAATATATAATTGGCATATAATAGTTGTTTTCTTTCTTTAAATATAAGACAAATGAGTTCATGCTTAAACCTTAACAATAGTGATTCCAATTAAGTATAAATAAGACTGCTTAGCCATAAGGCTAGATAGCATAGCACATTTCACAAGGGAAGGTTCAGATCATCCTTCAGAGGTTGTTCTGAAAAGTACTGCTAACTACCAGTCTAGGATGATATAAAGTCATTTCCTCAGCAATCTAAGGAGATGAATATGATCACCTCAAATTCTTTCTAACTCTAAGGTCTATGAAAATATAAATTGATCCATTTGATACCCTTAGAAGGTCTCAAGCTATTGAAATGAGCCTGTATTTCTTTTCTAAAACTTGGGCATTAATAACATAACTATAATGAGACCCCATTGTATACATGATTTCTACAAGACCACTAAGGTACCAGTATAAAATGAAAAGATTTCAGAGTCATGTTTCTAAATAGTAATGCATTCATCTATAATAATGTAATGGGTTTTTGTGGAACACTAAGCTTAAACTACCTCCAGGAGTGTTGGAACTTATTAAACAGGTTAATATTTCTAATCACACAGGCAGAACTCTCATGATCATTATAATTAACAATTACAGCAATTGAGTGCCCAGAGACACAATGATTTACCAGATATGAATAGAAGTTCAGTAAGAACTGAAGCTTCTTACTGAACTTCTTCACTTAAAAAGTGCTTATAATACAGAAGGCACAAAACACAATCAGAGGACAATGAGGATTATGATACATACCTATCAGATGAGTTAAATCGATGTCTAATCTTTGCCTGTATTTGAAGTCTGGATCCATACCACTGCAGTGTAGCACTATCTGTGAAACACATTCCTCAATTATTTTATAATATTGTGGCCTGAAAAGGAGAGAAAGTACTCATGAATGCCTTTCTAACCATGCAGATCAATTTGCTTTAGAAAACATTCAACATATTAGAAGAACTAGGTCTTTTTTCTGGAGTTGTTTTAAAAAATCCTGCAGCCACTACACTTTCTTAGGACAAGCATGCCTAAGCTTAAGGATGGTCTGGGTGTTACAGTACCAAACCCATTGTGATGTAATCAACTACATCTAGTGACTTCATAATCTAGTTTGCAGGGATTCATGCTTGTGTTGAAAGATACTTATCAACCTTTTCTATTTACTTATGCTATTGTTTCTAAAGTTAATAAAAACAAATGAGCCATTAGTCCTACATTCATGGATACAGAAATGGTTCTACGCATCCACAGGTTCTCAATTTCAATAAGGGATGAGTTTCTTCACATTACGTGGCAAGCAATGTCTTGAATTTACTACAGCACTTTTAGTCAAGATAGCTATAACAGCTTACAAAACTGGACAGAGCCACTTATATTACAAGACTATCCAAGGATCTATTTATGCAACACATTTTAAAAGACCCATTTTATAAAAGCATACACACTTAATATGCATGGCTATTGCTTCAATTTGTTTAAAGTGTCAGAGGTTTTAAAACATATCCTAATTCTGTAATCCATCAGCGTAATTCTGGCCTTAAAAATGACCACTCACATACTGCAAAATTTTTTAAAAGGCACTTTTGCATTAAAATTTGGGTAAGATTTAGTATTTGTCAAAGGATAATAAATTCAACAGAGAAAAATCAGTAGTAAGAAGTACGACTATAGACAAATTATGATATAAACTTCCCTAAATATAGTGTGCTGATAAATAGCCAACCTACTAAAAGTTTGTAAATGAAGCCAAATAGACTCTAATTGCTCTTCTATGTCTTTAGTAATGGGTCTGGTCCCAAGAATAAGAATAAATAGTAATACATATTACAAATCTGGTTTTTTTCAAGTCATCTTCGGGTCTAGAGTAAATAATATTGGATTATAACCTCAGTCTAGTCAATGGTTAAATAAGGAAAACACAGCTGGGGCCAGGTTAATCATCCCTAAGTGGAATAAAATGCTTGTCACACTTCTGCCTCACATGGATGTTCTTAGGATGAAAAACATGCCATATGAGGATAACTTCTTATTTATTCATAGTTGCTGAGAAATGGATACTTTCACATAAATGATGTTCCCCAGGTAACTGAGTACCTTTGGGCACAGTACCCCTTTTAAATTTGTTAGAACTTAATTAAAAATACAACAATAATTTTTAACGTATAACCAGCCTTGTTGCTTAAAAAACAGCACACAATTTAATATTTTAAACATTTTTTATCTCTCTGTAATGTCACGATGCCCAACAAATTACTGTACTGGTCTGAACTATAATAGTTCTCTATGCTGCTTTACAGTTGTAATTTTTGTTGAGACTGTGCTGACCTCATGGTAGCTTTCCTTTTCCATTTAATCAAGCAGGTTTTGAGAAATCAAAGAACCTAGGTTGTCAGAATTTCACGCAAATCAGAGTATGAAGAACAACTAAGAGTCTCTTGAACAGTTAAATGTAACATCATGGTCACCAGTCTGTGGATAATTTCAGTCACTCAGAAGCCTTTTCATAACTTTGTGGTTTTCCGATATATTCCCAGTTAACTAGATTCTAAAACTTTTAACTTTAATGGTTATTTTCATACTCATTTATTTTGAAGGATGACACTACTAGACATAAAACTGAAATATTAGCACTTTTATTTTCTTAGATGTTAAGATCACATTTATTAGTAGATAAATACTGTAAAAAGAGAAATAACAGTAAAACCTTACTTAATATGCACAAGATAAAACCTTTAAAGTTCTATCCCAGAATCTTCAGTGCTTTTTCTGTGATATCACTATCTAGCAAAGAAAATTCATTGCAGGGCCAGTGCAATCTGTTGGGTTCATTGCTACCAAAGTCCTGTCGCTGGAGTACCCCATTTTTACAAGTGCATCTGTCTCTTCTGGCCAAATTTAAAAAATGAACACCTTTTAAAAAATGTTACCTGGGCCGGGCGCGGTGGCTCACGCCTGTAATCCCAGCACTTTGGGAGGCCGAGACGGGCGGATCACGAGGTCAGGAGATCGAGACCATCCTGGCTAACACGGTGAAACCCCGTCTCTACTAAAAATACAAAAATTAGCCGGGCATGGTGGCGCGCGCCTGTAGTCCCAGCTACACGGGAGGCTGAGGCAGGAGAATGGCGTGAACCCGGGAGGCGGAGCTTGCAGTGAGTCGAGATCGCGCCACTGCACTCCAGCCTGGGCGACAGAGCGAAACTCCGTCTCAAAAAAAAAAAAAATGTTACCTAAAGAGTCAAACTCTTATACCCTGTGTGTGTGTGTGTGTGTATATGTGTGTGTGTGTGTATATACACACACACACATATACACACACACACACATATATATATATACATATATACATACATATATATATACATATATATATATACATACATATATATATACATATATATATACATACACACACATATGCATATATTGCTTAGGCCCCACTACATTGTTCATTTTCCTTTAATATCCGATTCAAATTATAAATATAGTACTCTCAGAACTGCCTCTTACCTGATATAATAATCATTTCTGATAAGCAAAAAATGTTGTAGAATAGATAAGAAGTAATTTTCAGCAGCAGTGTCCTTCAGCATATTATATAGAAGATGGTAGACTTCATTCATATCAGTAGAAAGTAAAGGAAAAATATTAAAGATCCTTGATGGAAGTCTCATTCATAACAAAGGAGTTTAACTTTTTAAAACATTGACTTATAATCTTGCTTCCATTACTGTTTTTAAACCTTCAACTCTATGATCCAGTATTTAAACATCTGCATAAAGTAATGATTCTATGGAATCATTTTGATCTTTTAACTAGAGAGACAGACCTCAAGAGCATGTCCAAGACCATTTGACTGTCAAAATCTTAAATGATCCGTTATACATATTTTAAAGTCCAGATTATAGCTGGTACCATTGGAACAGCAATGCCATCAGTGAAAATGGTTTCCTTTTGATCTCCCTGTAGTTGTGATAGAGGACCTATATTATTCATGCAAATCACTACTACTCTATTTTCACTGCCACATAAGATAGAAGGCAAATGAGCATGCTGTAAACTGCTAAGAGGTCACAAAATCAGTTTTATGTTATCCAGATGAAATACTAAATCTGAAATTATTATTGTTTGCATTCATTTGTATTTCATTATTTGATAAAAAATGGAAAGTAGAGACAAGATATAGAGTTGCAGAAATTTAGATGCTTTTAGTAAACTAGAAATCAGATTTCACAAATGGATCCATTTTTGTAATAAAAGTGAGGACCTGGAAAACCAAGGTAAAATAAAGATAAAAGACAAGATGTAATTCAATATCCTAAAATAACCTGAAATGTCAACATTTTCTCCAAAGTAGAATTAAGCATACGATGGCTTACTTCTTAGACCCCACATAAGAGTGTTGTGCTAAAGTCTCATGAGGTCCTTAAATGGCTACACAATGCATCCAAAAATAGTTTTATGGTGAAGTTTGATTATAAGAGGAATCTATGTAAAGCAAGATATTAATTGATATGAAAAACATTTAATATTATAGAAGCCACAGTAGACTGGCACCACTAATGATGAATAAAAATTACTAGAAATTATTCCTTAAAATAATAACATTGTTATTCATTGCACACACATTTATCCAATACCTATGTGTAAGACTTTCATAGATGCATTGAAGGAAAAAAGATTAAACATAACATTTCTGCCCTCAATCTCACAGGGGCACAGAAGTGTACATAAATAAAATAGAACAAACAAGGTACTTTGGGTATTTCAAGGAGGGGAATATTACTTCCAGCTTTGGGGAGTGGGGGCAAGCAGTAGGAAAGGGAAGAAAACATCATTGAGAAAAAATCCAACTCAAAGGTCACTTTGGTTTTGACATGTTTCCCAGGTTCACCAGAATCCATTAAGTAAGAAACATAACAGGTGCGAAACAAATGGCCAGCAATGCTGTGACAACCATCTCTTAGATCTAAAATCATTTTATATAAAATTGCTGCCGTCGGAAGGTTATATGCTAGCTGTATTTGACTCAGATGCTTCTACCACATAGCTTTGCTATATTCAGATTCTATTGCATCTAAACATTTTTGTTATTGTTAAGAAACACAAATATTTGAATACAGAATAAGACATTTATTTGAATTGCTTTTTATCTCTAAGTCACTGAAGCTTGATTTAATAAACTGAATAAGTATTTCACCTATAGTCACATATGAACGCAGTGAAATTTTCCCCAAAAAAATCCTTACATGTAAGATATATTGCCTTATGCTATTCTTTATTCAAGACCACTGAGTAGAGTATATCTATAATACTGTGAGCCATTGTGCAGATTTCAATACACTCTGTGTAAATCATCAAGACAGCCTGACAATTCCTCAACATGAATCTCAAGGACAGCATCATAGTAAGGTTCTAATATAAATAAATGGATATAAATTGGGAGGGCAGACAAGAACTCTAATAATGTTCCACAAAATCGCCCACAAATCCCTTTCTCACAATGCAAACAAAATTGTTTTGTGGTTTGTCAAAGGATATTCCATTTCTGCTCGAATGTCATTGAGACGGTGTGATAATTCAGTTAGGTCATCTTCTTTGTTTTCATCAAATACTTTCAACTGAATATCAAGCTCATCATTCTCTTTTTCTTTTAGATCCTAATATATAAACATAAAATTTAACACATGAATAACAGTTTGACAACGGCATATTTAGGTAATAAAGGGCAGAACACAATTATTCATTTATAAACACAGAAGCAATTTCAAATATTTATGCGGGCACTTGGTTTTCTGAAAGTAATTGTAGCTAAATTTTTCTGTTTCAACATAAAAGGACCTCATTGCATTCACTTCATTTTTTCCATGCCCTACATTTTGATTATTCACATTAAAAAATTAACGATCAGTTCTACAACAGAAAAAAACTAATTGCTAACAACCCAAATTAAATGCTGTCATTTTGACTAAACACACTAATCAAAGATTGCAAAAGAACTCATGCAGTCAGAACATTCACATATGCCTCTGGCAAAAAATGCAAATACAAATCAATTGTATTAATGAAGAACAAATGCAAGGATATATTCAAGCACAACAGTCCCAAGTATGGCTTGAAAAGATGTATAAACACATTTATTTTAAAAGCTATTTTGTGATTTTAAAGCAAAAAGGCGTTTGGACTTTTTATTAAGCTGTACATCTAACCTCCTCCCCCACCTTATATTTTTGCTTAGCTAAATCACAAAATACCAACTTGGGCATAAAAGTTATGTTTTTGTAATACATTATAAGCACATGCATTACAAACCTCTGATAATTTTCATAATAATAGTATAAAAAATTTAGAAGCATGCCACACTAGAGATTGTTGGGCTCAATATATATCACCTGGAATATCTTTTAATATGTGTCCATTAAGTTGCAGCTTTCAAAACCCAAATCGATAATCACAACTGTGGATGCTCAAGGGTGATACCGAAAGTGGGACTAGGATTTTCAGAGCTGAGCTTGAACTCTAAAAGGAAATGCAAGCATGGTGTACTTCAAATTAGGTCGATAAAACAAAATGGGATACATTTCTTGTTTCTATCTTTATTCAATAGAACTATTATAGAGATGTAATGGCTATTACTGAAGCCAAACAAATTTCAGCAATTTCTAGATGCTTTTTTTTCTAACACTCACATACATAATAATTTATTGAAAATTTACCTGCAGAGCATATGAAAATAATTAGTTTCTACACAATTTCATATAAAACATAACAAGTAAATGTATTTATATTTGGTTTCATTTTTAGTAATAACTTGCTTTAGCTCTAGTTTTCCAGTTTGAAATGGAATGAAGAAATTTATTAGAATGCAAAATCATCTAACATTGCTGGGTCATATTATCAGGTGATTTCTGAACTCTATTTAGAAAATTACATAAGCCAGACAAACCCAATACACTGGTCACTGCAGAAACAACCTGTCACGCATTTTACAGTATGTCTTATTCTTGTCACCACATATTCTCTCTCAGAAATTCATCATAAAACTTAAACACTTTCAAATATTTCAGAAAAACAGAAAAATTTAAGTACTGCCATTTAATTAGCATAGAACGTTACAAAACATGAAAATCAGTCAGCATAATTAAAATGCTTTCAGTGAAAATAACTGGTTAAATGTGCAATTTAGTTCTTAATTAGGCCCAGACATTATTTATACAATATACATAGTATATGAGCACATATAGCACAATATAAAATTTAGACATGTGTAAATGCAGTATTTTATAAATATTCTTTATTAATAATGCTCCAGACCTATCAAAGTCAGTCCTCATTTAATTGTCCTCAGTAGTTCTTGGAAACTGCAACTTGAAGCAAAATACGTATAGCAAAACCAATTTTCTTTTCTCATCAATGTTATAATGAAAGGACATTATTCAAGGACCTACTGTATATGGTTTTGATTCAAGGTGCAGTTCGCAAGATCCTATCAATGACATTAACTAAGAACTTACTGTAAATATATATTCATATATACATACACATATATATGTTTATCTTTATGAAACTTCCTTCCAGCAAAATGTCAAGCCTTGAAATATTCATAAATTCTTGATAAAATAATCATTTACTGAATAAAAATTTTTACATAGTACAAATAATAAGATGGGTATCCTATAAAAGTAAATGGAAATCTATCACTGAAGTTTTATATTTTAAAACGTGAACTATCACAAAGTTACTGAAACACACTGTTATTAATTATGTGAAACACTCTATGCTTGTTATTTTTTAAAAAGACATGCGGTATAGATCTAAAATTATTTTTTGCAGAATTCCTGAAATATGTAATTTTCTATAACATAGTGCACTTCAAAGGAAATCAAAGTCCATTGCCAGTACACTGCTGATTAACAGTCAAACAACCAAAATTGAGTCTTTAAAACAAGAAAGAGTTTCTCAGACTTTTAAAGAGATAAAAGTATGCCCACTGCCTACCAACACCATTTCTTACTATGTTTTTCCTTCGCTTATCTGATTTAACTAATATTTTCTTAATTTATTTAACTAAATAAAAGGCAAATGGGGAAAATTTCAGAAGAAATCAATGTAAATTAAGTACAGAAAAAAATCCTATTTTAAAATTCACTGTAGAGTTTGTAACAACTCATTTATTCTAAATTACTAAAGCAAATTTATCAGACGTGAAATTCCATATAAATGAAATACAAACTATTTTTCAACATCTAAATTTAACCATAGGGATGAGAGGAACCTTGAAAATAAATTTTTAAAGAATATAATTTAAAAATTCGTTGTCTTGAAGATTCTGATAATTATTATGAAAAAAAGTTTCACTCTACTACAGTGTTGATCTCAAGGATTACTGAAATACTAAGAACTAGTTTTTCCCAACTCATACTGGTTCTAGATACATATAATTTTTCATCCATGTACCAACAATTAATATTAGCCCTAGTCACATCTAATTTGCTGCTTTGAATATACTGTATTCTAGAATATTAGGGAATTCTTGTTAGAACTGGATATAAAAAAAAGAATAAATAGAAGAAAACGTAAGGATTTTAAAGACAATCTATGACCATATTATTAAGCTTCACTGCATATGTAAAGGATATGTAATGTTACTATAAATTCCAGTGGTTTAAATTTAAATATTTCATTCATTAGTAGGTTAGATAGTAGTTGACATGTGAGGTATGTAGTATATGTTAACCCATGACCATTCTGTCCTGCTCCCAAGTTGTGATAAACTAAAACAATAGTAGTGAAATCTACGGTTCTAAATATATGATCGCTAATCTTCTCAAGGTCTATCTGCCTGAATAATGATTCTACTCTTGTATATGCGATCCCAGCACTTTGGGAGGCTGGGGTGGATCATTTGAGGCCAGGAGTTCAAGACCAACCTGGCCAACATGGCGAAACCCTGTCTCTATAGAAAATGTAAAAATTAGGCCAGGCGCAGTGGCTCACACCTGTAATTCCAGCAGTTTGGGAGGCCGAGGCAGGCGGATCACAAGGTCAGGAGATGGAGACCATCCTGGCCAACATGGTGAAACCCCATCTCTACTAAAAATGCAAAAAAAAAAAAAAAAAAATTAGCCGGGCATGATGGCGCGCACCTGTAGTCCCAGCTACTCAGGAGGTTGAGGCACAAGAATCGCTTGAACCCGGGAGGCAGAGGTTGCAGTGAGCCAAGATCACGCCACTGCACTCCAGCCTGGTGACAGAGCAAGACTCTGTCTCAAAAATAAATATAAAATAAAAAAAATATAAACATATAAAATATATAAATATATATATATATACACACACACATATATATATACACATATATACACACACATATATATATACATATATATACACAAAAATTAGCTGGGTGTGGTGGCACACCTGTATTCCCAGCTACTTGAGAGGCTGCAGTGGAAGGATTGCTTGAGCACAGGAGATTGAGGCTGCAGCGAGCTGTGATTGTGCCACTGCACTCTAGCCTGAGTGACAGAGCAAGACCCTGTCTCAAAAAAGAAAGAAAAGAAGAAAAAGAAAACGGAAAAGGAAAATGAAAAAGAGAAAAAAAGAAAAAGGGAAATGGAAAGGAAAAGGAAAAGGAAAAGAAATACCTGCGGAGGATTTTTTTTTTCCCAACCAAATATGTCTGCCCTATCCTCAATACAGTAAGATTTTAGGGGGACATGCCCAACCTCTTAGTTGAGAATCAGAGTCATATTTAATCATATTTAGCTCTACTGTCTTAGAGAGGAAAAAAAAATTATGAGAATCCTTGTAGGTTCTATTCCAAAACTTTCTCTTCCCACTTTTATCTTGCTGAAGAATCACTGAGATCTGAGAAGCAGGGCATACTGAAGAGATGTGATAAAGAAAAGTCTAATTGGAAGTATATATTAAGAATACCAGAGGTTAGAAAGGGTAGTAGGGTGTGGGGGAAAATAGGGTATGGTTAATGGATACAAAAATACAGTTTGATAGAAGTAATAAGATCTAGTGTTCAGTAGCACAATAGAGTGACTATAGTTCATAATTATTTGTATTACAAAATAACTATAAGGGTAGGATTAGAATATTCCCAACACAAAGAAATGATGAATGCTTGAAGTGATGGATATCCCAATCACCCTGATTTGATCATTACACACCATGTTCTTGTATCAAAATATAAATTTTACCACACAAATATATACAACTATTTTATATCCATAATTAAAAATTATTTTTAATTTTAAAAAAGAATATATAAATTAAGAAGCACATGGTACCACAAAAAGTTTTATATAGGGCTATATGGCCAATGGAAAAGTGTAGCTTAGAAACACAGACACATAATCTTAGCTGTCTGTGTAACCAAATGAATAACATGAGGCCACTGAGCCCAGCAGAGATTAATATACCCAGACAAAAGTGCAAAAGGTTAAGGACAAGAGCTACAATACCATACCTTTTCTGAAAAATGAGGACTAAAATAAATTAAAATGAGAGTCACAGTTCTCTTGACTAGCCATTCAGTAGTATAAAGCAGAAAGTGAATGTTCAATTATAAATAGAGGGGAATGAAAGAGAGAAAAGTAAGAGCAACAACTATGGCAGAAAACATGGCATATTAATAAACGAGTAGAGGATGCTACAGAGCCCTTGCAGCCAGCAAGTCTTCAAAGATGCTACTATAAACAGAGAACCAGCCCAGTAAAAACAAGCATGGAAACCAACAAGAAGGAAATTCAAAAGCAAACTACAATCAAGACCATACGATTATCTTTAGCTATCCAAGGCTACAGGCTTTGGATGAAAAGAAAATTAGTGAAAAAAAAAACAAGAATAATCACATGTCACACTAACTATAATTGGTGAATATGCCTAAGTTAACTGCACAGTTAATCTCTAGATGGGTCACTTAAAATGTTGCTTTGATTCTCTGCAACCAATGCCTTGGTTTTAAGTGTCAAGAATGAAAGAACTGCTTCAGGTGGGATTGACATAGAAATTTCCAAAACCAGGTGGACCCAATCATACATCTTATTAAAATGGATTTAACAGGTCCAATCACACAACTTATTATGATGGGTTTCAACTAGTTTCAGTTAAAAGTATCCCACCATATGTTACAAATTTATGCTACATATTGATTCCTCACCAGGAAATGTCCCCAATTTGGGTATTTCTGGTAGACTAGGTCATACACATGGGCACACACACACACGCACACACATGCACATTCAATGACATTTGTTGTTGTTGTTTTTTTCTCTCCTTAGTGCTTTTTTCTCACTTCCTTACTTTTACTTCTTGTCTCTCAGGTATATTCTGAGTAGCTTAAAGACACTAGCAGAATTTTACTTGTCTTGAACAATGCCATAGTCTGCAATAGTCACTCTTCAGTTAATATACTTAATAAAATATAAAACCACAGTAGTTGTATTTGTATTTATAAAAATAAGTGTGCTCATTTATTTCAGATTCAGCATACAAAATCATTCCAAAAATGTTTTTAACACTATCATAATTACAGCAAATATTCACATTTAATTTAAGAAACAAATTGTTTTTGATCTGAAAAGTTCCTATAGCCTTGTAACAAGAGTAACATTCTTAAGCAATGTGTCTAGCATATGCTAATCAAAACTCTATGCATGCTTATCCTGAATACCAATGAAATCAATCTAGGTTATCAAAGAGGAAAGCAGAATATTTTAAATGAAAATTGAAACTCCAAAAAAAAAGTCTCATGTTTTCAATATTCAAAATTCAAAGAAAAGAAGTCCCTTTTGACTTGAGGGAAACAACAAAAAACAAAAACACATCGCTTCTGGGTACATTATTAGCTGAATTCTGAATCATCATTTGTATGTAGAGAATGCTATTACTGGAATACAAAAAAGCTTACAAAATGTCTAATGCTTTACAAAACAAAATAGCAAAGCACATTTATTTACTCTGCTTCAAGTACTTTTGTGGAAGTGAAAAAAATTTTAAAATTCATCAGCATAATAAATGTATACATTCAACTTACTGGTAACATTGTTTTTAGTCCTGAACGGAGGAATTCATTCCTTAAATGTATTCGAAAATCAAGCTCATAAGGAGAAGTGACAAGGGCATTTATAAACTGCATGCAGGCCACCTGCAATTAGAAAGCAAATTTTGTTTTAAAAAAACACATTAAATTAATGAAATAATGCATTAAGATAATATATTCACTAAAGGCATACACACATAATGATAAAATAAGAAATGCAAATATTTCTAGAAGTATAATGATTATGACTTTAATTATAAACAATAAAATTAACGACAAAGTGTATAATGTCCAAAATAATTCTAACAAAGATGTGATGACCAAGTATGTTATGCTTTTAAAAATAATATGAAGAAATATTAAACTCCCTCTGAAAAACCCAAATTGCAAAAGTGGGCAGACAGAGCCCTTTGAAAAGATCACAAAATGTATCTTTCATGTCCAGTGGTCCTCACAGTACACTTGGCCTCAATTCTACAGGGTTATAAACACTTCTAAAATAAATCAAAGATATAAAAGTACCCTAATATTAAACAGGGAACAGTGATAACTTAGATAAATTATTACATTGATTTAAACTCTCTCCATCCTCTTAATGGGATGATTTGTACAAAATATATAAAGTATTAAAATATATAATTAAGATGAATTAATTTACTAGGTTTGAAAAAATAATGGAAGTGAATTAAGATCAATTAGAAGGCACTGGGAGACTAATACTAATGCACATTTCATAATAAAGCATATGTAAGAGCTTGTTTTCAAGTAAAGTATTTGATTAAATATATTGATACCGAAAAATGAGTTTTGCTTTTCTTACCTTCTGATTTTGAGATTCCCTATTATAAAAAGGAACTTATTTGCTGGTAATTTTAATCTAGAAGGGAATCAACAAAATGCTAAGTGCCAGGTATTCCATAAATTATTCCTAAGTAGCATTTTTGGAAAATGCTGCTCAAATCTAAGGTAACTGGCTAATTGTTTAACTGAAAAGATGCCATTTAAATTTATTATTTTTTTATTTTTAAAGAATGCAATGAGTAGAAGAGTGCTCAAAGGGCAAACTACAAGGGGAATCCTCGGAAAAAAACATATTATATAAAGATACTAAGTATTTATAGAAGCAGACACAAATAAATTAATAGTTAGCATGGGAAAAATATATTACCGAAAGACAAATATTTCAAATGTATTTTGACTTGACATCTACAGATCTATTATGATAGAGTTATTTTTTCCAAAATAGGGAGAAGAGATTAAAAGGTATGCTTTACTTTTGAATCTGTATCTTATATATTTAAGTTGCTTTTTGGGAGATTAGCCTATCTGCCTCACATCTATGTTCAAAAATCAAAAGTTACATGCTTTAAAAGGGCTGATTAAGGTTGTTTCTAACATGACCAGATATCTGAATGATACAACAATATAGTCTAATTTCTATGAACATTCAAGTATCAAGATAAAACACTTAGGCAACTGACTAAATATTTGCCATACATTTGGCATTACCTTTAAAGACATACCAGATAAGTTAGTATGAAGCTTATGCTTTAATGGATTACTTAACCTTCCTATTTACAACAGGAAATCATGTAAATCTTTAAATAGTTTTGATAGGCTAGGCTATAAATTTGCATACTGTACATGTCCACAGCTATATTATCATTGTATTTGCTTGAATGACTCTTGTTATGTTACAACTATGACATGACCAAACAAGCCAAAGTGCATGTCCAATCCAAAATTAATAGAGAGAAAAGTTGCCATCTGTTAGGATTGTTTTTGCCAGAAGAAATTCTAGCTTAATGGCTTGTATTAATACCCTACAAGTAAAGAGAACATTTCTGTAAGAAACAAGTTAATGAGTCCTGCAATTGTATCTTTATACAAATAAAAGTATTCAGATCAGGAGACAATAAAGATAATAAAAGTCAATAAAATTAATGAATGTATCAATATAACTTTAATAATGTTTCAATATATTAAATACTCACTTTACATACAATGTATGAACATATAGTTTAATATGAAAACAAAGACGTTCCATCCATTGACTATAGTACACAACAATTAGGAGATATTGTGAAGTCAGTTTTAAAATGGTAAAGGTACTGGCTTAACAATGTACCATTTATTATATATCATATTCTAATAGATATTTAATTAATTACAAATAACAGATGAATAAACATGCTATCATGTCATTTTCCAACATAAGCTGATAAAATAATATTCTTTTACAGAAATATGTATATTGTAATATGAATGTGGAAAACAAAAAGGTCATCTAAATTTTTGCTATTCCTTTATGCCGTTACACAAGTGCTGCCCTTTTCAGAGAATAGAAACGATATCTCAAATTCAAAACTGAAATAATTGTCACTATTTACAAATACAAAATTAAATTTAAATTAGCTTAAAGGGAAGAATATATTACTACTTAATTATAAACATGACAAACCCATTCTGTGTATCCTGAATTCATAGCTAAATACGAAATCCCAAACTATTATCACCATTATTATTATTAGTTATTAGACAATGTATTAGGTCCTTTACATAATTCACCATCTAATCTCATCTTCATAAAAACCACACAAGATTAGTATTACTGTTATCCTTATTTTACAGATGATGAAGTGGAGGCTCAAAGCAGATAGAATAACTTTATATAAGGCCACACAGCAAGGAGGAAACTCATGACTATAAATGATATAATTTTACTACAAATATAATTTCCAGCACATTCCAAAGGTCTCATAAACTCCATTTATAGATTCTCGCAACAAAAGATTTTAAGGATGGGTAAGATGATAAAATTTAACTGGTGCAACATGCTTAATATACTGGGGATATGTAGCTTTAAAACTATAGGTTAATTAGAAAAACATACAATAATATAAACAATATGTTGTCTAGTACACATAGTGACTATCATAATATATAATGTAATGCAGAAAAAAAGCAAAAGTAGAAAATGGTTCTTGGAGTGGGTTAAATTCCACTTCATGTACATCCTGAGCAGTAAAGTATAAATGGCATCCCATCATCCAAAATAATGGTCTACCACTCCTCTCCTTTACTTCTGCCACCCCACTCCACACTCAGCATGTATATGCATGTGAACACATGCATACACGCACACACACGCTCTACAGTACTGTGCTATTCTATATGGGAGCTACTTATCACAGTTTAATTTAATTACAATTAAATAAAATTAAAAATTCAGTTGCTCAGTTTCACTAGCCATTGTTCCAGTGTTCAACAGCCACATGTGGCTAGTAGCTACCACATTGGATAGCAGGGATATAGAACATGGGAGAAAGTTTGATTGAATAGCACTACACTGGAGATTTTAAAGAAAAAAAGAGATCTGGCCTAATCTCTGAAACCTTCACTTCAAAGAACTACAAAACTCATTGCTGAATAATGAAAATTTCAAAATTCATATGCTCAACTTCCAAGTATATAAATCTTTAAGAGATGAGTGTACTCTATTGTCCTCTAACAATGCAAAATCAATCTGCTTTCCAAAAAAAAAAAAAAAAAAAATTCAACTCCAGAGACAGAAAATAATCATGAGATTTTAAAGCTAGACAGAACATAAAATACTCTGGTCCAATATGCTATTTAAAAGTAAAGAAACTGAAAACCTAGAAAGATTGGATGATTTGCCCAAGATCACATAACTAATAAGCCCCAATGATACAACTAGAACTCAGCTCTCTTGACCTTTAGCCTTGCATTTTTTCTACCACATTATATCGCACAAATCTTGCTTGATATCATTTCTCCTGATCTTAGAAAGAAAACAAATGCCCTTGAATTGAATATCACAAAGTCCATTATCCAGAGTTGCTCTGTTGCTTAGTGTCTTTATAATGGCTATGTTTCAAAATGGTCCGCCATATCTATTGTTACAAATACAGCTTCCATGAGGATCAAAATTTTAAAGTCACAAAAAATCAGTGAATTTTCTCCATTATTAATACATATGCTAGGGCCACAATTCTGATGTTTAATTAGTAAATACAATTGGTTTCTATATTTGCATTTTCATTCAGTGATGTCATAAGATTTCAACATGAGATGCATATATATCCTATTAAATGAATACATAAGCATACATAGTTAAAAACTACCAGTTCTGTGCATGTGATAAAGTATCCAATCATTTATGTCATGTATAATTATATACTACACTGAATCATTATCAGTTTTCTACCACATTAAGATCCTTCCTTTACTATAACAATTTATTTTATTTCTACAATAATCATCTACATTCTTTAGTCACCAGATGCTGTTGTCTTCATTCTGGGGTGGTATGGTATAAAGGGTGAAATATTATAAAACAGATGATAAACTTTCAAAAGGCAAAGCTCATCTGTATATGCCTAGGGTTTATTTGTAACACTTAACTGTCCCAAATAAAATAATTAAAATATAGTAAGTGAATGACATTTAAAAATTTCCAATTTTATTGGCATAAGACATAGCATTACAAAAAGAAATTTAAGTTTTTTTGTTGTTGTTGTTTACCTAAGTGACAGAGAAAGGGAAATATTTGAACACAAATATCTTCATAAAATTACTGGAAAAATGCTAGAACCTTTTACTGACTTTAACTTACAGGCTTGAAAACTATACAAACATCTATCTATTTAATCACAATTCACAGAGCTATGGGGTACAATAATTGACAACTCCAGGGCATTCTCAGACAGATTATCCATATTGCCATTATCTGTGACAAATTGTACATTTAAAATTTTATTGACACTGTTCCACACTTGACCTTATTAAGTACTCTGTTGACATTAACAAGGTCTTTCTTTATCCTAGCCCAGCAGGAGTTAGGAACAAAGATGATTTAAGTCAAAGTATGAGAGAAGAAAGATGTGAATGTACAGAGCGAGTTAATTGAGAAGTGGAGTACTTTCCAAGCCAACGGAAGTCATGTACAAAGGTATGAAGGTAGAGGTATAAAACAGCATAAAATCTATAGGAAACAAAGCACAATATGACTAGACTAAAAACATATGTAGAAGGGTGGTGGAATATGAGGCGAAAGAGAAAGCAACAGCCAGATGAAGTATTTTGTTTGGGCTAGGACTAGACTGCAATTCTGGAGACTGTGGGAAGCCATTGTTGGACTTTAAGCAGTGAACTATGGGAAGCCAATGCTGGACTTTAAGCATTCTGAAGTGCATTTCTGAGAAAAGCATTTCAGAAAGACAACATTGGGGAAGATAATTTAAACGGGGCCATAATGAAGAATAGAACATAGGGAAAGGATAAAACAGTGAGATGTAACAATGCTCTGAAATTAAAAATGGCAGTGAGGGTGGAGAGAGAAGGATACCATGTCGAGGAAGGGAAATATAACATTAAGGATATAGAATTGATAGGATCTGGTGACTAATGGAATGGAAGATGGAGTAAGGGTAGATTCTAAGATGACTAGTATGTTTCTGCTATATGCTAATTGGTAGGTAATACTAAGGTCAACCAGGATTGGGAATACAAGAGAAATGCAGGTCAAGGCTGGAGAGAGGATTAGAGTAGGGAGAAGGATTTTTTTTAAAAGGAAGATAAGTATATTTAAGGACAATATTGAATTTGAAATCTAGTCAGGAGGCAGCTGAACATATGGGGTCTGTGAGTTGGGAGGAAGAGAAGAGATCAGATAAAGACATCACATATGAGTGGTAGTTAATTGAAGCTGTGAGGATAGATGCGATTGCCCAAGGATCATCAATATGAGAAAAGCAAAGTACCAAAGGACTGAGGATCAAGCTCTAGGAATCTGCAAATTTAAGGGTCAAGCATAGAAATAAGAGAATTTAAATGAAACATAGGTGAAGGAAAAACAAGGAGAGCTTATGATATGGTTTGGATTTGTATCCCCACTCAAATCTCATGTCAAACTGTAATCCTCAGTGTTGGAGGAGGGGCATGATGGGAGGTGACTGGATCATGGGGGCGGTCTTCCCCCTTGCTATTCTTGTGATACTCAGTGAGTTCTCATAAGATCTGGTTGTTTACAAGTGTGCAGCACCTTCCCCTTCTCTCTCTTCCTCCTGCTTCCCCTTCGCCTCCCACTACAATTGTACGTTTCCTGAGGCCTCCCCAGTCATGCTTCCTGTACAGCCTGTGGAACTGTGAGTCAATTAAACCTCTTTTCTTTATAAATTACCCAGCCTTAGGTAGCTCTTTATAGCAATGTGAGAATGGACTAATACAGTTTAGTATCATGGAAGTCAAGGGAGGAGGGAGCTTTGATAAAGGAGTGATCAATAGTGCCAAATAGTGCTGAGGAAGCTAATATAATGACTTCAAAAGCAGCCTGTTCCTTTTTATATCATGGAGGTCACTGGCAACCCTCTATTACTGAAAATGATAGGTTTGACAATTATTCAGTGTTGAAACAGATTTAAAATAAAGGCATCCTTCTTTAAGTCAGAAGTTAGTTTTGTGTCAATACCAAAAATGACTACATTGTACAAATATCTCTAAACAACCTCCCATTATAGTAATCTATTTTCTAAATGACAATAATATAAAACTGTCAATAAATAGAACAAGTTTCCTAAGTAATATCAAGCAGTCATTCAACACTTTATAAATGCTAATTTCCACAAATTTTCTCCATATTCATAAGCCTCGATGCCTTGTTTTCTTATAAATGCACTTTCACTGACAAATGATTAATACTTTGTCCAAAGCTACTCCCTCATATGTGATGGTCTGAGTACATTAATGGCTAATTTACAAGTATGCTTGCAGTAAAATCTCAACACTCAAGAACCACTGTGGAAAGAATCAAGCCACATAGGATAGTTCCATATATCTGTTTATCTATTTAAGTATCAACATCTTGTTTCACATGGGACACTCTCTGAAATGAATTATATAATTCCCACATTCTTACGCAAAATAAACTAGATATAATTTAACAATTTCCTGTTGAGTCAGGGTCATCACTAAATATGTGAGTTAGTGAGGTATGGTGTAACTCAGTATCTCGGGAGGTACTGAAGTGTGCAGGGCTACTAGCCTCTGCGCTCTGTGAAGTCTATTGTTATCATTTGCATTCCAGTTTCAGTCTTTTATTACATTTCTATCTACCCCTCCCCTGCTGCCAGCTTATCAGTTGTCACTTCTTGATGATTCCAGTGTACGATTCTGGAATAAACTCTCTCCCAACCTTCCAACCTGCACTTCTAGTCTGCTGTGGATGTAAAACAGATAATTGGGTTCGTAAAGATAACATATGAAAAGAGAATAAATAGGCTCTCATTAAAGGCCAAAAAGTCGTTCTCACCATGAGGCTTACTTGATAGATCTGGTGACATTTGTAGGCTGCTCAGATTGTTTTATTTAATTTTTGTTTTATTTTTTAGTTCTCAGTTGTATTCCAAAGGACAAATCTATTAAATAGGCGAGGACTGGGTAAGTGAAGCTATCACACATCAGGAAAGGGCATATTTACAGCTCTGTTTTTGTGTACCATATCTAATTACAAAATGTGCAGAGTTCATTATTATTTTCAGCATCTTAGAAAACAGTTTTTAAATGTATTAAATTATGCTACTCCACTTCTTTGTATATATTGAAATATTGTAAAAACATGGCACCTTTCAAACTAACAGCAGCCTGTGAAGACTGGGGCTGTTTTGATAGTACATCATTGTATTTTAACTATACTACTTTCCCGTTCTATAAACCATTATTCATGCTCAGTATACCTTAGGTTTTCCTACCTGGCTATCTAGAAAGCAGTTTCAACTGGATGCTGGTATTACCTCACTGTTTTTTATGAAGTGACTGCCAGACTATTCTGGCCTCTATTTTACCTCCTGGAAGCCCTTTTCACCTCTCATCCTACCATAGTACTGCTTCTCTATCAGCAAAGATAATTTATGAAAAATGCTTACTTGTCCTTCGAGGCCTAGTTAAAATATCACCTCATTACTGAAGCCTTCCCAGACTTATGCAAGACACAGAAGAAACAGATATAGGTGGGGAAATACAGGTATTTCAGGCAAAGTGTTCCGCATGATAAAATGTTTGAGAGCATTTAAAAGTCTACAGCATATCTGGGAAACACCAAATGTAGTATGGCGCAAACATATGGTACATTTGGGAGAATGACAGGCTCAAAGGCCAGAATATTAAGTTAGGACCACAATGAAAAAGTTAGCAATGGGTCATGAGCATAGATTTTTAAGAATGATAATGTATTAGAATTGGACTCATTTTTTACAGATAACTGACAATAGTGTAGGGTATTGTCTGGAGAGAAAACATGTCAGTATGGGTACTAATTAGGAAATTGTTGAAATAATATTGGTGGGAGAAGATAAAGGCAGTGGAAGTAGAATGGGTTAGATTCACAGTCAATACTATACTTTGTAATAAGACTTGATGATGAATGCAGGGGACAAAAAAGAAAGAAGTGTTGAGGAAAATTAAAGATTGGGTAGAAGATGATACCTCTATAACCGAAAATAGGAAACACAGGAAGAAGAGAAGACTTAGGAAAAATCAGGTTAACAGAAAGAGATATAAGCTAAGTTTTAATATAAAAGGAGTTACAGCTTAGTAGTTAAAGCACGTTATCTATAGCCAGACTCCCTGGTGTATAATCTGTGCTTTCCCTTCTATTCACACTGTGACCCTAGGGAAGTTATTTAACCTTTATGAGCCTCAGTTTAATTATCTATAAAATGGGGATAATACTTCTATCTCTCTCAATCAATTGCTGCGAGGTTTAAATGGGATAACATATTAAAGTATTTTAAACACTGTCCGGCATATGGGTTGTAAATGTTATTTTTAATTTCTTAATTTTATGATACCAGTCACTGAGCTGGATGTATAAATCTGAAGAATCACTACCACAGTTGGATTGTAAAACTAGATAAGCAATTCAGAACATTCATGGACAAAATTGTTTAAAAAAGTATGTGTCTGTATGTATATACATGTACATGTAGATACGTGTATGTGCATATGAATGTATGTACATAAAATGATACTAAAAGAGGACCACGGATAGAACATAGGGAACAAAATACCCAGGAAGTAAGAGGAGGAGAAATACATTAGGAAGACAGAAAAAAAAAAAAAAACCATAAAGGTAGAGAACAAAGGAGAGAATGGTGCCTAGAAAGTCAAGGGAAGTAAAATTTTCAAGGAAGAAGGTGATCAACAGTGCCAAGTGATCAAGATTGGAAAGAGGCCATTGGATTTTGAAATTAGTCACTCACTGTAAATCTTTTTGAGAACTGTAATAGAGTTGTAAAAGGTAATTTAGAAAACATAGAAAACAAATATGGATTATTCTAGAGGCATGGACTTTAAAATGAAAAAGAGAGACAAGAGGCTAGTTAGAAGGTTAAGTCAGATCAAAAGAAGCTGCTGGTGTATAATCTGTGCTTTGCAAAAGAGACCGGAGAATGCTACTAAGCTGAAGGAAAGTCAATGAAGAGAGAGTGTATGAAGATATGCGATTTATCTTCCACCTATTTCTTGAACTCCTGAAGATAATGAAAATCCTATCATAGGTACAAAATTTCACTTTAAAAGCTAGGAAAAAAAATCTGTGAGAAGTTAATAACCTTTTTTAAAACCCCAAAAAGGGGGGAAAATGTATATAGTTGTTATTTAAAAAATAATTAGTCCTGTATTTTAACAAAATTACTTCCCGAGACTGTAATAACATTTTGGGAAGTCTCAGGATACTACAGAAATAGAAAAGTCATTCTGTTAAAATACAACACTAATTATATTTTTTAAACAACAGATTTAAACTTTTGGGTTTTTGTTTCTGTATTCTGCATGTATTTTTGAACTTTTAGAGGACATCTTTTCATTCACATTAAATAGTCTAAATAAACAAACTCACTTCACAATTCTTGTGAGAGTACTAGTTTTTGTATATAACAAATTACTAATTTTGTAGCTCATTAAAATGTGAAATTTTAAATTGTGGTCTGCATATGTTTGCATCTATAATCAGTATTCAACAATTTATTGAATACTTAACAAGACATCTATGATTCTTCCATATGTTACTTGTTAACAATTTGTCACTTTATCATTCCATTCTGTCCAGCTTCCTGAAGGCTAGCAAATGTCTTTCCCATCTCATTGTTTGGGGTGAACTACTCATTGGCAGAGGCATCCCTTCAAAGTATAGGCAATGCCGTATTCAAATTCTGGCATCACAAAGACATGGGTTCAAATTACAGCTCTATCCCTTACACAGCTGGGTGATTTTGGAGTGCCTTCCACCAATTCAATTCCCTGATCAGTAAACCAGAGGTAATAATACATAACTCACAGAGTTGTAGCTAAAAATTTATTTAAAGAAGATTTTAAAAATATATCAATGTAATGAAAACTTTGAATATAAATAAAAGAGTTCATTCCTACTCAACAAACTTTCGAAGAGAAGTACAAACATACACATATATCTGAAAAACCAGTGAAATTTAGTTAGGTAAGCCCAACCACAGGAACATGAACAAAACTTTCAAAGTCATCTAAAAAAGGCAGTTTTCAACCTTTCAGTAGAGGTATAAAATTTTATCAAGATTAAATTTTATAAGAAACAATGTATTATTAAAAAACACTGGGAAAAAATATACTAATCTTTAAAATATGTAATATAATCCCAGCACTTTGGGAGGCCAAAGTGGGCGGATGACCTGAGGTCAGAAGTTCAAAACTAGCCTGGCCAACATGGCAAAACCCCATCTCTACTAAAAATAAAAAAATTAGCCAGGCTTGGTGGTGCATGCCTGTAATCCCAGCTACTTGGGAGGCTGAGGCAGGGAGAATTGCTTTGGGAGGCAGAGGTTGCCGCAAGCTGAGATCACGTCCATCGCACTCCAGCCTGAGCAACAGAGTGAGACTCCATCTTAATAAATAAATAAATAAATAAATAAATAAATAAATAATACATTTGACATAAAAGTACACCATAAAAGTTGATCCAAAATTTTCAATATAGTTGGAGTAGAAGTCATGATTAACAAAGATCCTTCAACATTTGGAGAGGTATTACAATTTTGTAACATTACAGATTCTCTTTAGACAAGCCAATTCATCTATCTGATGCCGTTTCAAACTCTGGCAAACAAAAATACAAATACTTCATAATACATAAAATACATAATACAAAAAATACTTCATAATACATAAAAAATTAATTGTGTTTGTTTCACATCAAGCAAGAAATTTGAAGAGTTAAACATTCGATGCTAAGTAGCTTGATAAAATTAAATGTGGAAACTACCTTCTCTTTGTTGAACAACAATATGAGAACTAAAAAAAAATTCAGAGAATTTTCCATGGTACATTAAATGGTATGCATTGTCTAAAAGAGAGATTAGCAGAGACCAAAAACCTGGAATCAAATTCCGACTGTGACACTTAAAAACTGTGTCACGTTAGACCAGTTATTTAATCTCATTCAACTTATTCGTCCCATAAGCAAAACAAAGATACTATAGCAATACCTTCATATCTAGGTTGTTGTGAGAATTAAATCAAATAATATATGCAAATTAAAATGTTTAGTGCAGGACTTCATACCATAAGTTCAGCCAATAAATATGCATTCTCATCCCTCAAGAACAGAGCTATTCATAAAATGGATCATTTCCTGAAACCATCTAGGTAAAGATAGTGAGTTTTGTCATTTTCTAAAGGAGGCATTTAGTAAGTTGTGTCTACACAGGGCTATCAAATTAACGCTAACCTAAGAATTGCAATTCAATCCCTTCTATTCTGGTGAGTCACACCTTTGAATATTGTCTGAATGGCACAAAGAGAGATGTGTTTAATTGTCTTACATTTCTACAAGCCCACCGACTTCACTAACACTTGTTAGGATAATGGCATTGGCTGAACTGCTTGCCCTTTTACCTTAGTTACTGCTGAGGCTTCAATTTCCCTGGTTTATTACATTAATTACTAAATTCTTGTCTAAATATCAATGACAGCCATAACTGCCACATTTATAATAATTCAAAAGTATTTTTCCTAATTTTAAACAAATTGCAATTCTCACAAACTAGCAACAGAAAAAATTTTAGTTTTACATTCCATACTACTTAAATGCCAGCTAAAATGGAGTTGATGTCATACAAAATGAGTACTCTAAATATAACTCTAGAAGCAATTTAAGACAAAACTAACTCACCTGTAATTGCAAGGCTTCCTGATTTTCTAAACCTTCCACAATTGGTGAAAATCGTTCCCTGTTATTTCTTTCTGCTGCTGTTGTTATAGCCCCTAAAAGTTTATCTAGACTGTAGAGAAAAAAGAAGAAACAGAAATGAGAAATACTTCTTATACAGACACTATGAGCACCGGTCCTTTCAGTATTCCCTGTTTTCTTTCTGGTATTTGATGTTTATATATACCATTAGAATTTTTAAAAATTATCATTTGCTTTTTTGATGGAAATTGTATGTTTTCAAATATGTATACATACTGGAATGGCTAAATCAAGCTAATTAACATATATTGCCTCGCCTACTTACATTTTTTTGTGGTACGAACAATTAAAGTCTACATACACTCTTAGGAAATTTCGAGTATACAACACACTGTTATTAACTACAGTCACTATCACATAAAATAGATTTCTTGAACTGATTCCTCCAGTCTAACTGAAAGACCATTACAATATAGGAATTGTGTTCCTGTCCGTATATTTCTTTAAGGCAAATATTGATAGCTCTAAATAATTTTAGGGCATCAAAAGGAAAATTCGATTTTAAAAATCTTAAGGAAAGTAACTTTTCTGGGTGACATTAAAAAAAGAATACTTAAGTGATAAACATTAAAATTTAAATTTTCAGGTTTTGATATTTCATGTGTTAACATTAATATCACTTAAACATAATATGACACCTATAATTGTTAACAGTTTATTGGAGCATAAACAGATTGTAATTTTATAATAAAGTTCTGGAAAGAGTGATTATTTTTTAAAGAATTTTTTTAATCAACATTTTTTGACAATGGAAAAAGAAAAAAGACTCTAAAAAGGAAAGCCCAGGTGATTAAAGAAGAATGTATAATTATCTAGCACAAGAAACTTATTAACCTGACCAAAAATATTGGTATCTCCACACAATGCCTAAAACAAATTAATCTCTATATAGTATACTACTCTTATCAAATTATATCTGAAATTATAATTAAATCATAACAGTTATACTGGACTACATTGTATTTTATGAATATTGAAAATCTAAGTGATTAAAAAATATTTCTTACACATGTATAAACTGACTTTTAAAAAATAAAATCCTAAGGATCCTTGCTTTTACATATGTTATCTCATTCTCAGTTTGTTATCATTGAGGTGAGACTTAATATGATAATATTTTTGTTTAGTGTTTGTCTTTTGGTTTCTGAGGACAGTAGCTAACACTAAGCAACATCTCATTTTACTCTAACAGTTATGAGAAAGTCAACATATTCCAACATCCTTAAATCTTTGCATAGTCCTGTTCTGACTCAAATTGACATTATTACTGTCACGCAAAGTGTTCCAAGGAAATATTTTGGTTCGGGTCCTTAGCAGATATTTGATTCTTTATCACAAGGGTTCATTACAAACTAGACTTATTAATGTCATCAAATCTGAAAGTTTGCTTCTGATTCAATATTATTTCCATAAGAAGATGTGATCAAATGCATGTTCAGCAACAACTTGCTGCATTTGGTGGCACATATACACTTTGAATAATTATCAACAACCGTTTTTTTCTAACAGGTGGGTTTATTTCACTTTACAAATAATTTTCATTTACCATGGCATATAAAGTAAAATACTATTATAAGATAATGTAAAATAAAGGCATCTATTCAAATTGTGTGATATGCAGCACAGTATTTGTGTATGTATGTGTGTGTATTTGCCAAAATAACTCTCTGATTTTTGTCCACTTTCTAATGATTGCTGTACCTCCAGCAAAACAAAATTCTGCTCAATCACTTTGAATCCAACTTTCAAGAATTTCCCACTAGGATTTTATCTGTTTAAACTGAGTTTCTATAATGTCAACAAAGAAGCCAAAATATAAACAGGCAAGATAAAAATTTCAATCAAAAATTATCTAAAATACTGTTTTCATGAAAGTTATCCAAAGAAAGAGAACAAAAGTAGGACTTATTAATTTCTTAAGTGTCATTTTCCATGCAGCAAATATAATAATATAGCAATACTTACATGTTCTCTTCTCCAACAATGCAAATAGCAGAAAGTATTTTTACTATTTCAGTCATCATGTTGGGTTGTTTGGGGTCAATTGCTCTTGCCAATAGTAAAAGACTTCTTTCATCTCCTAGAATCCTTTGTAATCCAAACTAAAAAAAAAAAAAAAAAACCTTCATTCAGAATGTCTATGGAATATATCTTTAATTTAAAAAAGCAACGTACAATGATCTTCCAAAAACCCATACCCCCACAATGAGGTTCTACCTAATTATATGAATATTCTTCAAATGCAGTTATCTGTCTTTGTTTTTTATATGAAATCACTGCATCTTGGAGTTGTTGCTCCTTGATCAGATATATCTCCATTAGCCTGCCCTAAAAATTCCATAAATTTGGAGAAATATGGGAACAATCAGTATTTCTTCAACAAAGAATAACATATAAAGCGCATACTGATATGATTTTCTAAAGTAAGATTCTACTTATGTCACTGGGTCTCCCTGGAGATGTCTGGAATTCGTGGTTAAATTGTCCAATATGTTTGTATGAAAAATTAAGGTGAAGAAAAAGAGAAATTTTTTTTAAAAGGCTCTTTTGAATACTATATGCCAGTATAAGCCTCAGTATGGATATTCCCATGCCTTCTCTCTCTTATCCTCCCTGATTCAGACAGCTGTGCTGCACTACAAAAGCTGTGAACCTAAAGAAATGGCACCTGGGTTTTATTAAGTGTCACAAGTCAACTAAGGAGAGAAAACACCATTTTCATTTATTTTCTAAGCATGAATATGTGTGTGCATGCGTGTGCATGCACGCACTTAATAAATAAGTAAAGAAATTCTAATGAAAGTCTAAAACTTGAGTTTTCATTACATTAAGAAAGCAATATATTATTTTATCTTTGTCCCACAAAGTATTTTTCAGATTTCTTATAAAATATTTTTGCTTCATTTTACAGTCTAATGGTGAAATTGGATATTTCATCGGAGCAAAATTTCCATTTCAGCTAAACTTCAGTTAATTACCAACCATATGAATAGTTCCATCAGCCCTAATTTAATTTCTAAAAGAACTCCGAGTGGCAGATGGGGAACATAGCTAAAGCTCTTAAATGTGAGTTTATCACAGGTCATAATAAATAGGAAAATATATGGAGATAAGACCAAAAAAAAAAAGAAAATGCAAGAAACAAGTCTTGAAAGAAGCAACAAAAACAAAATAGATAAGTATGTATAAAGGTGGCCAGTAGATGATTAAAAGTAATGAATATTAGTGAAAAACACATTTGCAAAACTGAGAGACAATGACCACGCAATTACCAAACTTAATAGCTTTATGAGTCATTGAGACTGAGAGTGAAATCATTAGGTTTTAAAAATTTTACTTAATGTTTATAAGTAGTTTTTAATATATAGAGACACATCAAAAATAAAAAAGAAGACATGAAAAATATATCTGGAAAATCATTAATCCAAACATCAGAGCAATATTATAGTACTGGAAGTTAAGAAACAATGGGTTGCTTTTTATGATCCTATTGTTACATGTATTGGATAAAAGAAAGGAGTTTTTGAAGTAGGTAATCTAAACTCCATGGGGCCAAAAAATTTGATGTGTAAGTCATTTTGGATAAAAGCTTAATTCCTTGATCTGGACAATTTATTCCAACATGAAGTGAAAAGATCACTGCATATTTTCTATTCTGAAGGCATATTTTATGCCTATTGTTTCACATGTCTATAATTCAAAAGATCCATTAATCCATGCTCTGAGCACCTATGTGCAAGACATTAACGTGGCCTAACTAAAAACATCAATTTCGAATAATCTAAGTCAAATCATTATGCTTTCCGAAACTGCCAAACTCTTAAGAAACTAAATGTTGACAAATCAAAGTATGTTCTGTTAAAAAAAAAAAGGGCTCTATAAGAATCTTACTATTATGACTCTCTCTAGTGACTGTCCTGATTAAAATTACTTAGCATCCTGAAAAGCCACGACAATTGACAACATGAGTCAATAAGAATTTAGAACAAAGTGTCCTATAGCTAAATTTACAGATGAGGGGACTGATACTCAGAGAGGTCAAGTAATTTTCCAAAGGCCACACAACTTATTAGGAACAAAGCATGAACTATATATATCTCCTGAATTCTAGAACTGTGTTATCTTTCCATTATGTCATTGTTTCCCTCAATTGACGAAAGAGATCTATCTTGAGCTGTGAAGAAGCAATGCTCATTATTTCCTTGTTGGGCATCAGATTCTGTTTAACTTTGTAGCCAAAGACTAAGAGCCCAGATTTTGAGAAAATCTGTACTAGTAGTGATGGGAATATTTCTGTAAGAAACTTCCAGAAACAGTACAACTAGCATATTCAGGAGTCTCATGTCCACTAGCAAGCATTCATTGCATATGCTCATACAGTAACATTCTTTGCTGATACATGTATGTATAATATATAAATACTTATATGTATTTCCATATGCTTGAGACTGTCTATAGATTAATATATAATCTTATTGCATTGGTTATTAATAGCCATATTTTACATTTGGCAAACTTCTACTTGTTGTTGTAATTATTTCTATTATCTATTTTGAGATTATTAAAATACTATGTAAAGGGAATTAGGTAATTAAGTGAATTAGTCAATAGTATTTTATCTATAGGTATGAAGAGGTCATTTCTAAGACAGTAAAAAAAATAGTTTATAGAAAAAATACTGTAACTTCATAACCTGAGTAAAGTCTATTTTTAGAAGAAAAATTATTGTCTAAAATTCACAGGGTCCCTTATAATACAACTAGTATTATACATATACATAAAAAGCCCTGCAATTTTTCAGAGATGTCTTATATGTATGTAAACTTGCTGACATTAATAAAACATAAAAGAAAGAGAAATCTCAATCTTACAATGTTCTTAGCAAATAAGTCAACCCATCCCTATAATTTTCCTTTTCAATAGAACAGAAATTCTCTGTGTGGAAACATATTCAACAAACGACATTTAAATTTTCCTACTACCATTAAAGAAAAAGCATTATTACCAAAATTGGGAACAACACTAATTCATTTGCATGATTTCAAAAACCCACCAATAAATATTTTGTGAAGCAAAGTATAACTTTCATGTAAGTATTACTTAAATATTATAAGGATTTACATCATAAAGACCCTTTTGTAAACTGAACAAGCACTCACTATTTTGTTCATTTCTTTCTTTTTGTTATGTTTTCTGAACATTTAGTATACTATAAAATCAAAAAGACCTCTGTTCACATGAAAGAAATTATTGGAGGAATAAACAGAATAAGAATCAGACACAGCATTTCTAAATTATAGACAAGAGTCAAATACACTTTTTCCAATCATTTTTTTTGTTTGTTTCATTGACTAGCTCACCCTCCTGAGGAAATTAGCAGCATAGACAATGGAAAGTACTGTTTTATCTATCTTCCCTATATGAAAGCAATATATTTGAATAGAAGAAACATTGGAATAGGGCTCCATTTTTTAAAAGATTTAGATCTACAGAAGTTATATCATCCCTGAAATCCTCTGGATGCTGTGAGGACTTCTTTGGTTAAAATGAAATATCAGCATAGAAATAAAAAAAAAAAAATCGAGAAAACTAACAATAGCTCACATTTTGGAAAATTAAACATCAAATTTATCTTTTATATATGGTTTCAAATGTGTATTTAACCTCACTGTAAAACTTTATAAACACTTATTATTTATAAGCCTGTAATAACTAGTCTACAATTAATTAGTACAGCAGAAACATAAGTAAAAAATAGGTACGGGGTGGGGAAGATGATGAGGGAAAAGAGTTAATGCATGCCGGGTTTATTATTTAGGTTGATGGGTCGATTTGTGCATCAAACCACCATGGCACATGTTCGCCTATATACATGTACCCTGGAAATTAAAAAAAATAATAAAAAAATATTTTGTTCATTTCATACTTTCATAGTGTTGGGCAAGTTCCCACCTTTTGTGACAGGGGCAGAAATAAATACTACTTACCTTATTATTCATAAATGCTTTGAGGCATTGAATAAGTTTATACTGATTCTTCTTGTCAATATTTTCTTGCCTAAATAAAAGAAAAATGTATATTATGTTGTGCTGAAACATTTTCCCTTTGGTGATTTTAATTTCAGTGTTTATTCTTACTGTTTTTTGTCCAGAAGCTTTTCCAGCTCATCCAATAAGAGTCCAAGACCTTCATGGCCAAAGTTGTTAACCCAGCTGAGAAATAAACAAAAAATTAGATGTATAAGTAAGTTAGTAATTTTAAAACATTAAATATCCAAAATAAAATTTTAATTTTCAAATCTGATAATTCTGTCTCAATATTGCTTGTCATTATTTTTTCAATTCCCACTGCTTCAAGTATTGACTCTATGAGGATGACTCAGTGATCTTTGCCTCAATCCTAGACTTCTCCACATTTTAGATTGCCCATTACACAGCACTGCCTTGGTTGTTTCACCAGCATGACATACTTAAGCATGAATTCACAAGCTGAATTCATCTTCCTCTGTCTCCATACCCCTAAGTCAACTTATCTTCCACTCTTTGATACTTTATTAATAACATCACTACCCTTTTAATTCTTCAGACTTGAAATACTGGCATAATTATTTGATGACCCATTTCTTTCACCTTTGCATTTATTCTATTTATTCAGTCAACAAATATTTGTCGAGTGTCTACAAAGTTCCAAGCATGTTCTAGGTGAGAGAGATACATAACAAGCAACAAAACTAAGCAACTAGCCTCATGGACTTTACTATCTAGAGATAGGGAGACAGTGAACAAATAACTAACTATATAATAAATGTAATAATTGCTTTGATGCAATGAAGAAAAATAAACCTTGGAAAATAGAATGAAAGGAGTGGCAGGCTGCTATTTTTCATTGTGTGATCAGGAAAGATTCTTTGATAAGGTTAGGTATTTCAGCAGAACTCTGAAAGTGAGGACTTTCCAAGTAGAAGGATTAAGGGCAAATTGGGTCATGAGGCATTAGCTAGTGTGTTTAGAATGTTCCAGGAACTGTGAGGAGACCCATGTGGCAGGAGCTGAGTACGCAGGTTTAGGAGATTGGCTGGACATAAATTCTCCTGTGTGGCAGAAGGCTGAAACACTGCTAATGTAGAGCATTATTCACAAATATTCTACTTCTACTTCTACTTCTACTTCTAGAATGCCTCCTCCAAATGGCCCCTTTCTTCCTTTCCAATGCCTCTGCTAACATTCTGGTTTAGTCCTAGTTATCTTTCCTTTAATAAGCCTGGAGACTCCCAATTGGTGATTCCCCAACTTCATTCTTTTCTCTTAATCATTTTATAAAATGACAGATTAAATTGCCCTCAACCAAAGTTTTCTGTCCAAAAATTTTCCCTGGACTACTTAATACATTTTAAATCATTTGGCTCAACATTCTGATGTAGCCTCAATCTACCTTTCCAGCCTCAGGCCTTAAGACACATGTGCCAATAAAATCAGACAAATTATCATTGCTGGAGCCCACCTTGCACTTCCTCATGTTAGCTCATTTATTCTTTCTTCCCAGAAAGTAACCTCAACTCCATTTCTCCCAACTATTTAAAACTAAAATTGGCTGTTTTAAGTCATTAATGTTTTCCCCTGTAATTCCTCCGATCAAATGAGTTCCTTTTCCTCAAAATCTCCATGTAATATTTATCTCTTACTGCTTGACATAATCATAATGATTCTTGCCATGTCTTACCTACCCCTTTGGCATGTAAATTCTCTAAAGATAGTTATATCATTTCATTAATATTTCTATGTTTCATAGTGTTTAGCAAGGTAGCTCATATATAGCCACTAAATATTTATATTAAATAGAGCCAACACTAAGTAAGTATTTGCTAATTTAAATTTAATTAAATTTACTGGCTGTATGGTTAATAGAATAAGCAATCTCATACTACCCAAGAACATCATAAACATAAATCAATATATAGACTTATGTGAAATAATAACATCTATGCTGTCTATATTTAAACCATTCCATTCCAGTCTTTATCCATTTCATAGCTACCTAAGGTAAATCTTATCAACAAAGCAGAGACCTAAATTTTTAAGGGAATATCAGAGACATCACACCACTGAAGAAAATATATTTTTAAAATAGCTCATATTCAGAACCAATCGCCATCCACAATATACATAGAAGCTCATTTTAAACAAATTCTGCTTTAATTTCCATAATGGAAACAAGAAAAAAAATCAATATGGCACTGTAATGATAATTGGCAACAAGCTACTATCCAATTGAGGCATGTAATCATCTAGTGCAACCAGCTATTTTCTCTAAAGCCTCGATAATCAGTGAGGTGGTGGTAGAGGGATAAAGGGACATCAGCTTTAAGTATAATATACTTAAATAATATGTAATATATAATTTATCACAGAGAAAAATCAGCAGATATCACTACAGCACACTGTACCCTGCAATAACCTTTACATAATAGGAATTCTGAACAAATTTATATATAGTCCTCAATATCCGCTTTGGTATTTGGGAAGATGAAATAATCCATGATTTCTTTAAATTTACCACAAATTGTTTCTAAAATTCTGAATTTTACTTATATTCTCTTTATGTCTACTGCTATTAAAATTATTAGGGTTATTTCTTTCTTGGTGTAGGGAAGCATGATTCACAAGAACATGATTCATATTTGTTCAATTGAAATCAGTCGCCCACACATCCCCTGTTTCAAATGATGCAGTTTATGGTACTTTGGTTTTATTCAGGGAAAATTACTATTTTTCTTAAAAAAAATAAGATACAATCATACAACTTAAGTGTGAGGAGGCAGGACCTATTATTACAAGCTAGACAGGGAAAAGTCTTAAATGAGAATATTTTAGGCCAATGGGCAGAGGAGGCCTAGTAAGAGTCTTTAAAACTTTTAAAGTAGAGAGAATGGGAGCCTGAAATGAGCCCGTTGCTAAGGGGATAAAATAATTACGAACGATGACGATGCGCAAGAGGTTAAAAGGAAGGAGGTGTGGCTAGACATAGCTTTGTTTCCTTTTTCTCTTGCCAGCACCACCATTTCTCTGCCTTTCAGACATCAAACACTTTGTGAACTCCAGCCAAGCACTTACTGTTTTACTGCTTCTCTTTCTCTCTTTCTCCTCCACCCCCCTCCCCCAGCCTCCCTTTCTCATATACATAGAGTATACTGATTTCAGCCAATACAAAAGTGGTCATGAAATGAGGAGGCAGTTTAAAAACAAAATGTTGGCTCCTGTATGTGAGCATGTGGGCAGAAATTCTGACATTGAAACACTAGAAGTAAGCATAAATCAAGGGTTCTCAAAGTGTGCACTCCAAATCAGCAGCATTGACATCATCTGGGAACTTGTTAGAAATCAAAATGCTTGTGCCCTACCTCAGACCTACTGAATCAGTAGCTGGGAGGAAGATAGAAGTGTATGTTTTAACTAATTCTCCTGGTGAATCTGATGCTTGCTCAAGTTTGAGAACCACTGGCAGGGAACAATGGATTGCTGAGAAGCAGGGGAAGCCTTTCTCAGGCAAGACTCAGGCTCAGAACTCAAGGCTGCTTTACATGCCCTCCCAACCATACTGTGCCCTCCCAGTGCCGCAGAACACAGATCAGGAATCCAGTTGAGGGCCGGGAGCGGTGGCTCACGCCTGTAATCCCAGCACTTTGGGAGGCCGAGGCGGGCGGATCACGAGGTCAGGAGATCGAGACCATCCTGGCTAACACGGTGAAACCCTGACTCTACTAAAAATACCAAAAATTAGCTGGGCGTGGTGGCGGGCGCCTGTAGTCCCAGCTGCTTGGAGAGGCTGAGGCAGGAGAATGGCGTGAACCCAGGAGACGGAGGTTGCAGTGAGCTGAAATCGCGCCACTGCACTCCAGCCTGGGCCACAGAGCAAGACTCGGTCTCAAAAAAAACAAACAAACAAAAAAAAGGAATCCAGTTGAAACAGATATATTTGGTATATTTCATGGAGTATGCAAATTCCAGCTCTGAATTATTTAGTACTAACTGGAACATCTAGAATGATAAGAATACAGTTGATGACCTGATTTAAAATCTTACTCAGAGATTACAGACAAAGACATAAATTTTTCTGTACTATCTCAGCCCTGAAATAAGAAACTGACATTTCTCATGGACCTTACATTTATGAGGGACATAGAACAGGCAGAGAATAATGAAGAACCAAACAGAAGGAAAAACGGAGGAAAATTACTCTTAATAATTTTCATAACCAACCCAAACATGAGTTATTTTTTCTTTCCTTTTTACTGAGGTATGATTTATATATAGTAAAATTTATCATTTTAACAAATGTATAGTCATGTAACCACCAATACAAATAAGATATAAAACGTTTTCATCACCCTAAAATATTCCCTTATTCCCCTTTGCAGTCAATCCCTTTTCCCTACTCCCAGCATCCTGGCAACTACTTATCTGATTTGGGTCCCTATAGTTTTGTGCTTGCCAGAATATAATTATAAAAGAATTGTACAGTTTTCAAATTTTGTGTTTGGCTTCTTTTACTTAGCATGAATACTATGATATTCAACCATTTCGTTGCATGTATTAGTATTCCATTCCTTGTTACTGTATGAATATACCACAATTTGTTTATCTATTAATTATTTGATGAGTATTTCAGTTGTCCCCAGGTTTTGATGATTATGAATAGAGCTGATACAAACATTGACATGTAAGTTATCTGTGTAAGCATGCTTTCATTTCTGTTAAAAAAATATCTAGGAGTGGAACAGCTGGGTCTTATGGTAAGTAGATGTTTAACGGTTTAAAAACTGCTTTCCAAAGTGGCTATTTGGCACTCCTTCAGCAAAATATCACAGTTCTAATTGCCCCAAATCCTTGTCAGTCTTTTTAAGTTTAGCCATTCTGAAAATTGTTTCTAGGTAAAGAAACTGAGAAGCAAAGTAGTTAAGTGACTTCCCAAACATCACTCAACAAGTAAGTAGCAGTTCTAGGCCTCAAATCCATATCTGACTCTTAAGCACATGCTTATTTCAACCACATCCTTAGAAATTACTAAAAGAGGACCGGTACACAATTTTCTATAACATCTAGCTAATAGCTCTAATACCTTGCTTAAGAAGAATTAGTGGTGTTACAGAACGGTTTATATCTACATATCTATGCCTAGACAGACAAACATACGTTTCATTATTTAACAGCTTAGTTCATTTATTTAGATAGGATAAGTAAAGTCCTGAGCATCATAAGAAATCTACAAAATACTGTTAAGGACAGATAACTGGAGACTTCAGCTAAAATTTTCAGTCAACATTTAGGTAAGGTAGTTTATCAGAAAGAATAGGGCCAAAATGTAGCTTATACTATTTCTTTTTGGATGGGCTATGTAAGTCCACGATCTCACTTTTTAAGGTATTAACATATTGGTGATTTTGTGTTATAAGTTACCTAAGTTAAAGAACTGTCTTAACATGCTACACATCCAAGTTGACATTTGTGGTCACATGTCAGGAGACCAAGTGGAACAAATGAACCACCCAAACAAAAACAATAGACCAGTCAGGAAGATTAATGTTTGAGTGAACCAGCAGCCAAGATTATATCTGGAGACTAAAAAGGAAGCCAGGAAGCTTATATTGGGAACAAGAGGTCTGAATCACAGTGAGACAGCATCTTCCAACCCTATGTAAAAAAGGTTTGGCTGTATCTATCAGGGAGGCTAATATCTGTTACGCTGCTCAAAAAGCTAAAAATTAAAGACTTTTTTCCAAGTTCACCCAAAAATAAAGAAAATATTCCATCATCCATCATTGGATTATGCTGTGGGGCCACATAGCTGCATGGCTAAATGCATAAGCTTTAGAGGAAAACAGATCTAGGTTCTAATCTCATCTCTACATATTCTAGTTGTGTTACTTTTGATAATATACGTAAATTTTCTAAGCTTGTTTTTGCATTTTCAAAATAGGGATGAGAATACTACCTATACCCCATGAAGTCTTTGTGACTATTAAATGAAATAATGTATATAAAACATCACAATAAAGCCATTAAGAAATTTTTGGAAAATGTTAAAAACCAAAAATCTGAATGTTGTTTGAATCTTCTAGTCCAAAATGCAGTATGAATTTTAGGCATAAATTAAAGAATCCTTTTCCACAGTATTAACACAACTTTTAATCACTTAATGAAAATTATATTAATTTTTACAAAACATGCAGATGACTAAAATTATACTAAACTTACTCTATTGACTTGTTTAAAAATAAGACTGGGGCACAGTGTCATGCCTGTCATCTCAGCTATTCGGGAGGCTGAAACAGGGGCATCATTTGAGCCCAAGAGTTTGAGGCCAGACTTTATAATTTAAATATTTGGTACTCATATTACCTCTTTTTTTTGTTTTTTGAGACGGAGTCTCGCTGCCTCCCAGGCTGGAGTGCAGTGGCACCATCTCGGCTGACTGCAAGCTCCGCCTCCCGGGTTCACCCCATTCTCCTGCCTCAGCCTCCCGAGTAGCTGGGACTACAGGCGCCTGCCGCCACACCCGGCTAATTTTTTGTATTTTTAGTGGAGATGGGGTTTCATCGTGTTAGCCAGGATGGTCTCGATCTCCTGACCTCATGATCCGCCTGCTTCGGCCTCCCAAAGCGCTGGGATTACAGGCGTGAGCCACCGCGCCCAGCCAACCTCATGTGTTTTAACTGGTCACTATCCAATTTTGTGTATACTTAATTCTAATTGTATTTAGTGCTGGCCAATTCACATCAGAATAGATATGGAAATTATAATGGTGAGGGGGAGAGAATTTTTAGTTCATGTATAATCCTGACAGAATTATATCAAAAATATATTGAAGTTTTAAAACAGAAACCTATCTCAAGCCTTTAGAACTTCTAAGGTCATTATTTTTAAAGGACCCACTTATACTGATCAGCATGATCAAAGGAAAGAAAATCTTACATTTAATGAAGGTATCAGAAGATTCAATTAACCCTAAATCTAAGAGAAAGCAAGATTCTCCCCTCTCTAGCTCTTCAGGGCAAAGCAAAACGAGGAAAATTTTCTATAAATGTACCTATTGAAGGAGGGAATAAGACTGTGCTCCCTCATAGATTCTTATAAAGGACAACATTTCACAGTTTCCCAAAACCTCAACCTTTCTCCCATAAATTTGAGATTCAGACTCTGAATTATTTAGTTACATTTCACTTAAATATAATGTAAAACCAAAGATGTAATGAACAGATGAGTTCAGTATGCTATATACAATGAAGATATAATAGAAAATAGTGACTGCATGTCCATCAATGATTAGATTATCCAAATTAACATCTCTTTCAAAAGAGTTAAAGCTAAAATTAGAAACTTCTATACTGAATCCCATAAGCTGTAAAGGCAATTGGTCTCATGTGAAGGAGTCCAATATTAGTCATGTCATCCCTTTATCACTGTTTGTGCAGTGCTAAAGGCTAGTATAGAGGGTTATGTGTTCTGTACAAAGGATTTTATTTCCCTCTAATGGTGTTCTATTCCCATGTGTAATCTCAAACTACAACCTGAATCACTGGAACATCAAATAAAATGAATGATAGTTCAGGGTTTCTTGGGGGAATTCAGAAATTTGGTAAAATTATAACATGTGAAACAACTAATTCAAAAGGTTGAGGAGACTTTAAATGTTATCTTGAGTGGTGGGTTTTGGTTTGTTTTTTTTAAAATAGGAAAACATCTCACTTAAACACCAATATTGCTACTGTAATGTTTTTTAATGCAACTAAAACCAAATTTTAGTTGCATACACTTAAGGAAAGAAAGAGTTCCATGTGATTAAAACCAGTATGTAGCCCAACATAAACAGTATCACATATTCAGTCCATGGATCAAATCTGCATAAACAGTAACCAAGTAAACCTTAGTATTTTCCGCATCTTAAAAGGAAAATTTGTTCGGCTAAATAAACATCATAAACAGTTTCACTGTCAATATATATACCCACTAAAAAATATATAAACATGTATAATATATACGTGGATTTGTGTACACTACAACTGACTTGGTCTTAGATCCATAAAAACATATACGTCCACTCAGGTTTCTCTACATGAAAGCAAACACAATAGCTTTGGGCATTTGAATGTCCTTGGAAACTATTCATCATAGTAGATTAATCCATGAGATATCTCTGACCAATTATAAAATATCTATTTGACGTAACACTACCATTTTCAGACATTTGTGCATAAACCTTCGAAGCCTGACAGTCACTGATCATTTATTTCATGTGACTCATAGAAAGTTTGAATGCATCAGTTTACCAGTTCTACCTCTGAGTGGTTTTGACTTCAATGTTGTGATAGATTACAATTGCCTTAGAAACACCAAAGAAGACATTCCATCTTTCTCTCTGGCTGCGTTTATTCTATCAGTCTTACTGCAAAAATCCTACTATGTTTCATGCCTCTCATCCATTTTTAGGAGTTCCTTACAAAGTAGGAAATGTGCATTCTTTCTAGCTGTTTATATTGCATAAAGACAAATTCCTCTTACATATTTACAAAATAATTTTAAATGCTCTAGTTACATATAAAAATCTCTTGAGGGCAACAGTATAAGTAAACACTCTCTAAAAGGATAAAAGTTCCTTATTTATTAAAATCAATTTCATAAGCTGTCTAAGTTACTTTGGAGATAGTCTAAGAAATGGCTTATGCCCAAATCTATCTGAATGCCTAACAGGCTAACAATCAAGAATATTTTCCTCCCCACCTTCCTTTAAACATTATTGGTAGAAAAGTATAAGAGAAGGTCTTGTTCCAAAGTAATGATGAGGAAAAAATTACCAAAAAATTTGAATGACAATGAAAATAGACTCTTCAATCTACGGTCAATAAGGGAAGCGAAGGGAAAGAGTATTCCAAATATTCAAGTAAAAGCTACTCACATTTTCTATCTTCTTCAGATGTTTGAAATAGTAGATATAATTATGTTAGGACACTTATTAAAGATGCCTTCTTAGTAACATAACCAGTCAAACTTATAATAAAATGTTAACTTCCACAAGAAAAATGTATTGGTTTATTTTCCTAAGATAAGTAATATAGTTAAAATTCTATCATGCACACCACAGGATGTCCAATTTCATTTAGTTTTGTGGAATTTTGTTAAAGTAAACGTATTCCAAAAAATCACATTCCCAATCCATAAGCCCTGCAAATGAAACAGAGCTCATACCAAGTTTATGTCATGAATAAAGTAAGAAGTTATTTGAATGCAATGAAGAAACATAGAGGCATTAGCATATACCACCTGTACATATTCTTTTCTCCTAAACCAGTTTGTATGTTATACTATCTGATTCTAGTGGGCAGCAGAGAAATTGGTGAATTTTTTTTTTTTTTCACAGTAACAGGGGTAAGGAGAGTTGAAGGGTAATTGCTATTTGATGAGTGAACAACAGAAATGCAACAGTCCTTCTCACCTACCAGGTGCAGTGCCAAAAACATATAATTAAAGACTTATTACAGAGTGTGATAGCTACGTAGACAAAGATCAAAGAAATTTAATGTTCACAGACATTTTTAGCACAAGATAACTGAAACCAAACCTAAAAAGAAAATCATTTTCTTGGGTCCTCAATGTAGATGTCAAAAACATTTTAGCAAGTCCAAATGTTCTTTTTCCTCAGAATGTTATCTGTAACAGGTACTGCTTTAGTCTTTTCTTGTTTTTATATAATATTTTAAAATCCATTCCTCCTAATGCTGAGAAAGATACCGTGGAGATTATATGTTCTTCAGTGTGCACATACATACATTCTTAACCATGGTTAAATATGTGTTTTTTTAAATTTATATTTATTTTTATTGACAAATAAAAACGGTATATATTTATACTGTACAACATGATGTTTTGACACATGCATACACTGTGAAATGGGTAAATCAAAGTAATTAACGCAGGAATTACCTCACATACTTGATTTTATTTGTTATGAGAACACTTAAAAATCTCCTCTCTCAGGACCAACAAGAAGATACTACAATCCTGCATTTATATGCACCTAACACTGGAGCTCCCAGATTTATAAAACAATTACTACTAGACCTAAGAAATGAAATAGACAGCAACATAGTGAGTGGGAGAGTTCAATATTCCACTGACAGCACGAGACAGACCATCAAGACAGAAAGTCAACAAAGAAACAATAGACATAAACTGTATCCTAGAACAAATGTACTTAACAGAAATCTACAGAACATTCTTCCCAACAACTGCATAATATACATTCTTCGCATCAGCACATGGAATATTCTCCAAGACAGACCATCTGATAGACCACAAAACAAGTTTCAATAAATTTAAGAAACTCAAAATCAGATCAAGCATCTTCTCAGAACACAATGGAATAAAACTGGAAATCAACTGCAAAAGGAACCCTCAAAGCTATGCAAATACATGGAAATTAGTCTGGTTTTGAATGATTTTTGGGTTAACAATGAAACTAAGATGGAAATTTAAAACTTATTTGAAAAGAATGGTACTAGTGACACACGTTATCAAAACCTCTGTTATATGGCAAAAGCAGTGCTAAGAGGAAAGTTTACAGTGCTAAATGTCTATATCAAAAAGTCTGAAAGAGCACAAATTGACAACCTAATGTCACACCTCAAGTAACTAGAGAAACAAGAACAAACAAAGGCCGGGCGCAGTAGCTCACACCTGTAATCCCAGAACTTTCGGAGGCCAAGGCGGGCAGATCACTTGAGGCCAGGAGTTCGAGACCAGCCTGGCCAACATGGTGAAACCCTGTCTCTACTAAAAATACAAAAATTAGTTGGGCATGGTGGTGCATGCCTGTAGTCCCAGCTACTTGGGAGGCTGAGGCACTAGAATCGCTTGAACCTGGGAGGTGGAGGTTGCAGCACTGAGCCGAGATTGAACCACTGTACTCCAGCCTGGGTGCCCTTGTCTCAAAAAAAAAAAAAAAAAAAAAAAAAAACAGAAAGAAAAGAACAAACAAAATCCAAAAAGCTAGAAGAAGAAAAGAAATAGCAAAGATCAGAGCAGAACTAAATGAAATTCAAACAACAAAAAAAAATACAAAAGATTAAAAAAACAAAAAGCTGGTTCTTTGAAAAGATAAAATTGATAGACTATTAGCGAGATTAATTAAAGAAAGAAGAGAGAAGATGCAAATAACCTCAATTAGAAATGAAACTGGAGACATTATAACTGATACCACAGAAATACAAAAGATCATTCAAGACTACTATGAAGACCTTTACACACGAAAACTAGAAAATCTAGAGGAAATGGATAAATTCCTGGAAACATACAGCCCTCCTAGATTAAATCAGGAATAAACACAAACTCTGAACAGACCAGTAACAAGCAAGGAAATAGAATCAGTAATAAAAAAAAATTGTCAACAAGAAAAACTCCAGGACCAGATGGACTCACAACTGAATTCTACCAGACATTCAAAGAAAAATTTTTTACCAATCCTTCTGAAACTATTCCAAAAGAGAAAGAGGGAATCCTCTCTGAATCCTTCTATGAAGCCAGTATCACCGTAATACCAAAACTAGGAAAGGACGTAACAAAAAAGAAAACTGCAGACCAATATCCCTGGTGAACATTGATGCAAAAATCCCCAACAAAATACTAGCTAACTGAATCCAACAGCATATCAAAAACATAATATATCGGAATCAAGTGGGTTTCATCCCAGGGATGAATAGTTTAGCAAGAATAGTTTAGCATAAGCAAGTCAATAGATGTGATAAATCACATAAACAGAATTAAAAACAAAAACCATATCATCATCTCAATAGATGCAGAAAGAGCATTTGATAAAATCCACCATCCCTTTATGATAAAAATCCTCAAGAACCGAGGCACAGAAGGGACTTCCCTCAAAGTAATAAAAGCCATATATGACCAACCCAAAGCCAACATCATACTGAATGGGTAAAAGTTGAAAGCAACAAGACAAGGATGCCTACTTTCACCATTTCTATTTAACATAGTACTGGAAGCCCCAGCCAGAGCAATCAGGCAAGAGAAAGAAATAAAGAGCATCCAAATTGGAAAAGAGGAAATCAAACTGTTACTGTTTGCTGATGATATGATTGCATACCAAGAAAACCCTAAAGACTCATCCAAAAGGCTCCTAGATCTGATAAATGAATTCAGTAAAGTCTCAGGTTACAAAATCAATGTACACAAATCAGTGGCACCAAGCAGACAGTCAAATGAAGAACTCGACCCTCTTTACAACAGCTGCAAAACGAAAACAAATAAACAAACAAAAAAGCACTCAGGAATATACTTAACCAAGGAGGCAAAATATCTCTATAAGGAAAACTACGAAACACTGCTGAAAGAAATCACAGATAACACAAACACATGGAACCACATCCCATGCTCATGGAAGGGTAGAACCAATATTGTGAAAATGACCATGCTGCCAAACAGGCTGGTTCAATATACGCAAGTCAATAAATGTAATCGAGCATATAAACAGAACCAAAGACAAAAACCACGATTATCTCAATAGATGCAGAAAAGGCCTTTGACAAAATTCAACAACACTTCATGCTAAAAACTCTCAATAAATTAGGTACTGATGGGACTTATCTCAAAACAATAAGAGCTATCTATGACAAACCCACAGCCAATATCATACTGAATGGGCAAAAACTGGAAGCATTCCCTTTGAAAACTGGCACAAGACAGGGATGCCCTCTCTCACCACTCCTATTCAACATAGTGTTGGAAGTTCTGGCCAGGGCAATTAGGCAGGAGAAGGAAATAAAGGGTATTCAATTAGGAAAAGAGGAAATCAAATTGTCCCTGTTTGCAGACGACATGATTGTACATCTAGAAAACCCCATTGTCTCAGCCCAAAATCTCCTTAAGCTGATAAGCAACTTCAGCAAAGTCTCAGGATACAAAATCAATGTACAAAAATCACAAGCATTCTTATACACCAAAAACAGACGAACAGAGAGCCAAATCATGAGTGAACTCCCATTCACAATTGCCTCAAAGAGAAGAAAATACCTAGGAATCCAACTTACAAGGGATGTGAAGGACCTCTTCAAGGAGAACTACAAACCACTGCTCAATGAAATAAAAGAGGATACAAACAAATGGAAGAACATTCCATGCTCATGGGTAGGAAGAATCAGTATCGTGAAAATGGCCATACTGCCCAAGGTAATTTACAGATTCAATGCCATCCCCATCAAGCTACCAATGACTTTCTTCACAGGATTGGAAAAAACTACTTTAAAGTTCATATGGAACCAAAAAAGAGCCCACATCGCCAAGTCAATCCTAAGCCAAAAGAACAAAGCTGGAGGCATCACGCTACCTGACTTCAAACTATACTACAAGCCTACAGTAACCAAAAGAGCATGGTACTGGTACCAAAACAGAGATATAGATCAACGGAACAGAACAGAGCCCTCGGAAATAATGCCGCATATCTACAACTATCTGATCTTTGACAAACCTGAGAAAAACAAGCAATGGGGAAAGGATTCCCTATTTAATAAATGGTGCTGGGAAAACTGGTTAGCCATATGTAGAAAGCTGAAACTGGATCCCTTCCTTACACCTTATACAAAAATTAATTCAAGATGGATTAAAGACTTAAACGTTAGACCTAAAACCATAAAAACCCTAGAAGAAAACCTAGGCATTACCATTCAGGACATAGGCATGGGCAAGGACTTCGTGTCTAAAACACCAAAAGCAATGGCAACAAAAGACAAAATTGACAAATGGGATCTAATTAAACTAAAGAGCTTCTGCACAGCAAAAGAACTACCATCAGAGTGAACAGGCAACCTACAAAATGGGAGAAAATTTTCGCAACCTACTCGTCTGACAAAGGGCTAATATCCAGAATCTACAATGAACTCAAACAAATTTACAAGAAAAAAAACAAACAACCCCATCAAAAAGTGGGCGAAGGACATGAACAGACACTTCTCAAAAGAAGACATTTATGCAGCCAAAAGACACATGAATAAATGCTCACCATCACTGGCCATCAGAGAAACGAAAATCAAAACCACAATGAGATACCATCTCACACCAGTTAGAATGGCAATCATTAAAAAGTCAGGAAACAACAGGTGCTGGAGAGGATGTGGAGAAATAGGAACACTTTTACACTGTTGGTGGGACTGTAAACTGGTTCAACCATTGCGGAAGTCAGTGTGGCGATTCCTCAGGGATCTAGAACTAGAAATACCATTTGACCCAGCCATCCCATTACTGGGTATATACCCAAAGGACTATAAATCATGCTGCTATAAAGACACATGCACACGTATGTTTATTGCGGCACTATTCACAATAGCAAAGACTTGGAACCAACCCAAATGTCCATCAATGATAGACTGGATTAAGAAAATGTGGCACATATACACCATGGAATACTATGCAGCCATAAAAAATGATGAGTTCATGTCCTTTGTAGGGACATGGATGAAATTGGAAATCATCATTCTCAGTAAACTATCGCAAGAACAAAAAACCAAACACTGCATATTCTCACTCATAGGTGGGAATTGAACAATGAGAACACATGGACACAGGAAGGGGAACATCACACTCTGGGGACTGTTGTGGGGTGGGGGGAGGGGGGAGGGATAGCTTTAGGAGATATACCTAATGCTAAATGACGAGTTAATGGGTGCAGCACACCAGCATGGCACATGTATACATATGTAACTAACCTGCACATTGTGCACATGTACCCTAAAACTTAAAGTATAATAATAATAAAATAAAATTTAAAAAAATTGAAAAAAAATTTTTTTTAATTGTTTAACATTTGCCTACAAATAACTTGGATTTTTAAAAACTGGATCTCAATTTTACAGTCAGTTTTACATAATCATGCCTTATATTAACTAACCTAAATTCAGCAACTGGGTTTTACTTTTTGATTACTACCTTTTCTTATATGATCTAAAAAAATCTTCTTGATTTGCTTCACTATTCACTTTGCAACTTTAATTTTGTAAGACTTATGCAACTTTGACTTTGTAAGACTTATGCAACTTTGACTTTGTAAAACTTGGAATAAACTAAGACCTGTTTGAAAAAAAAAAGCTATCTATAAATTCATTGCAACTTCCATCAAAATACCATCATTACTCAAAGTAAGTGGGCGGATGTTGGGAGGTGGGTGAGAGATAAAAGACTACATATTGGGTACAATGAATGTACACTGCTTGGGTGATGTCTGCACTAAAATCTCAGAATTCAACACTATAGAACTCATCCATGTAACCAAAAGCCACCTGTACCCCCAAAACTATTGAAATTTTAAAAATAATCTTTTAAAAATTTCTTCTCTTAGCAATTTTCAAGTATACAATATATTGGTATTAACTACAGTCGCCATGATGTACGATGAATCTCTTGAACTTACACCTTCTGTTTAAATGAAATTTTGTATCCTTTGACCAACATAAATACAACGAATATTCAAAATCCTTAATAATCCCCCACTAAACAACTTGTTAAGGCTTTTATCCAAGACAAAATAAGCCAAATCTGCTATTATTTTTCTTATATTATAGTGAAATAAACCATCTAAAGCAATAACAACACAAAAATAACAAATATATACATGACATACAAACAAAGCATTTGTAGGACTAAATGCAGTATAAAGTCCCTAAGAGATATCAGCCTTCTGTTATTGTCAACCTGACTTGTACCTATTTTCAGAAAACTCTAGAAATATAGCTACACCTAAAAGATATGCATTTATCCTTGCTAAAGCTTTTCAAACATATAAATGCTTTGTAAAGAAAGCACGTCTTAATTGCTGAAATAACTTTGGCCTTATTCAAAATAACAAAGACTCTCTTTTTAATTGGAACAGTTAAAAGCCAAAACAAACAAATAATTTTAATTAAAAACATGGATTTTTCTTCATTTACAAACAAACCTCCATGAAAGAACTCACACCAATAAGAGTAGCTTTTCTGGTTGTGAAATAAAATAAGTTACTCCATTTTGTAGATGAAGAAACTAAAGAAGGTTAGTGACTTATCTTAGAATACAGAGCTTCCTAATAGTAAAACAATAGAATCCAGCACTTCTCAATTCTTATATACTCTCATTAAACTATATTATCAACAACATAAAAATCATTAATTAGAGGTTACAAGATTTTATTTTCCTTTCATGAACAAATATTGGATAAAAGTTAATATATTAAAAATATCACCAATGGTTATATGTAGAAGTAAAAACAATACCAATGAGGTGGTTTTCATCTTTTTAATTATTAATTTTGGGTTGCATCATCAAGGCACAGGATACTTTAGATAATAAAAACATCAGAGATGTCCAAAAAATATACTTTCTTTCTGTTTTCCATGTACCAATAGATAAAATACTGAGCCCTATCATATTACAATTTATGACTATTGGCTGTAGACATGTCAATGATATATACCTGTAAATACCCACTTCAAAAAATGTAGTAACTATTAGTTGGTATTTGGTCTGACACAAAATACTTCACAAATATTAGGAATCAGTTTGAAAAAATAAAGCCACTCGCCTTTCATTTGGGAATAACAGTCCTTGGTAACCCTTCCTTGCTTCCATACTCAACATGAAAGACATTGGTCAGCCATTTTGGGGTTGCTTCCTACTAACTTCCTTGACTTCATTATCCTTTTGCACTTTACCTTATTCACTTTGGTTATACTGAATTTTCAATAAACCCAGTAACTATGTTTTGCCAGACCAATCACTTCCTCTATCAATTTTTGTCTCCAAATGGAGTGAGGCCTGAGCTAGATTATTGCCAATGGAAATGTAAAAGCCATTTAGATATCACAAGTGAAAAAATGAGCAAATGTGACATACGAGGAATATCAAAGATGCTAAATCATACACACAAGGATCAGAGCCAAGATCCTGAATGCATGGATGAGTTTTCTAAGACAAAGAATATACTAAGGATTATTATTTTAAATAGTGGAACATTATTATGTGATTCCAAATCAGCTGTGAGTTCACAGATTAATAAGCCCAATATCATGCTTATATAGACCTCTGCAGTATGTGTCCAGCATAATGCTTGTAATCTCCACAGTGCTATTTGATAATTCACATTTATCTAATATCCTTTATATCAATATGATTCAGAACTTTCCAGTCACGTATTTTAAAAACCAGTCTGGACCAGGCATAGTGGCTCACGCTTGTAGTCCCCGTATTTTGGGAGGCCGAGGCAGGTGGATTACCTGAGGTTGGGAGTTTGAGAACAGCCTGGCCAACACGGGGAAACCCCATCTCTACGAAAAATAGAAAAAATTAGCCAGGTGTGGTGGCGCACGCCAGTAATCCCATCTACTTGGAAGGCTGAGGCAGGAGAATCGCTTGAACCCAGGAGGCAGAGGTTGCAGTGAGCCGAGATTGCGCCACTACACTCCAGCCTGGGCAACAGAGCCAGACTCCATCTCAAAACAAACAAATAAACTAAAAAAAAAAAAAAAAAAAAAAAAAAAAATTAAGAAAAACTAATCTGTATATGCGATTTTTTCCTGCTCCCCAAATGAACTCCTCTATAGCGATTTATTCTTAACTTTTATCATTCCAACTTTCTAAGCACATTGTGAAATGCAATAAGGTGAATACTTGAATCAAACTATGGTCATCAGCAAATTAAGACACATGATTTCAACAGATAAATCATTATAATTTGCAAACAATACAAAAATGGTAACAGAAACCAAAATTAATGATAAACCCACATAATAACCCATCTCCTTCCCAGGAGAAAGCAACATCATTGCTCATCAAGCACATAAACTGACAGAAAAGTTTTTGAAGATCCAAAGCATATCACAAGGTCAGAGAATACCCCCAGCTTGATGTCCCACACCACTTACACTTAAAGTATTATACCATCTTAATAAATGCTCATAATGCGAACCTCAAAGGCACTATAAAATTCTTAAGCATTCTCTATATCGAAGAAAAATTCATTAATACTTAATATAGTTTTAGTGCTGTATCCACTTCAAGATATTCTTTGACAGATATTAATTCACATATGGAAATTTATAACTCAATTTTTAAAAATGTGTTTAACTACAGCACTCCAATCTTCAATAGTTTTTGATGAATAAATGTTGAACGTACCAATTTAAGATATGATCTCCAGGAAATTCTTTTGGAAGCTGGTATCAAGGGAAGTATGGTACCACATAAAAGAAAAAAAAAAAAACTGTAGCAGTACTCAGTACTCAGGCAATATCCTCCAAAATAGAAATAGAGTCAATCTGCATATGTTCAATAACACTGGATGCTGCAGAACTGACCTAACAGGAGTAGGTTGATTTCGGGTATATGAAAGGCTTGAAATTCATATTCATATAAGAGGTCACCAAAACTGTCTCATTTGAAGATGTTTTAGTTTTTAGAAGTACTATAACATTATGTTATCTTCTATATTCTGCCTTCATGGATTCCATCTTAACAGAAGATTCCAGGTTTAAACTGCCTGGTGTGAGAGGCTATACACTTACAGCTTTGCTGACCAGGTGGCAAATCTCCCCAAATTAGCTGTCCATTATCTACCACCAGTCGAACAGCTGGGGTCATAGAGCAAATACTGTTATCTAGTGCACATGGATCTTCTTTCAATCAACTATACAGACTACTTGCACTCCAGGTGCCAGCTGGCATCTTAATTGTGAGTTGTCAGCTATCCAACTTCTATCAAAAGTCCAGCTGAGATGATAGACAGTCCAAGGGGAGAGCCTCAGGGGCATTTCTCAAGTACACCTTGGTAGCAGGTTAGATTACTAGAAAGCTGCATTCCAGTACTATTATTCCTGGTCATTGTAGAAATATCATAACCTTGATTTTTTTACTTTTTGGCTAAATGCAGGAAATGGACATTCATAGAAATCTTCTGTACTTTATGGAAAACTATCAAGGACTCATTCTACTGTTGTTGTCCAATATCCCTCATTTAAAGAACCACAAAATAAAATGAGTTCAGAATTAGGAAGAATGACCCTCCTGAAAAACAAACAAACAACAACACAAAAGAGATGCAATGTCGTTTATCAGGTAACAGCTATGTCTCTCTTTTTATTGAGAGACTTTTACTGAGAGACAGAACTGTTTACCTGATAAACACCCCCCGACCCCTCTCCACTCCACACAAAGAAACTTGGATCTACATTATACTCAAATCATTACCTGACATTGTCCTAAGTTTTTGGAAAAGTTCCACCTCCTTTCCTCATTTAATTGGAGCTTGGCATTTTTACCTTTGTCTTACGGAAGTAGAATATCTGCTTCTTTTATTTTAAGCTGCAACTACTTTTACAATATTCTCAAAATAATGAGAGAAGTATTAAAACTCTAGTATGTGCCCAAGACCTTTAGTTAAATTAGTTCATATAACTCGAAATAAATATATTTCAAATGACATATTTATAAGCATTTTCTTCCCAAGACTAATTTTGAATAAGTAGAAAATGCATATAAGTGTTTTAAGAGGGAAGTTAGGCTTCTACTCAGAAATCCATATAATCAGTGTGCCTAGATTCTGCTGCTAGATTATACATACCTTTATATGACCAGTTACATGTTTCTAATTATTTTAGATGATTATTATATAAAAATTGGCTTTCTAGTTTAAAACACATCATTTAAACGAGAAAATGTATTGCCTTGGTGGAGCTTACATAGTAATAAAATAAATCCAACACAAGAACCACTATTTATCCTAATGCCTGTAGCATTTTCTCCTAATAATACTTCAAAAACTCGAGTATTTGCTGTGCCTAATTCTTTTTTAAAATAATGTATGACACATAAATCTACTTTGCTTCTATTAAGAGGTAATATCATTGCATGTGCCGAAGTCAGAATTATGTTTTGAAGCTAATAGTATATAATTAAAATTTCCATGTCACTTAATATATATGGTATCAACTTAGTCAAATGAGCCTGAATATACTTGATACGAATTTGAATTGTTGACCAAGATTTTAACAAAAGGCATATAAATTGACAACTGCAATGAGTTTACCATTTCGTATTGTATGTATAAATATACTAGTGCTATTCTAAAATGATTTATGGATTTGAAAGTGAAAGCAAAGAAGTTCCAAATACCAATATTTAAAAACCTGCTTTAGTAATACCGCACATAATGCTGCTTTATGAGATGTGCTCACAATTTTAAGCCGTGTTCACATTTCTACATTGTAAAAAGTATCCTTATTATTCCATCTTTCATAGTTAGTCCCCTGCAAAATGTTCTAAGAGTATTGATCTGTACCTACCTTTATATTAACTTTCTAAGTACTGTTGGCCGCTTTGCCAAGCTTTTAATAAGTTTAATACAGGTTGTTTAAATACTTATTAAGACCTACAATTCAGAAAGTGCTTTCTAGTCCTAATTTGTATTGTTGTCAAGATCCATCTATTTTCATTATGATTATGTTAAAATGCACATTTGTAAATACACTAGAAAAATATGTTTAAATCTAAAGGGAAGATAGCATCAAATAAACACAAATATTCCAGAGGTAATGCAAATAACTGCACATGTATCAACTTGAAAAGATATTTTATGTTTTCACTGGCTTGGAAATATTGGCTGAGGAAGCTATCATCATAGGATGTGAATACAGACACTATGCCATGAGTTTGGCAGATAAGTGGATCCCAACCAAACAGAAAAAACAATTTCCTCGTGGGGTAAAATACCCCTAAAGCTGTGAGGCAATTTCAGCAACAACTCTAACAAGAATTCTAGGCAATCACAATTCTGTGATACTATTCTTCAAAGCAATATTTGCTGTTTTTGTCATGTGCTGGGAAACCTTAGTGACAATGATCTATTGCTACGTATTTCTTTGGATCTTCATAAAATGTATTGCCAAATACCTATACATCTTGCAATGAATTGGCTGGGAATAAAACTGTCCAAACTCATTGGTCATTTCTCAGCAGGCACTGCTTCCTTTCATAAACTTTAGTAAAGAGATATGAACAAAAATCTCTAAATAACAGAGTCCTCATTCTAAATCACACATAGACCATGGTATGTGCAAAGTCTAATGCAATTTGTGATGGCAGATTGGGATTTACTTTACGGTCAAAGCACATGGATTTTTAGAGTGTTAAATAGAGTTGTAAACATTCAATTTCATTAATTCACCATGCAACTGTAACAAGGCTATTGTGTAAAGCATGCTATGTTGTCTGTGGATTGTGAATATGATTCAAACCAAGGTTTCATTCTTATGTGGAAGAAGTTAGCTTCATTCTTTTTCTGATTACAGCTAAAAATGCATGGCCACAAAATAGTGCCGATTAATGCAAATTCATTCCCACTGGTGGAGAAGCATAGGTTTTTATTGATGGTGGGTCAATAACTACATCAAATCACACATTAGTATATATAAATTACACAGTACCAGCCACCACGAGACAAATAAGAGGGTAAGAGGGTCCCTTCCCCAGAGGAGACTAAAATCTAAATGAGAAAAACAGACATGCATGCATGAAACTATTACAGAGTATAAACAGACACAGGTAAATGTATATAGTAAAAAATAAATGTTGAGGGAAATGTACAGTAACAGAGTGATCTGAGATAGGACCAGTTAATGAGGGCTTATAAAAGGGATTTTTAAGTATTTGCTTTAGCAGAAAATAATATACCAAAATGACTTTCTTAGAGCCTTTATCACCTGAGTGATTAAATACCATGTGAATTTGAAATTCATGACCCCACTTAATATTCCAAAATGACTGTTTTGAGGATGTTTGGTAAAACTGTTAGTATGTATACGTATGTGTGTGTGTGTACACTTATTTATATATATTTTTAAATTTTACGAGGGGCTGAACAAAAAGAAACCAATTAAAACTGTGGTAGGGAGGAGAATTACCCACGAGAGGACAACGGTGTGGGTTCTAATGAACACCAGGTTTCAAAAACAGTTATGCAACAGAGTTTTAGGAACTGCTTTCATCCGTATTTAAAGGAAATTATAAATATCTGTCTGGGGGTGGTTAAATACATTTATAAATACAAAAAATAATGAAACATTAGGAAATCCTCTAGCCTTATAGAGGAACATTCTTCTCACTCTTCAAAATAATACCTAAACACTAATCTAGTTCCAATAGCAAAGGTAAGAGGATTAAAACTAAGCAAAAGAAAATACAGAACACAGAGGCTTAGAGCTGGAAGGCTCCAATCCCATTTACATATCAAGAAACTGAGGACCAAAGAGGTCCATTGACTGGACCAAGGTCACCACAGAGGAGTGATCAAGAACTAGAATGATTTATCATATTGTCACAGGATCCTGGGGTGTCACTTCACCAGCTAGAAACCTCTGTGGCCAGTGGCACCTTCTGCCTGAGTAATGTACAACATGTTCTCCCTGCTTCCACCCAGGGCTATCCTTTAAAAATGTAGGTCATCTCATGCCATTCCATTCCTCAAAACTCTCTAACAGTGTCCCAGCTCACTCAAAGTAAAAGCCAAAGTCCTTTGAATGGTCAATAAGGCTCTACATTATCTGCTTCCAGCATGCTAGCCTCCTTGACATTCCTAGAACATGCCAAGCATGCTCCCATCTTTGGTATTTGCTGTTGCTGTTTTCCGTTTCTAACAACATTACTCCTCCAGTGAACATAGGTCACTGCCATACTTCCTTTAGACCTCTGTGCAAATGTCATTAAAGTCAGGGAGGCTTTCACTGATCATCTAATATAAAATAGCAACATCTCCTCCTCAGCTCATATTACAACCTGATATTTGATGTACACCTTTAAAAAAATTGTCTGAATTCCTGTACTGGAATGTAAGCTCCATATATATAAGCCCCATATGGACAAGGGGAATTTAGTTTTGTTATTCCTTTGTAGGATTATCCATGTGATATGTAAAAACAAACCACATAATATTAAGTGCTATTTATTGAACTTCTCCAATTTAAGGTATTACCAAAGGAAATTAACTCTTAATGTTAAAAAATTGTTTTCGTAATTTATCACATGATGGCAAATTGGAATAAATATCATAGAGATGGTGTTAGAATTACTAGAAGTATCATCCACAATGGATAGGGCAAAGAAGTCCCAATTTACACACAGCTATGTGATCAGAAAAAAAAATAGGCTTTTCAATACACTGATATATATTCTTAAGATATTATATTGCAAAAACTACATGCATAGATTTAGAGAAAATGTAGAATTTCAGACGATCTTTTAAATCAATGAAAATATAGGCCCAAATGGTATTACGATATCATAAAAAAACTCCCAAGTTATTCAACTAAGTTCTCTACCACAGCAAAAAATAATGTTTTGTCTCTTAAGCTGATAGATGAGTACAAAGGTGTTTTTATATTATCTTCTACACATTTGCTGAAAGTTTTCATAGTTTCTTTTTCATTTAAATCAGACAAATATTAATGAAAGAAAGTCAAAATATTCAGTATGTGATGACAGTGAAAGAATACTAACAACAGTGAAAGAATACTATTTTAATAGACTTTCCTTATTGTGACACTGTACAAACCAGTTGTTAAAGGCCTAGGCTCTCGAGAGATACAAAGCCTGGGTTTAAATCTTAACACTGACACTTGCTGGGCATGCAACTTTAATATGGCGCAAATTACTTAACCTCTCTGAGCCTCAAGTTCATCTACAAAATACGAACAATACTGTTATCCTGATTGTATATGTACATTTAAAGGTCTTAAAACATTGCACAGGGGTAGTAAATGCCATATACATACTAATATATACACAGATATATATATATCTGTATATACATGGTAATATATATATAGATATATATATCTGTGTATATATATAGATATATATAGATATATATATCTGTATATATATAGATATATATATCTGTGTATATATATAGATATATATATCTGTATGTATATATATAGATATATGTATCTGTGTGTACATATATAGAGATATATATCTGTGTTATATATATATATAAAAAACACATATCACACATAATTTTTCATTATTTTTTAATGTATTAAAAATGCCTATATGTCATCCAATAAGACATTTGGAGATGGAGTCTCAATTTCAAAAGAGAGGTCTGGCCAGGTGGGTGGCTCACACTTGTAATCCCAGCACTCTGGGAGGCCGAGGCAGGCGGATCACGAGGTCAGGAGTTTGAGACCAGCCTGGCCAACATGGCGAAACCCCGTCTTTACTAAAAATATAAAAATTAGCCAGGCATGGTGGCGGGCACCTGTAATCCCAGCTAGTCAGGAGGCTGAGGCAGGAGAATCACTTGAACCTGGGAGGCAGAGGTTGCAGTGAGCCGAGATTGTGACATTGCACTCCAGCCTGGGCCACAAGAGCAAGACTCTGTCTCAAAAAAAAAAAGAGAGAGAGAAACAGAGAGGTCTGAGCTGAAAACGTAAATCTACGCATCACAGGGATCATACATACACATACACACACACACATACACACACACACATACACACACGCACAACACATACACACAACTCCTACTCTTAGAACAGTACTTGGGAGATAATAAATACTAAATAAATGTTAAAATGTTAACTATTACTATCTTTAATAAGCATTTCAGAAGTCAATAAAATTTAAGCTTATCAAAATTAAAGTTAACACTTAAATGCATATAGTAGGAACTCAATAAAGGTTTCAGGAACAAACATAATTCTTGCTAGTTACATTTTTTAAATTGCTGTTATAAAAAGTAAACAGAAATTGAAAAAATATAAGAACTTATGTTTTTCAGCTTCTACTCCAAATATTACTAAATTTAGTAGGTAAAAGTAACAAAATGATCACTAATAATTATGACCATAGTAAGATTATTATATTGGCCTTGAAAACACTTTCAAATATATTTATTCATAGTTAATTTAGAATCAACCTCAATATAAATACATACATTTCGTAAGCCTGTGAGCCATAGGAAAAAACCTTGGGTGGATTATAATCATCAATTATGTTTTTCAGGTTCCTCAGGCTTAAATGTCCCTGCCCAAAATAGTCAATAGTATGTCCCCAGGATTTGTATCTTATCCTCAAAAGGTGTGGCTAACTATCAGGGCAGGACCTTGGAGAAAGGGGATATTAGCCAAGTCATTCCCAGTCTAAACAAAATTGAAAAAGTATGCATGCCAGGTGGGTGTTCAAAATGAACTTTAAAAATCTGCTACCTTTAACATGGACTAAATATACATGTATAAAACAATCCAGTGATTTTCTGCCTAAAAGTGTTTTATTTCCACTGACATTATATCTAGACCTACTTACTATTTTTCCACTGCTATCTCTTACCTGCAGCAGAATCCACTAAAGCACACGATTCCATTCAGAAGAATAAGCGTTGGGAGGAGTAATTTTAAAAGCCTAAAAAAACCCCAACGAACACAGATAGAGGACATTTCCCCTCACAGGATGGGAGAGAGGTTGGTCTTCTGCCTTAAATTCAGGTGTACATATCTCAGTGTATCAGTTTGCAGGGACAAAAGCAGTTTGGCCTCCCAAACAAAAAAAAAAGAGTTTTTTTCCCCCTCCGCATGCTCCTAGTATAGGAAAAACAAGTGGCTACGCATCCACTGGCCAGCTGAATCAGCTCAAGCAATTATGGGAGTGACCTATAATTATACTCATAAATATCAGATTTTAATGTCACAAAAGAATATTGTATCTGCTAGACTCTTTCAGCTCCACAATTCCAAGTATATATGCCCCTTGTTGCCTCTCCCCCAGTATGATTTTCCCTAGGACAGGTAACCTTTTTCAACAAAAAGTGGTTCCGAATATTTTAGGTTTATGAAGACCAGAATTTTCAAAATGTCTGATAATTTAAGTAACAGGTTTATAGTATGTTATTCATCTGTGCTTTTCAAGAGTGCCATTTACAATTTCTTTACTTTCAAGGGGAAGAAAAATATGCATCACAAAGCTTAAGCAAGAATTAGTGGTTTTTCTAATGGCCACTGACACAGGCCATTTTCTGAAAGTTTTCCTGAAAGTACGGAGTACTGGCAATGTTCCATTTAAGAGATTTTTTTTTTGTTGCAGTTTTCATGATTCAATTTGACAAATAATGTTCTTCTATTTGTATATTATATATGAATATACATATATAAAATATAACATATATTCATTAAAAAGTATATGTTTTTTATTTCCTCTAATGTAAAAAAATTAGCATCTTGAAAGACACCATCTTTAGTGTATAGGTAACTGAGGGCTTTCGTTAATGGTCAATTATTTAAAAGTCTCACATAATTTATATAATCTACACTAAAATGTATTGTTAGAACTAGGCTATAGCATATGTTCTGGGTATTTTATATATAGAAAAGAAAAAATTCTGGATAAGTGAAACTATTAATCCTCAAGGATATAAAACAAAAAGGCTTTTTCAAATGTACTTAGAAAAAAAAATCACACAGGAAAGTTAAGATTTTGTAAACTACTTTAATAAAACATTTGAATAAATTTGTGTTAAACTCAGTAAGTTTCATATTCCTATGAGCTGTTTCCCTAACGTCCTAAAAATTACCTTTTTATACATAAAACAGAGCATTTAGTAAAATAAATAATACACCAGCACATCAAACTTACAGAAACTCTGGCATCCATTTACCATACAACTACAATAAATTGTAATTTCATCCAAATACCACATCATATATGAAATAATCATTGAACTTCACCACATTTTAAAAAATTTCAAAGATAACCTGGCAAAAATGGTTTATTTAAACACAGTATAATCTTATTTTAAGAAAACATAAATTCATAGTAATAAGAGCAAATCACACATAAATGTTTGAACTGAGCATTAGAATTCACAAATTAGTATCTTCAGCTCATTTGAATTAATCAAATACTAAATACTATATTGAGCAAGAGATAACAGTATCATTATAATAAGCTAAATCCAAACACGGAAAATAAGTCTAACATAAAAACAAGCAAGACTTTTTTTTTTTTTTTTTTTTTTTTTGTCTTTTCGCTGGCTCCCTGACTGCAACTAGTTTTTCTTTTGGAAAAAGAAGCTCCAACACAATTAAATAATAAATTTCTACATTTTCTGTAGTTTTTCTTCCCCGAAAATCATGTTTCCATTAGCTTGCTAGTAAATCCTACAGAGTTGTCAATTTATCCATCACCGTCTCTCTCTGAGCTTCAAATACAGAAAATCCGAAAAGTTCAAAGCAGTTAGAAAAGCAGCGAGTTGACAAAGAATGCCACTTGAGATTTTTTTTTTTAGTCCTACTTCCTAAAAAGTCAACAGGTCAAAATTACTCACAGCTGGATGCAAGGGTCTTCGAAAAATGAAAGGATGTTTTCCCTGCCTCAATCAGCAGACTTAAAATGCTCCCGATCCACAGTGGGATAGATGTGGCCCTCAACGGTCAGATAATCAATCGCTTCCTTGATGGCCTTGACGCTAAGGTCGCAGAGCTGAGCCCGGAGCTCATGGATGCTCTTCCCTTCCTGATGAGGACACTCATGAATCAAACGCAGCACTTCGTCCTGGATGAAATTGCGGTGACTCTCATCGTTATCCCCAGCATCATTCACTTCTGATGGAGACACAGGCACACTTTCTACAGTGGTATCACGACGGGCTTTATCCAGCATCATGTGTGCATTGACCGTTTCCAGAATATGCACGGTGAACTCGTTCATGTCCTCTAGGACATGAATTTTCAATACCTCAAGGCTCTTTGTTCCCGTGGGACATTTGAGGATACCAAACACTTTGACATATACTCCGACTGACAATGGAGTCACCTGCTTGACTTTCTCTCTACCAAACCACTGTCGGGCCTCGATTGGTTTCGCGGTCATATCATCAATTTTGTAACAAATGTGATTTGAAGCCTTCTCTGCCCCTCTGATTACCCCCACGATGGAGACCTGGGAAACTATAATTCCCCTAACCTTGAACACAGGGTCAAACACAGTAGAGCTGAGAAGCTGGTTCACATTACACGGTACAACGTCCTGAATTCGGACCTTAGGTCTTTGGGTCTTAATAGCAGGAGTTGCATCTCTCTCACACAGTTGGTCACTGCCTCCACTCGCTCCATCAGCAGCAGAAATGCTGCCATAGCTCCCAAACCCACTCTTACTCATCTTCAAGACAGCTCAGGCTGAGGAGAAGGTGGGCTTTGGCTCGTCTGGGGCTCCACGGACGGCTTTGAGTTCTCCACAGAAGGCTTCGAGCTCTCCACAGAAGGCTTCGAGCTGTCCGAAAGGCTACGATTGAATGCTGGGAGGCTGAGGACGTGACAAGCGTCACGCTACCTGTGGACCAATCAACTACCAGAATGCATCTGCTTCCAGCCAGTCAGGGTCGGCCACCTTCTCACCTGATCGCATAATCCTTCCCTGTGTGTCAGTGGTTGCTACATTCTAAAAGTCCCACACGAGGGGAGCCCTGTTGCTTAGCTGGTCAAAGCGCCTATCTATTAAAAGTCCCACGTGTAATTTCAAGCAAGCCTTTCCCAACATCTCTATAAAAATGCATTTTTACTAGCCCCCCTCTTTATTTCTTAATGCTGCAACTTCTACAATTACTTTTAAAAGACTCATTTATTCATTCATTCAAACAACAATGCAACAGAAATTTTAGGAGCACAAAGTGCTTGGCAAAACGGTAGAGTGCTGTACGTTACGTGCAGGGGGGAAAAATGCACCACCGTAGTTACTGTTCTCAAGAACTCACGTCCCCTGTTCATTCAAACCATTAAAACTAGGAGCATCAGGCCGGGCGCAGTGGCTCACGCCTGTAATCCCAGAACTTTGGGAGGCTGAGGCAGGTTGATTACTTGAGGTCAGGAGTTCGAGACTAGCCTGCCAACGTGGTGAAATCCCGTCTCTACTAAAAATACTAAAATTAGCCAGGCGTGGTGGTGCAGGCTTGTAATCCCAGCTACTCGGGAGGCTGAGGCAGGAGAATCGCTTGAACCCAGGAGGCAGAGGTTGCAGTGAACCGAGACAGCACCACTGCACTCCAGCCTCGGTGACAAGAACAAAACTCCGTCTCAAAAAAAAAAACAAAAAACAAAAAACAAAAAACCTAGGAGCATTTTGGAAGAAATGGCAAGACAATCGTCTTTCAACGATTATCATACTCTAAGATAAGTCACATCTTAACACTGGCTTTTAAAAAATTTTTTGTTGTTTTAAAATTGTAATTTTCTGGGCATTTTGCCAAGTGCACTATAAATAAGTAATTAATATATTTCAATTTATACATAAATCCAAACTGAATGACTGAGCTCTAAATTATTTTCAAGGCTCTGTGGACAGGACAGAAAAGTACAAGACTTAGACCTATTATATATTAGGAAAAACATGGATAAAATCACAGTAAGTTTTTTATATACTCTTATGGAGTAAATTCTGAACTTAAGATTCTAGTAGTTACATAAATAGATCCCGGATTTTTGTTTTTTTGTTTTTTTTTTTTTTTTTTTTTTTTGGAGACAGGGTCTCGCTCTGTCTCCCAGGTTGGAGTGCAGTGGCGGGATATGGGCTCACTGCAACCTCCACCTCCCGGGCTGAGGTGATCCTCCCACCTCAGCCTCGTGAATACCTGGGACCACAGGCGCACATCACCACACCTGGCTGACTTTTTTGTATTTTTGGTAGAGACGGGGTTTCACCATGTTGGCCAGGCTGGTCTCGAACTCCTGGACTCAAGCGATCCACTTGCCTCAGCCCCCTGAAGTGCAGGGATTATAGGTGTGAGCCCCCACGCCCGGCCAAGAATGTTTTGATATTTTATTGAAATTTTATTTTTCTTTATAAAACATTTTATTTTGGGTGTTATTGATTTAAAGGCTTAATAAAGGAACCACAGTTACTGGAATCCACCATTGGCAAGTAACCTAATAACAATCCTTTGTAGTTAGTTAATAGCCTAAATTAGTAGAGTTTTGAGAAGTTTATTAATGCTCTCACTTCTTTTACTGGTTAAAATAATTCACTTTTTGCTATCTCAAAATTACAGAAATATGTGAAGAGTATATCTAAAACTTATAGAAGAACATAAAGTTATATATACCTTTCAAGTTTTAAAAGAATAAAATCGGCCGGGCGCGGTGGCTCACACCTGTAATCCCAGCACTTTAGAAGACCAAGGCAGGTGGATCACGAGATCAAGAGTTCGAGACCAGCCTGGCCAATATGGTGAAACCCCTTCCCTACTAAAAATACAAACATCAGCCAGGCATGATGGTGCGTGCCTGTAGTCCCAGCTACTCAGGAGGCTGAGGTAGAAGAATTGCTTGAACCTGGGAGGCAGAGGTTGCAGTGAGCCAAGATCGTGCCACTGCACTCCAGCCTGGGCAACAGAGCAAGACTCTGTCTCACAAAAAAAAAAAAGAATAAAATCATGGAGCAAATATACTTAATTTGCTTTATAAATAAATATATAATAATTATCTGATCCCACAAATAGATTTCCATGTAAATGTGGATATTTAACTTCTGGCTCTATGTTAACATTTGTATTCTTAAAATTGTACATTACTAGAGATCCAACTAACTAAATATATTTTTAAAAGTTTACGACTTCACAATCAGATGCTGCTGTTTTATTAACATCAGATTTTTAGTCAGGAAATCTTGAGGTTTAAATAACAAAACTTATTATATTCCCAAACAATTATATGCACTACAAATTGTATGAATCATACCGAAATGATAAGAACGACTTACCTGACCGGATTGCTGGTTAAAGAAACCCTGAGGGATTCTAGGCAATTAAGAAGTTTCTCATCTGATATACCCGATCGTAATTCATGAACATATTCTTGTGAAGACAGGGTGCATTCATGTTTGCTGTTTTTCAGCCCACCCTATAAAATAAACAAAGAGACCATTTTAGACAATGTTTCAAAAAAAATTTAAGTAAAATAATGCATAGAATATTTATTTTGTTATATAAAAATGTGTGCAGAGTGCTACACACTTAAAAATTCTTGATCACAGAATTGATATAGTAAAATTGTGTTGTATATATCTCAACATTTTCCTCAACCTCATTTAAAAAAAAAATTACAGTGCTGGTGCTCATGACCTGAATAGAATATGAACTTGAATTACATAAAGTGTCATTGACAGGGGTGCTTAAATTTACAATTCAGGCATTAGAATTAATATTAGCTAGTCCTCCTTAACCCAGAGGATAAGCATTCAAAAATCATCTTATTAATTTTCCTAGTTAAGATATGTATATTCAATTCCACAAAATCCAGCAAATAAAATTTAATATATACCATTATACATAACCCAAATCTATTGAAAGATATCAGAGTATCAGCCTTTCTAAAAAAAATAAGTGAAAACAGTTATTAAAATGTAAAACAATATAGTCTCCAATTAGCATGTTAATTAATCAAATCAGTTGAAAGCATTCACCAGTTCCCAATTATTCCTTTCTGGTACTCTCAGGTTGTAGATTAATCTTAAAAAGTCATTAAATACATTTATCTGATAGTGACTAGTTTTTAACTTAACTTTCAATATAGATGGAGTTGTTTCTAGAACTCATCTCATCACAGCTCCTTAACTTCATCATCTTGCTATAACTATATAAGTAGTTCAGGGAAAAGGCTGGGAGGAAAATATTGTCAACACATTCACTATACTAACAACTGATAGTTTCACATTCTAGACGTACCTAATCATAATTGCCCCTTTCCTATACTGTAAATGTATATCCCTGAATTAAGACTCCAAGCTTGAGTCCCATTTTACAGGTTCATAAAAATTACACTCAGTTTCTGCTAAGCATCTAAGGATACTTACTATAAAATAACATCATAAGGATATACTATCATAGGAAATATAATATTATAAGGAGATCATAAGGAAAGGAATTTTTCCCCATTGGGTAGAGGTATTATCATTAGAGGATATGACATTTAAAAAAATGTTAATAATGAGAAATGAGTTCCCTATGATTTCACACTATTTGGGTTTTTATTGAGAATGCCTCCTCAATGTAGAAAGTGTTAATCATTCTTAATTTCTGAATTTCAAAAATCCCATTAGATGCTAAATTTTTAAAGTCTGATAAAGGCTTATAACATATAGGGGAACTCTATTCCCTTAGCGCTGTGGCAATATTATAATTATTATAGCACTTAAAATATTGTGGTAGAGGTCATTATTTGTGTCTGTCTCACTTCTACATTGGGAACTCCATCTATGCCACATAACTAACACCGGTCATGAATTTAGTGAGCTTCAATAAAAGTGTGTTATTATTGAACTTCTCCATAATAACTGCAGAACAAGGAATACGATTTCATACTTTGAGCTCCCATATTTTGTATAATGGCCACTGACTTGGTATTTCTTGCTTCGTTATGAGACACAGTAGACGTTAAAAATATACTGGATGGGCCGGGGACGGTGGCTCATGCCTGGAATCCCAGCACTTTGGGAGGCTGAGGCGGGTGGAACACTTGAGGTCAGGGGTTCGAAATCAGCCTGGCCAATGTGGTGAAACTCCATCTCTACTAAAAATACAAAAATTAGCTGGCATGGAGGCACATGCCTGTAATCCCAGCAACTCGTGAGGCTAAGACACGAGAATAGCTTGAACCCGGGAGGTGGAGGTTGCAGTGAGCTGAGATCCCGCCACAGCACTCCAGCCTGAGCCACAGAGCAAGACTCCGTCTCCTCCACAAATAAAAAAGTATACTGGATGAATCATCATCACCTAAATGGCACAGTAAGTAAAACCATCACCGAGAGATCATGTCCATATTCCTGTAACTTCCTTATCCATCTATTATTTCACAAGGAATAATAGCAAGTAAATATTTAAAGCATAATTTTGCAAATTCAAAATTATAGTTTTATTTTTGCTCGGCCAACTCACTTTCTACAACAACACAAAGTTCATCAGTAACAAGGGATCTATTTACTACATGTGCCAGTCTGAAAACTACTAGTAAAACGAATTAAAATTTTCAAGTCTGTAGTCACATACCGCTTTCATATAATCCTCAAAGTTATTTCTAAATTAATATATAAAAAGGCACCACTAATCTTCCCCTAGAGGATTGTATATGGAATTTAACCCTGTTGCGTGACCTTTGTATTTTGCAGTTTTCTCTGCCTTGAAGACCCTTATCCCAACCTCTCCATTGCTGGCTCCCATCATTTTAATCTCAGCTCCATAGTCTTCTCCCCACCCCACATTCTAGTTATCATCGCAACACCATTTTAAATATCATTTACAGTATTACCTCTATGAAAATTTATTTTTGTAATTTAGTTGTTTACTGTCTTCTGCGCTAAAACATAAGCTCTTATGACAGGATTCTTGCCTGCCTTGTTCACCACTATATCCTCAGATCTTAAGACAGTGCTTAAGTAAGCATTCAATACATATTTCCTGAATGAATGAATGGATGGATGGTTGGGTGGATGGATGGATAGAGAATAAACAAAAGGGTAGATGAGTGATGAGTTTCAACATGCTGAAGATTCTAAGCTTAGTTTTGCTTCAGAATATTATAGTTCTGAGACTTTCAGTTGTAATATATTCAGAGATGCTGAATATAGAACAGGTAAACTGAGACACTGTATGGTATGCTGAGGACAGCTCAGAGGTATTTTATATTGGGCATCTCATGGACACAGAATAATCTACTGAGAAAATGTTGGTTCCCTTTTTCTAATTGATTCCCTACAGGATTAGTCTAATTGGGACATATGGTTATGGCCGAGGTACTCCTTGTGGACAAGTGAGCCAGCCCATCACTTTGTGGCTCACTCCCCACCCAAGTCTTAGAAACAAGCTTAAATTATAAAATTTAGGATCCTCTCTGGTTATAAGGAATGGAAGCAAACAATCTACTAGAGCATGACAGAGAATATATAACTTTATAGAACAGATGCTTTTTACCAAGCTTAGAAGGACTTTGAGATTTTAACATAAGTTCATATTTGAAAATTATGAAAATATGATAGCAAGCTAAGGCTGGACTGGCCCTTAAAGATCAGTTCTTCTAATATCCTCATTACAAAAATGAGGAATCCAAGTAATTGCCTAAGTTCACATAATCAGTAAGAGTATGAGACTAAAACAAATATTCTGGTCCTTGGATAGCTCCTGTCTCTACTATATACTACTTTTGCTCAATATTGAATAAAACGTTAAAGCAACAAGTATTTAATTCTGAAATCTCTATTACAAAATGTCAAGGTGTCAAAGTACCTTCAGTATAATCAATATGGTGCAAGAAAATATTTTTAAAATCACCTAAAAACAAAATAGTGCAATACATTAATTCTCATAATACTTAATAGGGCTGTAAGACAAGAATGGCTTATTAACATCCTGTTCTGATACTGAACAAAGGAAACAACTAGATAATGGATGGGTAATAATGGAAATTTTAATTAGCTGCTCTGTATGAGATTAATGAAAATTACCACTGTGCCCATTTGATCTTTAAAAAATAATGCAGACAAAGTTAGCAATTAGCATACATCATGCTATTCCAAACCTAGGTGAACAAAGAGCTTTCCTAATTTGAAGCCATTCCTTAATTTGAAAATCATTAGGATGGAGATACTAGTCAATGTGACTGGGCTTGTATTATTTTAAGACAGTACACAAATAATCAAAAGGTAGTTTGGGCCAGTTTAATAGTCACAGATTCCCCTTGCTCTGATATGAAATGTTAAAATCAACAGCAGAGAAGCAATATTCTAAGAAAGAACACTTCTAGTTTGCAGTGGAGATAATCACTTCTGAGTTTAGATGGACTTAGTCTGAGCATGGTCTGTCATTTTTTAATGTAAAAACAGACTTACTTACAACTTGGGAAAAGGCTTTATGGTTCTTAGCTGTAAAGGTATCTTGCTGCAGACACTAGACAGAACTATTGATTGTACACAGGTCTTTTCAGCTATACAGCATGCACATAGATAGCAATTAGTATCAGGGATGTCATCTTCAAATAGGATGGGCAATATTTTCATGAAAACAGTAATTTTGTTAGTGTTATTGACCATGATTTACAAACCCTAATGAAGTCCATTTCTTTGGCTATTTTAATCAAATAAGTTTCTAATCTATCATCATGTTCTCTGAAAATATAATGCTATAGATTAACATATTTGGGATTATATCTACAAAGGTTCATACTGTTGTTCTTGGAGAGGCTCCTATAACTTTCAAACATAAGAAATCAAAATGCCATTTTCATCACCATCAGTTCCTTGAGTTCAAGGAGGAAAGGGAAACACAAAATAAGTGCCCTATCCAAGTGAATCTATTTATTTATTCTGATAGCGGTATATTTGGTTTGAACAGAGAATGCTATATAGTGCAGAACCTTTAGATGGCTTCTCTCCATTTATGTAAGAAAGCCATCTCTTACTGGGAGAGTAATACAGTTATGTAATTTATGTATCAAAAAATATAAAAAATATATTAAAATCAATTTATAATAAAACTTAAAATAATTTAATATGCAATTTGCATTGAAAAATTTTTTTATTATTATACTTTAAGTTCTAGGGTAAATGTACATAACGTGCAGGTTTGTTACATATGTATACATGTGCCATGTTGGTGTGCTGCACCCATTAACCCATCATTTATATTAGATATATCTCCTAATGCTATCCCTCCCCCCTCCCCAAACCCCACAACAGGCCCCGGTGTGTGATGTTGCCCTTCCTGTGTCCATGTGTTCTCATTGTTCAATTCCCACCTATGAGTGAGAACATGCGATGTTTGGTTTTTTGTTCTTGCCATAGTTTGCTGAGAATGATGGCTTCCAGCTTCATCCATGTCCCTACAAAGGACATGAACTCATCATTTTTTATGGCTGCATAGTATTCCATTGTGTATATGTGCCACATTTCCTTAATCCAGTCTATGATTGTTGGACATGTGGGTTGGTTCCAGGTCTTTGCTATTGTGAATAGTGCCACAATAAACATACATGTGCATGTGTCTTTATAGTAGCATGATTTATAATCCTTTGGGTATATACCCAGTAATGGGATGGCTGGGTCAAATGGTATTTCTAGTTCTAGATCCCTGAGGAATCACCACACTGTCTTCCACAGTGGTTGAACCAGTTTACAGTCCCACCAACAGTGTCAAAGTGTTCCTATTTCTCCACATCCTCTCCAGCACCTGTTGTTTCCTGACTTTTTAATGATCGCCATTCTAACTGGTGTGAGATGGTATCTCATTGTGGTTTTGATTTGCATTTCTCTGATGGCCAGTGATGGTGAGCATTTTTTCATGTGTCTGTTGGCTGCATAAATGTCTTCTTTTGAGAAGTGTCTGTTCATATCCTTTGCCCACTTGTTGATGGAGTTGTTTTTTTCTTGTAAATTTGTTTGAGTTCTTTGTAGATTCTGGATATTAGCCCTTTGTCAGATGAGCAGATTGCAAAAATTTTCTCCCATTCTGTAGGTTGCCTGTTCACTCTGATGGTAGTTTCTTTTGCGGTGCAGAAGCTCTTTAGTTTAATTAGATCCCATTTGTCAATTTTGTCTTTTGTTGCCATTGCTTTTGGTGTTTTAGACATGAAGTCCTTGCCCATGCCTATGTCCTGAATGGTATTGCCTAGGTTTTCTTCTAGGGTTTTATGGTTTTAGGTCTAACCTTTAAGTCTTTTTTTAATTTATTTTTTTTAACCACACAAAAAAATGTAGGGTAAAAGATACTACATATTATCAATTGAAGTCTATAAGAAAAAAACCTACACAGAAAATTACTGTCATCAGGTTAACTTCATATTGTGTCATTTCCCATTGCAGGAAACACTGTTTCTAACTAAGGCATTTTCAGAGGATGAAAATAATAGGCAAAACAAGAGAATATACCGCAAATTATAGGGCAGGGGTGATAAAAGCTTTTCTACAGCAATGTATAAGCATCATAATTCTTCAGATTATATGTGCCATTTTTCCCAAAAAAATTTAAATAAGTTTACTAAAATATGATTAGCTAAAATGTTTAATGAAAGAAAAGTATAAGGTTGTATATGATGAAATCATTTATTGTTCCCTTATTGAAGCTTCTGTCTACTAAATATCAATTAAGCATTTCACTCCCAAATTACAGACTCTTAGACCATCACAGAACAAATATTTAGATGATTTTTTGAGCACTTGTATTACAGATTGAGTATCCCTTATTCAAAATGCTTGGGACCAGAAGTGTTTCAGAGTTCTGATTTTCTCCAATTTTGTAATCTTTACAAATACATAATGAGATATTTTGGGGACAAGACTCAAGTTGAAACATGTTATTTATTTATGTTGCATATGCAACTCATACAAATAGCCTGAAGATAATTTTATACAATGATTTTAATAATTTTGTGCATGAAACAAAGTTTTGGCCACATTTTATCTGTGACTCAACACATGAGGTCAGGTGTGGAATATTCCATTTGTGGCATCATGTTGGTTCTCAAGAAGTTTTGGATTTTGGAGCATTTTCGATTTTGGATTAGAGATGCTCAGCCTGTATTAGAAATGTCAAGTACACAAACTCTAAACATAGTTTTTAATTCTGTGTCCATATTGTTACTTCTTATGTTATGAAAGACATATTTAACCAATAGAGTATAGAGGAAATACTTCATAATAATTTCAAATAATTACTCAAATATTCAAAAAATTTTAGATTTTAACATTAGAGGAAACAAAAAGGTGATATTTTAAAGTAGAACATTAATCCCAAAACACTAACCTTCCTTTCTTATAAAACAATAGCCTCATTTGATCTAGATACTCTCAGAGATACGGACAATTGAAGGCTAAACCATCATTAACTGATTTCCTAGCGAAAGCAAATTAAAATATTTAATGATAGTCAATATTAGTCAATCTGGATAATAAGCAATCAATTTGACATATTTCTTTTTCATATCAATAATGTGTAGTTTATTCTATACTTAAAATCCACATATACTTCTCTTTTAAAACTAGTGTTAAGCAATTTTGGTGAACAATGGGCATATGGGTGAGTAATAGCAAGTAAATCATTAAAACTGTGAAGTGTGTCCACTAGTATTTTCTATGAGCCCCCATCATTATCCATGGTATTTGAGGCAAAACAAATACACATTATGTTTCTCTTTTATTTGACAGAGGCCTTTGAGATATAACAGATAATGAAATGTAAAAAGATATAAAGTCAGGGGTTCTTATCCTGGGGTCTAAATTTAGGGGGTATGTGAATTTGGAAAGGAAAACATATTTTCAGTAACCTCTTACTTAAATCTAGTACTTCTTTCAACTATGAATATAGGAAACAGATTACAGTGGTATTAGCAGCCCCTGCAACTTGGTCACCAAGTCACATTTATTTTCCTGTTATACCACACATAGTGCACTTGTGAAAATACCTTAACTATCATTTATGCTTATCACTTCTTCAAAATTACTTGAGTTATACAACCTGCCACTTTATCTTGTTATTTAACAAATATTGTAAAGAACTACAATTACTGTGTCTCAATTTTTTAATCAAACTATTTTTAGATATTGGAAATATGCATGCAGTTCTAAGAAATAATGCCCAGAGATCCCTTTTCCCCCAATGGTAACATCCTGGTAATCTATATTATGATATCACAACTGGGATATTGACATTGATAAAACCCATCTATCTTATTCAAATTTCCCTAGTTTTATTTGTACTTATTTGTGTGTTATATATGTGTGTGTGTATATATACATGTGTATATATATTTTTATATGTGTGTGTGTGTGTGTGTGTGTGTGTGTGTGTATATATATACGCATTTCTATGCAGTTTTATCATGTGTAAATTCAGGTATACCAACACCACAATCAAGATATGGAACAGTTCCATCACCACAAGGATCCCCCAAGTTGGCCTTTCAATAACCACACCCATCTCCTTCCCACAACCCTCCACCCCAGCAACCACTAACCTATTCTCCACTTCTATCATTTTTTTTCAAAAGTATCATTTACAAATGGAATCACATCAAGTTCAAAAGCTTCTGCAAAGCAAACAATCAACAAAGAGACAACAGAATAGGAAAACATATCTGCAAACTATACATACATCTGACAAGAGATTAATAACCAAAATATTTAAGGAGCTCAAGCAACTCAACAGGAAAAAAACTAATAATCTGATTTTTTTAAATGGACAAAAGATCTCAGTAGACGTGTCTCAAAAGAAGACATACAAAGGACAAACAGGTATATGAAAAGGTGCTCAACATCATGCATTGTTGGAGAAAAGCAAATCAAAACTACAATGAGGTATCATCTCACCCCAGTTAAAATGGCTTGTATCCATCCAAAAGAAAGGCAATGACAAATGCTGGCGAGGATGTGGAGAAAAGGGAACCCTCATAAACTGTTGGTGGGAATGTAAACTAGTATAGCCACTATGGAAAACAGTATGGAGCTTCCTCAAAAAACTAACAATTGAGCTACCATTTGGTCCAGCATTCCCACTGCTGGGTATATGCCAAAAAGAAAGAATCAGTATATCAAAGAGATATCTGCACTCCCATATTTATTGCAGCAGTATTCACAATAGCCAAGATTTGGAAGCAACCTAAGTATCCATCTACAGACAAATGGATAAAGAAAATGTGGCACAGGGGCCAGGCGTGGTGGCTCATGCTTGTAATCCCAGCACTTTGGGAGGCCGAGGCAGGTGGATTGCCTGAGGTCAGGAGCTCAAGACCAGTCTGGCCAACGTGGTTAAACCCCGCCTCTACTAAAAATACAAAAAAATTAGCCGGGCGTGGTGGCGTGCACCTGTAATCCCAGATACTCGGGAGGCTGAGGCAGGGGAATTGCTTTAATCAGGGAGGTGGAGGTTGCAGTGAGCCGAGATCACACCACTGCACTCCAGCCTGAGTGACAGAGCAAGACTCCATCTCAAAAAAAAAAAAAAAAGAAAAAGAAAATGTGGCACATATACACAATGGTGTACTATTCCGCCATAAAAAAGAATGAGATCCTGTCATTTGCAACAACGTGGATAGAACTGAAGGACATTAGGTTAAGTGAAATAAGCCAGGCAAAGAAAGACAAACATCTCATGTTCTCATTTGTGGGAGCAAAAATTTAAAACAATTGAACTCATGGAGATAAGAGAGTAGAATGATACTTGCCAGAGGCTGGGAAGTGGGTGGGGAGGGGAAATGGGGATAGTTAATGGGTACAAAAGTATAGTTTAACAGAATGGGTAAGATCTGGCATTTGATAGCACAACAGGGTGACTATAGTCAACAATAATTTATTGTACAATTAAAGATTGTACCATTTACCCTGATGTGATTATTATGCATTGTATGCCTGTATCAAAACATCTCACGTACCCCTTAAGTATATACACCTACTATGTACCCATAAAAAAAGGAATGTCATTTACATGAAATCATACTATATGTAACTTTTTGGCACATGGACTTCTTCCATTCACCATAATGCCCTGGGAAGGCACACAAGTTATTGTGTATATCAATAGTTTATACCTGTTTATTGCCATACAGTATCCCATAGTATGGATAATACAGCTTATTTAACCACTCACCCGTTAAAGAACATTTAGGCTGTTTCCAGTTTTTGTCTACTATGAATAAAACTATGAACATCCATGCACAGGTTTTTGTGTGAACATATGTGTTTATGTCTCTGGAATGTGTCATAATTTTTAAAAACAATTTTATAAGTACATTTTAATATGATTGGTTTCCTTTATAATCCTATGTCTTTTGTGTTTTACATCTAAAAATATGATTCTAAAAAGGTCCCCATAAATTCACCAACTTTCAGAGGGGCCCATGGCACAAAATGAGTAAGAACCCTTCTAGTAGCCTGTTACCTCTATTTTGGAATTACACTGCATTTACTCCACCCACTGTCCTAGGACAGAAGAAAAAGTACACTACCTTTTTTTTTTTTTTTTTTTTTTTTTGAGACGGAGTCTCGCTCTGTCGCCCAGGCTGGAGTACGGTGGCGCGATCTCGGCTCACTGCAATCTCCGCCTACCAGGTTCACACCATTCTCCTGCCTCAGCCTCCCGAGTAACTGGGACTACAGGCACCCGCCACCACGCCTGGCTAATTTTTTTTGTATTTTTGGTAGAGACGGGGTTTCACCGTGTTAGCCAGGATGGTCTTGATCTCCTGACCTCATGATCCTCCCGCCTCGGCCTCCCAAAGTGCTGGGATTACAGGCATGAGCCACTGCGCCCGGCCCACTACCATTTTAAATAAAGAAAGTTCATGTATGTAAATAGTGACTTTAAAAAATGGGCAGGATTTGATCAATGATAATGTGCAATAGGATAACCAATGTATTTCGCATAGGCAATCTCTTCATTGTACTGTTTAAAGATAGGAACAACAGTAAGACTTACCAACATTTGTTGTGTTGGGGCAAAGATTATGAAGGTATTTAAATAAAATGGTTTCCCTCTCTGCTTTACCATTTTGTAAATCCGATTCCAAGAGTAACTTTAGACAGTGTAACAAAGCAAGTTTAATAATACTTTTGCAGATTATAAATGTATCCTACAGCCTAGATATAAACTGCATTTTAAGTAGGTAATGAAGCTATACATTGTAAATGAAATAAAGAAATATTCCTTCCACAAAACAAAAAATTACCCTATTATTTTCAAAACGCTAGCCTTCTAAACATTTTAGTAAGTGCTATCAGACAAAATGAACACACTGAATTTTATCAGTTCCTTGTCTACCTGCTGATGGGAGGTAGTGCATCAATAGTAAAATGGCCAAAGGATAGGAAAACAAGGAAAAATAAAAAGAAATGTAACTAATTGTCACATGAATAAATGGATGTGTGCCTCCAGCACTGAATGGGATTGCCTGTAATCCCAGCACTTTGGGAGGCCGAGGCGGGCGGATCACGAGGTCGGGAGATCGAGACCATCCTGACCAATATGGTGAAACCCCATCTCTACTTAAAAAAAAAAAAAAAAAAATACAAAAAATTAGCTGGGCATGGTGATGGGCGTCTGTAGTCCCAGCTACTCGGGAGGCTGAGGCAGGAGAATGGCGTGAACCCCGGAGGTGGAGCTTGCAGTGAGCCAAGATCACGCCACTGCACTCTAGCCTGGGTGACAGAGCGAGACTCTGTCTCAAGAAAAAAAATAAATAAATAAAGGATACCTTAAACTTCTATAGCAAAAACAGCTTTCACAACTTTTCCTGCATACTATTTCATCTGAATCTAACAACAGGGAAAATATTACTAAAACCATTTTTTCTTCTGCTGTGAAAACTGAGTCACGGAGAAGTCATGTCTTGTCTGAGACTATATCTAACTGTCAGAAGCAAGGCTAGAACCCAGGCTATAGAGTCGCCCTCTGAGGACAGTACAAAACCATCTTAAAAAGGGGCATAATTTGCTTCCAAAGGAGGATTATAACAAAAAGGGAAAAGCAGGCAAAAGTTTCTGAAATATTCCTTACCTTAATAGCTGTATGAATTTAGTCAAGTGATTACTTGACTTCCTGGGCCTGAGGTTCCTTATTGGCAAAATGGGAACAATAAAGCATCTACCCTCCTCAGGCTTGTCATAAGGGTGAAATAAGGATCCTGGTCAAACATAAGGTCTGGTATATAATAAGCACTTAACTAATGTTTGGTGCCATTATACATTATTTTATCATTAATTTAGTGAGTACTTTCGTTAACAATTGCCTAGTTGACTGCTCATGTTATGAAGTTATTAGTTTCTGTTCACCTAAATTATTCAAGCAAAGACCTGCCACTAGGTCTGAGATGCTGGAAAAGGATTCTTACCTTAGGTAGGAGACTAGTATTAGTAGTAGTAGTAGTAGTAGTAGTAGTAGTAGTAGTGGTAGTAGTAGCAGTATTTTTGAGATGGAGTGCAGTGGCGGAATCTCGGCTCACTGCAACCTGCGCCTCCTGGGTTCAAGTGATTCTCCTGCCTCAGCCTCCTGAGCAGCTGGGACTCCAGGCGTGCGCCACCACGCCCAGCTAATTTTTGTATTTTTAGTAGAGTCGGGGTTTCACCATATTGGCCAGGCTGGTCTCGAACTCCTGACCTTGTGATCCACCCACCTCGGCCTCCCAAAGTGCTGGGATTACAGGCATGAGCTACCACGTCCGGCCTGAGAAGACTATTATTTTCACAGGGGTCCATGGAATTCCTTGAGGTGTTTTCCAGGTTGCCTTGGAGGGTGAGTAGGGAATGTGCAAAAAAGGAAGGCTCCTGGGGAGACTTCCCAAGTCTCTGCTCCCCCAAAAATGAGGGCATTTACACATTTATCTTCTAATTTATTCATATCCCACATATGATTTTTTATGAATAAGCTGCTCTTATGTTAAATAAAATAAGGTTTTAAACCCACTGAGCTAGATGATCCCAAAGGTCCTGCCCTGTTGAATCTATGATTTGGAATATGCCACTATATGCATACTAAAGCAAAAGCTTTTCTTCTTTAAAGCATAAAATTTTAATTGGACACTATATTCTCTGCACACACATTCACTATATTCTCTGCACACACATTGATTATACAGATTCTCGGTTTCTTCACAAAATAGACTACAGAGACACAAGGCATCTATCTCTTACTGTGCATATGGTATCATTTTTGTATTAGAATATTACCAGTCAGCATGAATTGAGTTCCCATGAGGTTCCAGGCACTGAGAGTACAGAGATAAGCGATGATATATCCTCACCATCCCAGCAGAGCTTATTCAGGTATGGTAAGCAACAACATGCAGACCACTGTCAATGTGATATGTGCCTTCAAAATAGATAGGGGGTGATAAGGGAGTTTGAAGGTTAAAGGACTTGACTCTATGCGGGGGAAGAAGGTCTGCCCAGCTGTAAAAACTGTTCACCAAAGGTAGATAAGGCTATTTCAGTTAGAAATTACAATAAATATTGGGTCATAATACAACATGCTATGTTCGGGGATTTGTTAGATCAATATACCTGGAGCTCACAGCAATGGTACTCAAACTGGGATCCTTGAACATAGTTTTAATCATCCCTGAGTCTGGTAAGGTAATGTTAAAATTCTGAAGTTTCATTTCTTAATATGATAAAGCTAGGCATAAGCTGGATCATCTAGATAACTACCTTATAACCAAGTCCTGCCAATTAGTCTCAGCATCCATATATTCACACTGTTACCAGGAAGTACAACTTTCATTACCTCTGGCTAATGAGATGGCCTTAGTGTGAAAACACATATGTACCAAAATAAAGACCAAATGACATCGCAGCATGCTATACCAATCAAAATTTAACCATAGATCAGAGAACACTAGTGGCACAGTTGGGTTATCCTACGGCACGGTAGGCACAGAGAACCCAAAAGTGCCCGCACTGTAGTATATTCACATTGTAATTGGCAATTTAGAGTCAGCAAATGATTTATTACTTAAAATAATGTTAATTTAAATTTTATGGGTTTTGTATTTAACATGTATATTTGATAAGTTGTATAAGAGATGCTGCTATAGTGTGTACCCTATGTTGCCACGTAGTTAAACAGTATAATTAAAATATTTAAAGTTAACACTGACATATTTGAAATCAAATAGTATCTTAGTGGGATACTCCTCTGGTTAATATTTAAAAGAGGAATGACTTGTTTATATTAGTATATATAAATTCAAAAAATATATGAAAGTTGATTTTGGGGGATTTCATTTCAATAAACTAATTTTACCTAACAAACTCAAACATATGTGTTTATTTTCTATAGCAGTGATGCATGTATAGGTTATTCAAGCCTTTTGTGATAAATAATTCATCTTTGCTGCATGAACCAATTTCAGTTCTAAAATGGTATACAGTGAATATCACGAAATACTGCTTACCCCAAAGTCCTATCCTAACTTGAAAGAACAATCTGGCCAGGTGCGGTGGCTCACGCTTGTAATCTCAACACTTTGGGAGGCCGAGGCGGGCAGATCACTTGAGGTCAGGAGCTCGAGACCAGCCTGGCCAACGTGGTAAAACCCTGTCTCTACTAAAAATACAAAAAATAAGTTGGGCATGGTGGCACGCGCCTGTAAACCCAGCTACTTGGGAGGCTGAGGCAGGAGAATCGCTTGAACCTGGGTGGCGGAGGTTGCAGTGAGCCGAGATCATGCCACTACACTCCAGCCTGGGCAACAGAGCAAGACTCCGTCTAAAAAAAACAAAACAAAACAAAACAAAAACCCAACCTGATAAGAATACTGAGCTAGTACTTGAGCGTATAGACTTTGTAGGGTTTTTATAAAAGTACAAACAATGTTCTGGCCCATAAGTGCTATATATCATGTCATAGTTAGAGGTTATGCCAATAGAAACAGCAGTATGGCATTACCCAATATGATGGCATTACTTTTACAGATTACCAACCATCTGTTTCTGCTGGTAGCATTCTTACCTCTAAGGACCTAAGTTGTGAATTTGAATATAAGGAAACACACATTTCTGTTTCCTCAAAACAATTATTTTAGAAATAATACTTTTTCATGGTCCACATTATACAATTTACTATTCTAGCATGTCATTTACTTCTCAGAGAAAAAATTAGTATAATCTAACAATTCAACAGACATGCACACACATACCTCCAAAAGGCTTCATTTCTTTTTTCTACACCCAAAGTAGGATATAGATACTAAATATTTTCAATAAGTAATATAATCAGTAATCTCATAAACTTTCTCACAAAATGAATGAGCCTTTCAACTTATCAAATATATTCAGTGAAGATTTTGTACAGCAAAGAATAAAAAGTACAACTCATATGATTTTTAAGTGCATGTTTACTTGATATTAAACATACAATTTATGCTAACCAAATCTGACATCAGTTAGTGGGCTCTGCTGCCAATTCTATATTCCTTTAAACAAGACAAGATAAAATAACAAAAAAAAGTCAGCCATCTGGAGCTCAGTAGGTTAATGCACTATTCTGACACTTCCAACTAGTACAATTAAGGGCAAAACACTCTCAAAGGAAAAGACTGCTATATGAAATATGTCTTTGGGAAAAATAAGAAATCTTGCAAAAACAAAAAACCTGAATATTCCTTAGGTTATTTTAAAAATTGGGGCATGTTGCAGGCAAGTATTAATATTGTTATGCAGATCCACTTAGTCAAGGAATATAATAAGAAATTCTAGGAGGAACGAGGCATGATCCTAAGCATTGAGAGGAATATGAACATTCACAAACTTCCCACCTGGCAAGAGCTGTTCATGTAAGGTCAAAGACTGGCCTCATCTCTAAAAGCACGTCTAGTCACAAATTATATTTACATACAAAAGCAACCAACACATTACAACTGATTGACTCCCTCGATATGATACAGGAGTGAGGGATAACTAATTTTGGAGTCATGAAAATTTGATTTGAATCCAGTAGTCTGCTACTTAAGACCACTGTTTAACTGTACAAGTAACAATTTTTCCCAGTTTCATTATATCTTATAGAATTGTTTTGAGGATTTAAATATAAATAAATGTAAAGTGTCTGGCCCTATGCCTGACACATAGTTAGGTACACAATGGACATTTATTTCCTGTCCAAACATCATCATCAACAATATCCAATTCTTGAGTGTACTATGTGCCATTCACTGTACTACTCACTAAATTTATTATCCTAATCCTTAGAAACAATCTTGAAAAGCAGTAATCACACACATTTTATAAATGGGAACAAAAATTCACACAAGTTAAAAAACTTTATCTGAGGTCACACAGCTAGTAAGTATGAGAGATCCAAACTATGGACTATTTGGACTCCTTCCAGGGGCCTGCCAGGCCCTGGGTAATTTTTCCCCTACCTCTTTCTACAACTTCATCTGATGCCCTCCCCTGCCCCAAATTACTAACTTCCAAACTGGTCTCTTATCTGGCACTCAAACACTCAAAACCCATTCTCACATTAGGACCTTTGCATGTGTTCTTCTTTTTGCCTAGAGGGCCCCTTTCCTGAATTTGAACATGGTTGTCTCCTTCCCATCATTCAAATATCCCCTCTTTGCACAGGCCTTCTCTGGCCAACCAATATGATGCAGCACACAACTAACCCACTTATGCCTACTGTTCCAGTATCGGAACACTAAGCTTGTGGGAGTTATTATATCCTACTGCTCAAGGTCATCGCCAAGGTCTGATTGTTCACATAAAAAATCTGCAGCCTCTGGCATAAATGGGTTAAAATGGCATCTTAACAAAAAAGAACACTCAATGTTTTAGTCTTTTGGAGGCTCATTACTATTTGGTATTTTCTTTGTTTATTCTTCTGTTGACTATCTGTCCCTCTTCACTAAGGGGTTAGGTTCTTAATAAACTGGGGTTTAAAATGCTTGAAAGTATAATAGTTAATTTCTACCATTCAGATTTTGGATAGATTTCAGTATTTGGTTCTGAATATTAGAGCTCTTTTGGAAGAACACAAAATGAATTAGAAAAAAATATTTCAGTAATCCCTTTACCATCCCTGTAAGGTGAGACATATTATCCCCGTTTTACAGATTGGGAAAGTTCTTTAATCAAATTTGGCCATGATACACAATGACAAATGGATGTGGGAATAAAGCCTAGGGCATCTGATTTCTACTTCAGTGTCCTATCCATTCGTCTTTCTCTCTCATGACTTTGGCAGTTCTCATTGTCCTAAAATGCAGTCCAGGATTGCTTATTCTCCAAAGGACTGGCTCAGTTGTCAAGGCCACAAAGATACAGAACTTACAAAAAAATTCACTGCTTTAGTTTGGGGATTTAACACAGTAATGCAATTTCAGAGAATAACAACCCAGCACACACACACAAGACATTCCAATTGTAAGAAAACACACCATGTACCCACTGCCTTCAGAACAAGATTCAAATATGTATGCCAAATAATATTCTTTGTTTAATTAATTTGATAACAGTTCACACAGTTATCCATTTTTATCCATTTTTAACAGTATTCTGTTAATATTCTGTTAAAGAAACTACAATACCGTTAAAGAAACTAAAAAGCCCTACCCATGGGGTAAGATGGATATTCTTTTACAATGCTGATAGCAATGAGCAGATTTGGCATAACATTTCTGGAAAGCCATGTGGTTAAAAAAAAAAAAAAAAAAAGTGCCTCAAAAAGTATGACTTATTTTTGACCTGATAATGCTACTTCTAGGAATCTTTCACAGGAAACAATCTGAACTGTAGCTAGGACTTCACGTTCTAAGTTATTCATGACATCATTTTTATATCAGAGAAACTTGTAAATACATTGAACAGTGCAAATATCGGGAAATAAAGAGGTAAGCTTTATCTATTTAAAATGGAATATTATGCAGCCATTAAAAATTGTTTTGAGACAGGGTCTCACTCTGTCTCCCAGGCTGGAGTGCAATGGCGTGATCACATATCACTGCAGCATTGACCTCCTGGGCTCAAGCGATCCTCCCACCTCCCCATCCGGAGTAGCTAAAACAATAGGTGCGCACCACCATGCTCGGCTAATTTTTTGTATTTTTAAGAGAGACAGGCTTTCCCCATGTTGCCCAGGCTGATCTCGAACTTCTGGGCTCAAGTAGTCTGCCCGCCTTGGCCTCCCAAAGTGCTGGGATTACAGGCATGAGCCACTGTGTCTGGCCTATTAAAGTATTTTAATGATGTGGAAATACATCTTTGACTCAATATTATTTAAAATGAGATACAAAACTCTAGGTACAGAATTATTTGAATTAGGTAAAAATGTTTACCTAATGTTTCAATTAGGTAAAAAATGATTTCAACTAGGTAAAAAATTCAATTAGGTAAAAAAAACTCTAGGTACAGAATGATTTCAATTAGGTAAAAAATCTAAATAGTAATTTATAGCAATGTTAATGATAATTATACCTAAGTAAGAGGATTTTAGATACATACTCTCTTCTTTAAAATTTCCTTTGTTTTCAGATTTTCTAAATTAAAGATTGTTACTTTTATAATTGAAATACATTAAATATTATTTTAAAAAGAAAGCTGAACCAACTGTTCTGGTCAAAGTCACTCAAAAAACATGGATATATGGTTTCAATAAATGAAAAAAGAGTGATAATGAAAGAGTTGAGAGGTGAAAGAAAAAAATAAGAAAGGAGCTGTACAAAATAGTACAGGAAAAAAATGTAGAACCAAAAAAAAAAAAAAAAAGGAATAATGAGAACACAAAGAAAGGACTCATAACAAAGCAGGTACAGCCTCTCCTACTTCAACTAGGAAAGATTTGCACCTTTTCAACCTCAACCACTTAGAGGATGTTTATTCAAGTATGTACCACCTCCTACTTGTTAAAGACCCAGGACACATCTTTATAGACAGACATTTATGAGTAAAGCACATTTACAGAGGGAAGTGGAGGTGAAAGAATACGTATTACACAACACCTGAAGTTCTACAGTCAAGCAGAAAAGACAAAAAAATTTCCCCATAAAGCGTTTCTCATATATATTTCCTTCAGGTAATTTTTTTTCTCAAGTCCTAACACCTTCTTGTTGACTACACAGTGAATGATTAGGACAAGACTTAAACCTTGCCTTAAAAGTTTACAGTCCAGGATTCTCTCAAAGTCCAAGGCAAAAACAACCACAGTAAAACAAATGAACAACCAACAACAAGAAGAGAACTCTGACTGGTTGTAGTGTGATGGCATTGTTTTAATGGTCACTGTATACATAATACAAAACCAGTCTATGTCTTTAAAAAATATATGTTGACATGACCATGCATACAGGCACACATACACAAATATACAGAGAAATCCAGCTCAAGTTCAAATTCCAGATATGGTCAAGATCACCTAATTAACGCCAGCACTAGCTGGAACTCTGTACATAGTGGTCAGTCTTGGGAATTGAAGGTAATTATCCAATGAGTGTCTACTACATGTAAGACACTATGTTAGGTAAAACAGAGACAAATGAAGTTCCCTTCAGGGAACTTAAAGAAAGGATGAATGCTCATTAATCTCAGTGAGGTGTCACCATTACAATGATCATTCATTCAAATACTTACTGAGTTACTCATTCATTTCCAATCATTACTGAAAATGTACCGTGTTTGGCATTGTGCTTGTTGTTAATAATATGATGACCAAGAAGACAGTGCTCAAATTTGAAGTTAAAAATATAAATCTTAAGTAGTTGACAACACAGGCCCAAACCATACAAATTCATTCAATGAATACTTAGCACGCATCTACTATGTGCCAGACACTCTGCTAACTCTACGGATATGGTAGTAAACCAAAGGTACAATGCTACTCAGGTGGTCCTTATTTTTCAGTAATGTAAGTATAAAGGGTATGGAATGGGGTATTAGGGTAGCACATAGGAGGATGCAACCCAGATGTCCAAAAAGCCTTTGTAGGAGAAGGAATGTCTAATATGAAAACTGAAGGATAAGCAAGAACAAGAGATCATAAGAGAAAGCTCAGGCGAGGTTGGACAAGTAACGGAGAGTGTTCCAGGTGGAGGGCACAGCACCGTGGAAGATTCAGTGATGAGAGAGAATGAAACAGAGTCATGGAAATGGAAGAAGTTCGGTATGGCTGTAGGGGTGTACATGTATTTGTGTGTACATTTGCATGTGTGTGACTGAGAGAGATGGGGTGGGGAAAGGGACAAGGAGCAGGAAAGGGAGAATGAATTTATTTGCTGGGGAGCAGATGCTGGTGAAGTAAATATAAGTCATGAAGACCTTGAAAGCCCCATTAAGGGGTTTGGACTTAATCCAGCGAAGTGAAATCACTGAGGATTTTTGTAAGCTGGTGAGTGACATGTTTAGATTTGTGTAGCGAATAGAAGAAAGGGGGTAAGGATGGAAGGAAAGAGACCAGTTAGGAGACTGCTATTGTAATCAAGGTGATGAGGATGGTGGCCTAAACTAAAAAGGTGACAGGGGTAATGGGAAGGAGCAGATGAGTTTCAGAAATATTTTAGCAGTTAGAATAGATAGAATGTGGTCACAGATTGGAAGTAGAGAATGAGGAAGTGCAAGGAATCAAGTATGAAACACAAGTTTCTAGTTTAGACATCTGGAAGTACGGCAATGTCAATTTCCTGAGGTGGAGAAAGCAAAGAAAGGGACACGTATGTTGCTGTTTTGTTTTGTTTTGTTAGCATTAAGATCTGTTTCCTTATAATTTTTACTTTACTGATAATAGATTTTTTTAACCTCCAATGGAATGAAAAAGGACTATTCAAATTGTTCCATCCTATCACAGCCCTTCTATCTTATGGAGACAAGTATATCCTGCCTAAACCTCCTTTTCAGTTTTCAAGCATTTCAGAACGAAAGAATAAATGCAGAACACTCTATGGTTCCTGGTCCATAGAACATGATCAATAAAAGTTATTATCATTTTTACTTAGCAGAATACTTTAGCATTCATAACATTAAAACCTTAAAAATCTCTGCCATTCTCATTTTCCTTTTACCCCATAAAGTCCGGGGAGAATTTTTTATAAGTCATTAAAAATCCCACCAGACTAGAAGCTTAGTTTTCACATTGTCATCTAACATACGATTATATAATTACATTGTACATAACTGAAAGCATACATCATATGACACGTGTAATTTCTTTTAACCACTGTATCAGAGGAATGTTTTCATTTTCTACACAGCATATCTAAGTCATTCTAGTGTCTACCTGATAATACTCCTGAGTGTATGGCTCATAATTAAGCATTGCCCTCTTGGAATTAAGGTTTCTGCCCACCCCAATTTTCCATTAGTATAAACAATCCTGCAAATAAATACTTTTTTCTTCTTTTGGATAATTTCCTTAGGGTAAATTGTCCAAAATACTAAATCACAGGGGTCAATAGATACAAGGATTGGTATATTCCGTCAAATTCTTTTCAAACAGATTTAATGCTACCAGCATAATACAGTAATGCACAAATTTCATGGTATTAGGCAATGCCATTTTAAGATTTCCAATTGAAAAGATGGAAAATGATACCTCATTTTCAAATTTTGCATTTCTCAATTGGTATGTTAAAGTTTTTCCCATTTTACTAATTTTATTTCCACTCATACGTATTGTCTATTTTTTTGCACATTTATCTATCCAAACCTAGATGCTTCCATCACATTCTATGCAGTGCATGGATACTAACAATATTAATCCCGTGTGTAATAAACTTGCAGGTATTTTTCTGAGTGTTTTATATTTTACAGCATTCTATACAGTTTAGCTTTTATTTATTCAAAGTTGTAAATCTGTCCTTTTGTAACTTCAATTAATTCAAAGCTTACAATATTTTCACTTCAATGTTTACTTTTAATCTGTCTATGATTTTGGTACACAATATGAGTTATGGAGCCAGATTTACAGGCAGATTACTTAATGAATGGTATTGGAATGTATATTTCCTCCCCATTATTTTCTATCCTTACAGAAAACATAGTTCATATTTATAATATACATATGCAAAAACATAATCTAGGGCGGGCATGGTGGCTCACGCCTGTAATCCCAACACTTTGGGAGGCCGAGGCGGGCGGATCACAAGGTCAGGAGATCGAGACCATCCTGCCTAACACGGTGAAACCCCGTCTCTACTAGAACTACAAAAAATTAGCCGGGCGTGGTGGTGGGCGCCTGTGGTCCCAGCTATGCAGGAGGCTGAGGCAAGAGAATGGCATGAACCTGGGAGGCGGAGCTTGCAGTGAGCCAAGACTGCACCACTGCACTCCAGCCTGGGCAACACAGTGAGACTCCCTCTCAAAAAATAAATAAATAAATAAATAAATAAATAAATAAATAAATAAATAAGAATCTATTATTGAACTTTCTTTCTATTCCCACTTATTTACATGAATGTGTGTGCTATTATAATATCTCCCTTTTTTAAAAATGTGAATCCTTCATCTTTTTATAGGATTAGTCCCCCATCACCAAAATATTGCCCATGGTTCTCAAAATGGCATTTTACATTCTTGCCAGTTTCCTCTTCCATCTGTATAATAATCTTGCTAAATTCAATAAAGTCAACTAAAATTCCTGTTTTTATTTATAATTATGTTAGATGTATAAATTTACAAGAGAAATTTTATATATTTATGGCCTTTATCCATCTAGAATTGCACTGTCTTCGTATTTATTCTAGTCGCTTTCTATAGCTCTCAAAGTGCTGTAGATTTATGTAGGTTATATACCCTCCTATTAAGCTTATTAAAATCAGCTTATACTTGTTTACTATTATGAATGTGACCTTTTTCATCATGTTCTCAAACTGGCTACTATTGTTATAAGGAAATGGTATTGATAACACATCACTTTACTAAATATTTAATTTAAAATTTTAATAAATTTAGGTACATAGTCAACCATTGACTTATCTTCCTCCTAAACTCTTTCAAAATTCAAACCTTCAATTGGAACATGAGACACAAATACATGTGACTCCAGGCTTTTAAATTTCTAATACAGGGATTGTCTTCAGAGGTATCAAAAATAACAAGTTTTTCTTGGTTGTATCAATCAAATTCCCACATCAGTTAAAAGAAGCAGAGAGAAGCGGACATATCTGTCACATTTCAGCTGTGTGTTTCTTAGTATGTTCCTCCAGCCTCACAAATGGCTGCTTCCAGGCAATGACACCTACTGTCTGCAGGCTCAATTATGACAAGGGAACTCAAAATAGTTAGGATCCACAGTATTGCCTGTAAGTCACATCTAGATTTATCTTTCCTGTCCTAAGTCTTGAGTCCCAGGTACTTAGGGTAAACGTCCCTTGCTGGGCCAGGAACCTGACTTGAACACTAGCTAACTTGGCATTATGCTAACCTTTCCCTCTAGGAATTGAATATAGCATCCTGCATGGTGAATCCCAAAGCTTGGCAAGAATTTTTGCTCCAAACCAGACTGATCTCCTGGAACCACAATTCTGCCAAAGGTCTGCCTGAAAGAACATGCAGCTGCATTCTCATGACCAGAGCAGACTCCTTGGATATTGTCAATAGGCCAGATAAAATGCCATTTCACCACATCTGTTTGAGCCTTCATTTCATCTACAGCCATGCCACATGGAAGGTTCAACCAAGTTCTAAAATTCTGACTCATGGTTGTCAATTTACTTTATTGTCACCACTGGCCACTACATCAGTGTTCACAGTAGACATCAAGGCTGAAATAGTCCAATATCTAGCATAAACAACCAATGACCACCATGAATGATTTTACCTAGTACCCTGGAATACAAAATTAAAAAAGTGTACTTCAAGGGAATCAAATGAGTTTTGTCAATATATGTAATATATTATTAAATACCCATGTATTCATCAAATATTTTATCACTGTTCTATCAATAAAAATGAATTCTCACACACATATACTTTACTCCAAATATTTACTTTGATTTAAGAATAAATTATTTTAAGAGGAGAAGAAATTTAGATCTGGTTTTTATAACATGCAAATGGTTGACTCCCTCTACTGGATAAAAAATACTTATAGCTTAGCTTTCAGAAAATAGGTGTACCTTACATTATACAACAAGTTGTAACTTACAAGCATTTGCACATATATTATGTCATTTGATCCTCGTAACAACCATGTGTGACATGCAGGGCAGATAACAACAAAGAAAACAAGATTCATGCTAGGTGACTGTGCTGTTGAAATTCATGCAGCTATATCGCTGAAAGCATCACAATCCAGGTGTTTGGGCTACTCCTGGGTCAGTGTTTTTTTCTCTTTAACAGCCTTTTTAAAGAAAACGCTCGTTATTCCAATGGGAAGAAAATTCCAACTTATAATAAAAGCAACATAACTTTCGAAATGTATGTGAAACACACTTATTAGTTAGCTTGGTACCCCTAAAGGATACTGCGTTTTTCTATGGACACTTGATATCAAATGCAGAAAATACTTTAGAAATCTACATTTCAACAGATTGTTTCTCTGAAAATAAACAATATCTCTAGAAATAATATTTTGAAACACTCAGTACTATGATAAACTTTTTATTAAAGTAATGACTTGTAATTTCTGAACATTTTTGTAAATAAGCAACTATTAGTCCTGAGTGTATTTACTCCCTCTTTCCTGTAAAAATGGAAATAATATACACCTTCAAAAGTGAAAATAAACTTGCAGAAGTTTCAACCAGTGGTATAGCATATACATTCAGTGAGCATTCACATTATATTCACATAGAACACAGCAGAAATGAAATACTATAGCAGGTATTTTCCAAATCTCCCTAATTTAAAACAAAAAACCCCAGAATTCAGAAGGATATTTTACGTTTTCAGCTTCATGTCTTGTGAGAATATGCAGACCTTTCATAACATTAGTAATATCAAAAACTCCTCAAGTGCAAACACCACTTTTCTTTTTTTTTAAGATGCAGTCTCACTCTGTCTCCCAGCCTGAAGTGTAGTGGATCGATCTCGGCTCACTGCAACCTCTGACTCTCGGGTTCAAGCGATTCTCTTGCCTCAGCCTCCCGAGTAGCTGGGATTACAGGTGCCAGCCAACACGTCCAGCTAATTTTTTTGTATTTTTAGTAGAGACAGGGTTTCACCATGTTGGCCAGGCTGGTTTCAAACTCCTGACCTCAAGTGATCCGCCCACCTCGGCCTCCCCAAGTGCTGGGATTACAGGGATGAGCCATTGCGCCCGGCCAAGACCACATTTTTTTTTCTTGGGTTTCCTAAGGATAACCCTTCAACACCACACACCACAGATACTCAATAAACACTTGCTGAAAGAGCAAATGAGTAGGTACAGGCAGTTTTGAATGATCAGTAAGCTTATTGTGTTTACCCTTTATCTCTGAACAACTTTTTTTTTAAATATATATATTAGGACAAATAAATATGCAACTCTTTGGAAGTATACAAATGCAACTAATCTAGACCTGTGCTGCTGAAAAACCAACACAAACTTTAAAGATAGTGTAACCACAGTAAGAAAGCACAAAGGAAAAAAAAAAAAAAAACCTTGAATTCTATTTTTAAATCTCCTGCTAACTCATTTAGCAGGCATACAATTTATTTAACCTTGTGAGAACTGGGGTGTCTGGAAGCAGCTAATAAAACACCTTTTATCACCCAGAGGGCCCCAGCATACAGTTACCTAGAATAGGCACAGTGAAATTTGCTGTTGGATGAAAATTATCTAGTAAACACTTGAATAATGAGTTATTGGGGTCAACAGGTCAGGTACACAGTCATGGCTAGTCTGCTTATTAAATGGCATGGAGAATTAGATATCATAGTGGCTCCTTATAAACATCTTTCGTGTTTTGAGCTATTCCTCCCTCCACTCCACACACACTTTAATTGATTAGTTTTTGTTAGGTATTTGTTTTTCAACATTCTGTTCTTAATCAAAGTCGCCATTGACATTTGCTGGCTGTCATATTCCTTCTCAATACTCCATTTACAGACAGTTTGAATCAATGTGTGCCACACAGCTTCATTTTAAATAAAATTTAGATTTACCAAGGTTATTTTTCAGCAAGGTTCTAAAACTGCCATATATTGTTATTTCCATGTTGTTATAAAGCTCACAATGTTTAAATAACTTGAATTGTTAGTTCGGAATATCCAATCTCAGATTTATATATTTTTAAAATATTAAGCTCTAATTTGTCCATATTAAAAAAAATTTCCTATTCTCTTTGCTTATCTAATCCTTATTCATGTTTAAAGATTCAGCTTAAATATCACTTCCTCAGGGAAGCCTTCCCTGTCCTCCCAAACTAGGTCCCTCTAATCTCCTGGATGTTTTCTTTAAGCACTTAGGATGATTAAAATGAATATTGGTTTTATATCTATATTTATATCTATATTTATATTTATATCTATATCTATATTTATATCTTAGTCTATCCTCATCTTCATGAGGATATAGACTAAGCCATAGTTTTTTATTGCTGCATTGGTTTGTACAAAATTCAATAAAATTGTAATAATATATATGAATAAATAAATGAATATGCAACAAAACATTTTTTTAGTACGTATTGTATTTACGTACTGCATAGCCCTTGCTCTTATATGCTAAATAAACCCAATCCTAATTTGAAGGGCATTACAGTAAAGTTAGGAATGTTTGAGTTTTTAATGCTGAAGATAGTCCCTCGGCTCTCAATTGTAATTTGTATAAAATGTGTTCAATCATGAATTTAGTTATACTATAGTTTCTCTAATTAATTAAATGAAGAAAAACCATCACACTGTAACAAGACTTCAGAAAAAAATCTAAGGAGAAGATATAAATTTCTAATTACCTCAGAAAAATATTCCAAGCAACGGAAAGATGGACTGAACATAAAATATAAAATAAAAAAATAAGAAATTAGCAATATAAAATGTAACACAAATTAGATTCATAATTTTAGAGTTAAGAAGGATGCTTAGATTTAAAGAAAAGATGGTTGCTATAAAATATTCATTCAGTATCTCAATGTTTATTTCAGATACATCTGAGATATACCTAAAAACCAAAGATTATGTTACAGTAGCCCCCCACTTATCCATAGTTTTGTTTACCCTTCCACAGCTTTAGTTACCTGCAATCAACCATGGTCCAAAAATATTAAATGGAAAATTGCAGAAATAAAAAACTCATGTGTTTTAAATTGTGGACCATTCAGAGTAGCATGATGAAATCTTGCACTGTCCCACACTCTTTTACCTGGCATACAAATCCTCTCTTTGTCCAGTGTATCCACACTGTATAGGCTACTTGCTCATTAGTCATTTGGTAGCTGCCTTGGCTATCAGATGGATATATATATATATATATATATATATATATATATATATATATATGAGAGAGAGAGAGAGTCTTGGTTTTTTATATATATACACTACAGAGAGAGAGAAAGAGAGAGAGAGTATATAAAGGGTTAGGTACTATCCATGGTTTCAGACATCCACTGGAGGGTCTTCAAACATATTCCCTGTGGATAAGGGGGGACTATTGTATATGCCTGCCACTTGGTTAAGAATTTTATTTTTGTTTTTCAACTAATGGATTTCATTTCAAAGTATGTTCATATAAAACCCATAATAGAACAAGCTAGGCTAGGAAAGGAAAATAAGGTTTAGGTGGTTTTCATCTTGCATGTCATTATTTTGCACACTTTATTCCACTGCCTTTAACTGCTTAAAAGATGAATGAGGTCATTTGGATTTTTGTTAGTTTCTCTATATATTTTTGTACAACGTTATTAAAATTTTCCATTGCGATGTAAAATATTTAGTACCAGTAGAAAGACTTAGCTTTGGATTTAAATGAGTAAGAATATAGGGGTAAATAGCATTTTACCAATACTCTAGTACCTCAAATTTTCATACATCACGTAAGATGACACCAGTAATGTATTGGTGCTGGTATACTGTGATACAAACTGAAGCTACCCATAATAATTTTAAAAGCACAATTTTCCATTTCAAAAATAAATCCAGAACTAGTATATAGATCTTCTTTACGTAGTTGTCAAAAGTAAGCACTAAACATTTAAATCTAGCGTATGCACAGTATCATATGTGACTAGTAACTTATCCTCCATTAAACACTACAGAACATAAAGCAGCTTTCAAAAAATAAAATCAATAAAATGCTATAGTTTTGAAGTGCAATTAAACCATTTCAGAAGCCATATCTAATAAGAGAAATAGTAAATAGTAAGTGTTTTAAGATGAGTTGAGAAATATTATATTCATAATGCTTAAGAAAGTTTTACAGCTGTTTCTGAAAGCTGAAGTCCTAAAATAGAGAATAAGACATAGAGGGTAATCTCTTTAGCAGTACAGTATAGGTATCTTTAAAGTGAATGTATTTGAATACATTAATGGAAAATGGAAATTTCTCTTTAATGTGAGAACCAGCAGAACCTAGGATGATCCCTTTTTGTCTTAAGATAATTAGCAGTCTAAAACAAGAAATTCTGTGGTCCTGCTAAGTTTGAAAACTTGGAAAGGAGACCCAGAATAGGGATGTGAGCTATAAAAATCAAAATATTAGAACTTCATTATTTTCTAATGCTGTCATGTACAAAAATAATAACTGCTCTAACAATAATTTCTAAATTAACAGTGTGTAGTTAATTCATGTCTATAATAACAGGCTTAAAATTTCTTAAAACAATGTCTTGTGAAATTGATTTCCTAAGTACAGGAAAAGTATACATAAACATGTCATCAAGTGAGCAAACTTCAGTACTCCTTCATCTCCCGTCCCCATCTCTCTAGCCCTCAAAATGTGAAAAATGAAATTATTTAAACAAAGTGATTATCTTCAGAATGGTATAATGGAAATACACTTACTGGCCAGAATGCCTGAGTCAAATCTTGATTCCTCCATTTTCATTATCTTTTAACTGAGGGCAACTCACTTAGCCTCTCTGAATCTTCCAGTATTAAATACAGATATTAATTAGGGATAATAATCCCTGTACTCTTCAGTGGGTTATTTTGAAAATCAGACTTAATTAATAGGGCACCTTTTTACCTGTAACTTGGTAAAGGTATTATTTATATCTTCCATTTGCTAAGGCATTTCTTTGACAACAGGGACTCTTGATGTAGTCGCAGAAAAGACTATTTGCCAAATGGTCAATTTACTAAAGGATCAATTAGCAGAATTTACAAGCTATATCAGAAATTTTTTCTCAATTATTTTAAGAATGTCAAAAGAGTCACATTGGATGGATTGGAAGGGCAAAATAAAACTGTAGGCTGTCAGAGCTCTAAGCTTTGGAGACTTCAGACTATACCCCTTCCACCCAATCTCCTCCCTCACTCTAGCCCTAAGACTTCCTGTTCTTTGGGATTAGCAACCCAGGCCAATATGTTAACTCAACTTTCCAAGTTTCTCTCAACAGAGAGTGCTCTCTTTGTAGCACAGCTCCCTCCAGCTGTAATAGTAAGGAGTTGGGTAGAAATAAATATTCATTAAAATGCTATTATGAAGATAACATGAAAACCAGTGAAGTAAAACCTCATAGAAACTGTGAACACCTACAAAAAGGATTGTGTTCAAACATAATTCTGTAAACTTCACATGAATATATTAAAGAGTATGTCTAAAAACATAGTTTTAGTACATTTGATAAATGTGACCAACTGGCCACTGGAAAAAGCTTGAAAACACAGGAACCATTTCCTAACAGTCTTTGAAACGTTCAGTGCCTACCACATTGTAAGATTTCAAAAGTTGTTTTTCTGAATTGGAGTGAATCAAAAGAGAAATCTGATGTTCATTTTATTTCAACCTGTTAAATTTTAATTGAAATAAATTAACATTTTAAACATTTTTCAAGTTGAAAATATAAAATGGACTAGATAGCTGACAGTCTAACATAAGAGCTTTTCCAGAGAGGTAATATACATTTTGAACTCATTTAGCACTAAATAAAAATCTGAATAAAAAGTTTTAACTACCATAGCAAAAAAATACGATCATCAATCTGCTCTGTGACTCATCTACAGTGGAATTCTTACAATATATATACAATTACTTCTCTTTCAAAATTCAAATATTGATTAGGAGGAACAACTGTTTGGCATGAATTACAGTATGTTGTAGTTAATTTAATTTTCACTTTAAACTTTTTGTGACTAAACTACCTTTTTTGGTTATTGCTTTTATGTTTAAACTTTTGTCAGTAAAAATACAGTCAGCCCTCTGCGGCTGTGGGTTCCTCATCCATGGATTCAGCCAGTTGCAGATCAAAAATATTTTTTAAACAAATGGATGATTGTCTGTACCGAACATATACAGACTCTTTTCCTTGTCATTATTCCCTAGACAATACAGTATAGCTGCTAATCACATAGCACTTACATTGTATTTGGTATTATAAGTAATCTAGAAATAATTCAAAGTATACAAGAAGATGTGCACAGGTTATATGCAAATACTATACCATGTTATATAAGGGATTTGGCAAGGGGGGGTGGTTCTGGAACCAATTCCCCACAGACACCTAAGGACAACTGTACATCTAAAACATAAGCAACCGGCCAGGCAAGGTGGCTCACGCCTGTAATCCCAGCACTTTGGGGGGCCAAGGCGGGCAGATCACTTGAGTTCAGGAGTTCAAGACCAGCCTGGGCAACGTGACGCAACCCCGTCTCTACCAAAAATACAAAAAATTAGCCTGGCATGGTGGCATGCGCCTGTAGTCCCAGCTACTCCAGAAGCTGAGGTGTCAGGATTGCTTAAACCTGGGAGGCAGAGGTTGCAGTGCGCCCAGATGGTACCACTGTACTCCAGCCTGGGTGACAGGGCAAGACCCTGTCTCAAAAACAAACAAAATCAAACATAAACATAATCATCCACATTCCTGCTTCAATAAGTACATTCTAGGGAACAAAAGATGTTAATGCTCTCCCAGGGTCATCACTATGATAACAATTATCATTGTACCTCACTGTAGAATGGGGGGAAAAAGATAAGATCTAGGCAAAATCTTTACTCCATTGCCAAATCTTAGAATTCAGACATCATGCAAACCAAACATTACTCTCTTTACTGAAGTTTGTATTTCAATGGCTATTTAAACGAGCATTTGTAAACGTATAAAATCAGTATGTCTGACAATAATTTCATGTGTTGTATGCCTCAGAGAATGAAGCAATTGCTATGATTAGAAACATATGGCATAATAACAGTTCTTACTGATCTCAGTTTATACAATGGGAGACACCACGAGATAAAAATCTGGAATAAACAGGTGAAACTCAAGGAGCTTCTAGTTTTTCCCTTCCTATGTTTTCCCTGTGAACAAAGGGCTATGAACGAGAAATAGTGAAGTAGTGAAAAAGGAGAAAGCACTGCAGCATCTCTTAAAGTCTCACACAATGGCTATGAAGCAGTATCACATAATGGTTATGAGAATGGACCCTTGAATCAAATTACCTGGATTACATCCACTTAACTAGCTGTGTAATCTTGGGAAAGTTGCTTAAATCCCTGTGCCTCAGTTTAGGTCTCTATAAAGTGGAATAAAAACACTACGTACTTCATTTGGGATGTTATAACAAGTGAATTAAGACACATAAGACACTTAGAACAATGTTTGCCACATAGTAAGTGCTCAATAAAGATTAGCTATTATTATTATCATCATCATCTAGCCAGTTAATCTATCTCTAGATTGTATCTATACTAAATATAAAGACAAATGCTTTTTAAGACATGAGACCAATTTAATGTAAACATACCATGTGTGTTACACTATGGCAGCCAATACTATACTATTAGGATTTGGTCCAGTGGGGTTTACTATTTACTGTACCAAGAGGACTTTGTTGAAATAATTGCAGGCTAGACACTAAAGGTGGAAATATCACATGGTCTCTAGGAATAATTATTTCTAGGTATTTTACTAGAAGAAGGGAAGTGGAAAAAATGAACAGATGTCATATATGAATCCCTTTGGTGTCAAATTAAAAAAAAAAAGTCTTTTCTGATTATCCTACCATGCTTTCTTAAGGAACTATTATGCATTTTCAGAGGCATTAAAAGTTTACTGAACTATTAAGCAATATGAAGGTTACTACGCTCTTCTGAACCACTGTATTATGTTTGTTCTGAGTGAACAGAAGTAGTATTGGTTCATTATTTATTCACAAATAGTTTTCACAATATTTTATCATGTAATTGTTGTCAGTCCAAAAGTATTCCAAATTTCTGGCAACTTCATCATTCATGAGAAAGGATTTTATCAGTATATTCTACTCCTGACAAAAGACAGGAGTCATTTTATACATTTCCAAATGCTCGCTGATTCTTTGAAGCTGTTATGTGAAGCACGAGCATCAGGGTGGGTAACAAAAATAGTATCTTTAATAGCAATCATGAAAAAACAATCATTAAGTATTGGCCCTACACAAATAGTGGGCATCCTAGGAGAAAGAAGCACTCCAGTTGAGCACACTTTGAAAATAATGCTCGGCCAGGCACATTGCCTCAAGCCTGTAATCCCAGCACTTTGGGAAGCCAAGCTGGGTGGATCACCTGAGGTCAAGAGTTCAAGATCAGCCTGGTCAACGTGGCGAAACCCCATCTCTACTAAAAATATAAAAATTATCCGGGCGTGGTGGCACATGCCTGTAATCCCAGCTACTTGGGAGGCTGAGACAGGAGAATTGCCTGAACCTGGGAGGCGGAGGTTGCAGTAAGCCAAGATCCGGCCATTGCACTCCAGCCTGGGCAACAGAGCGAGACTCTGTCTCTAAATAAGTAAATAAATAAAGCTTGTGCTTCACATACCAGCTTCAAAGAATCAAAGCTATATAAAAAAATAAATAAAAGGGCTGAGAAGTACATTACATAAAATCAGAAACCCATTATCCCAAAGTTATAAATAGATAATATGATCTAGATAATACTTCTGATGGCCAAAAATCAGCAAATGACAGTTTTGTTGTCATTTAATGAAGAAGCTAAGGTTTAGGATATCATTCTCTCTGACTCACCTTGATCCCCAAAACTGTGATGGAAAAAACCATCGCCACTCTTGTCATTATCATTTATCACTTAAGAATATCTCTGCCAACAGGCTTGTGCCCTTTAAGATTCTCTTCAAAAAGGCAGAATAAAGATAAATGCATTTTATCATGATCCTCCTCAATTTCATACTTTTTCCAAAAAAAACATCAGTAATGCAGACATGAAAATTACTTTAATAGCTTAATGTTCACTGATTTTGAGCAAATGGTCAATTCACTTACAACAGCCTGAAAATGCATCAAATTATGAACAGCTCAACCCCTGTATCCATTTATTCAACAAAAAAAGTGCCATTGCTTGATATAGAAGACACATATTAATAGGCATTGTAGAAATAACGACTTGGAAAATGCCCACAAGATCTACATGAACTATAGTTCCAGGTCAAATAGCTTAAATTAGTAAGGGAAGAAACAAACAAAAGAGTATTGGTTGGCATAGCAATCAATAACAAAATGATAATTTTAAAATTCCCATATGTCAACTTGCATTTTCACTTAAAAAGCCTGTGGAAGTCTGGAAAGCAAAGCATCAATCCCATTTTCTCTCCATGAATTACTAACCTTGGCCAGGCACAACAGCTCATGCCTGTAATCCCAGCACTTTGGGAGGCCATGGCGGGAGGATTGCTTGAAGCCAGGAGTTCAAGATCAGCCTGGCAACAAAGCGAGACCCCAACTCTACAAAAAAATTTTTTAAATTGCCTGGTTGTGGTGTTGTGCACCTATTCTCCTGGCTATTCAGGAGGCTGAGATGGCAGGATCCCTCAAGCCCAGGAGGTAGAGGCTGTAGTGAGCTATGATTGCGCCATTGCACTCTGACCTGGGCAACAGAGCAATACCTTGTCTCTAAAAAAAATAATAATAATAATTTTTAAAGATAAAAATAAAAATGAATTACTAACCTAGTCAGTATACCAATAACAAGAGAAGGGGATAATGCTCATTACCAGTCAACCATATATCTTTAAAAGTAATATAGAATCATATCAACAAGATAAACGGGATAATACAAATTATATTAGTTCACTACCTTGTACAATCTTTCAACATCATTTCTAAAGAGTGGTCTTTGACACAAGGAAGGGAACAACAGACAAGGGGGCCTACTTGAGGTTGGCAGGTAGGAGGAGGGTGAGGATCAAAAACTACCTATCAGGTCCTCTGCTTATTACCTGGGTGGCAAAATAATCTGTATACCAGATCCCTCAACATGCAATTTACCTATATAACAAACTTGCACATGTACCACTAAACCTAGAGTTGTTTTTTTTTTTTAAAGAGCAACCTTTGATCACTCAAAAAATGAATAAAACAACAATAATAGACAGACCTATTACATGACAGGCACTGTGCCAAGGGGCTTTACTCACATCATGTCTTAGTTTTTACAACAACCTGCAAGGTAAGCATCATCTCCCAGTTTAGAAATAAAGAAACCAAGGTTCTGTCACTTAGTGACTTGCTCATGACCACACAGCTATTATTTAAGAAGTAGACCCAAAATTGAAATACAGGTCTGCCTGGTTCCAAGCTCACAGATTCCTTCCATTGCACTTCACTGCCTTAACATTCAACTCAGTATCTCTTAAGGCAGCAGGTCCAAATCGAGGCATCTTGGGTTATCAATTATTTCATGCCTTTATCACAGCAACTTATTCCTTGGTTCTACTTATTCCTTTTGTGCCTTCATCAAGCAAGTCTAATTCTTCTACACAACTCTTTAGATATTAGAAATAACTGTAACTCACCCGCTCCCCCCACACAGCTCACATACAAGTTTTCCTTATAGTTTGTCTTTCTACTCACAAAGATAGCAACAAAGAATGAAGGCCATGGGGTGGGGATGGGGACAAAGGAGTGGTAGTAATTAGAATGACAATAAGGCAATAAGGGGCAATGCACATATAAGGGATGTATCTAAGCCAAGAAATCCTCTAACAAGAAAGGCTTACATAATTACTGATTCCACTAGACCTGAATATTCCAGCAGTTACACTGACTGTAACACTAAAATAGGTACTATGCAGAACTTAATTTTGGTATACCAAAGACAACTGTGATTTCAGTCAAAATTCACAATGTACTTTGAAACACAGGACCAAAAGATCTGTCAGATTTCTTTAAAAAAAAAAAAAAAAACTATTTTGTACACAAAACTTTAGATTTTACAAAATACAACTAAAAAACACTAAATATCTAATTAGAAAGATATTTGCATTATTGATTCATTCAGCCAGAAGATTCTGCAGTTTCAAATGCAAATTATAATACTCAAGACATGCATATTTTATCATTGCTTGCTTTGTTAAATGTGTGAAATGAGAAAGTGGACTAAGTGAATATGAATAGAATTGGATATATTTATACATTTGCTTTATTTGAAAGTTTAACTATGCTTAATATTGCAGGTTTCATAATTATAGGTATTCAAATAAAAATATTTAAAGTATAACACTAGGCCAGGAGCAGTGGCTCATGCCTATAATCCCAGCACTTTGGGAGGCCAAGTGGGGGCGGATCACCTGAGGTCAGGAGTTTGAGACCAGCCTGGCTAACACGGTGAAACCCCGTCTCTGCTAAAAATACAAAATTAGCCGGGCGTGGTGGTACATGCCTGTAATCCCAGTTGCTCCGGAGGCTGAGGCAGGAGAATTGTTTGAACCCAGAAGGCGGAGGTTGCAGTGAGCCAAGATTGCACCATTGCACTCCAGCCTGGGCAACAAGAGCGAAACTCCCTCTCAATATAAAAAAAAAAAAAAAAGTATAACGCTAATGCAGAGACACAAAGAAATGTATTGCTCGGCCGGAGGCAGCTGCTCACACCTGTAATCCCAACACTTTGGTTGGGAGGCCGAGACGGGTGGATCACCTGAGGTCAGGAGTTCGAGACCAGCCTGACCAATATGGTAAAACCCTGTCTCTGCTAAAAAATAAAAAATAAATAAAAAATACAAAAATTAACTGGGCGTGGTGGCATGTGCCTGTAATCCCAGCTACTCAGGAGGTTGAGGCAGGTGAATCGCTTGAACCCAGGAGTCGGAGGTTGCAGTGAGCCAAGATCATGCCACTGCACTCCAGCCTGAGTAACAGAGTGAGACTGGTTTCAAAAAAAGAAAAAAATTCACACTCAACTATAAATGGTGTTTTTGCTTTCATTTACGCTTTATATCAAATGAAATTAGAAAGATTAAATTACAAAGGTTAAACGTAAAATATAAAAATATTCTTGCCATATTCATATCTTTGTCAAGAATGCCATTAAATGAAATTAACCCCAAATAATCATTGTAAATGGAGTTTCCTGCTTCCCTACATAGAGTAATTGTGTGTTAGGATTAACAGAGACAGAAACAAGGAAAAATTATGAATTGTCTCATTCACTAAAAGGTTAACAGATCCCTGTCTTTTGAATATGGAAATGGTACCTCATCAATAAGACTTTCTAAATACTTAAAGGGAAATAAAGATATAGATGTTCTTCAATTAACTGATAGCTGCTTCTTTTCACTAGCAGTTAGTCTTGGTTTTGGCTAGTCGTCTTAATGTTATTTTAATCAAGTAGTCATCTAGTGTCTATGGCAAAGGTAATCAGTGTATATTTGCATAGAGTTGAGTACCTAAGTATCTCTGAAGACGTACGTCATGAACTAGTAAACAATATGCCACTTATAAAGAAGGAAAAATGATGTCAGACAGCTATCATTTCAATATGGCAGAAAAATTGCAGTGCAACCTTAAAATATTTACAGTGTTTTCTAGCTTAAAAATCCAGGAAGAAAAATGAGAAATTTATGACAGGAAGACAAAATCTTTCTATAAGGAAAGGCTTTTGCCACTAAAAATGTTTAATGATTAACTGCCTCCAGGATAAGTGAGACCAGCCCATATGTAAAGCCAGATTAATGATAGACTAAGAAGAAATGTATTTTCCTTAACAAAGTGTTTTAAAATAAATCATAAAATATTATTTTTCATATTTCATAACCATAACTGAATTATAAGGAGAATGTTAAAGCTTTCTAGCTCTTAAGAGCTCTAGCTTGTGTAATGAATGGGGTGTTCAGTGTTTTCGATGAATAGGGGGGTTCAGAGAAGTTTAGTGTATTGACGTGAAATAACACTTCCTCTGCAATATGCTAAATATCCCTGAAAACTCTGTGTGTGAATATAAATTTTCTAGACTCATTCAGGTTTACCGTTATCCACAAAAATATATGAAACGGAAGTATCACCATATACTACGATGGGTTTGGAAATTGGACTGATTAAAACAATTAAGCATTTAGATCCTCAGAATCTGTGTATAAATCAATGAAAGTTGTACTATTTCCATTTTTTAAATGGAATTTATTTTTATATTATCTCCTTTTGGCTGAAGCTGAATTAAAAACTTGATCTAAAAATAAAGGAAAAGTAAACTAATGACTTAGTAAAGAATATTAATTTCACTTTAAAGGTATAACAGTGAATATTACCTTTAAATTGTGCTTTTAAGCATGTTTGTTTAACACAAAAATAAGCCACTTTACCTATGTAAAGCTTATGCATAACTAAAAAGAAAAAATTGATTGATGGTGGTTTAAATGGTTAAAATATGTTTTCATTTAGCATGTATAGTGAAGAATTATGAATGTGGATTTTTGGTGCCTATTGCTAGAGCTATTTTGAAATTCATCTTTGTACTACTTATGAAATATGCTTGTTAATGAAATTAATGGAGTATCAAATATTACAGAGAAAATATTGAAATTACATTTTAGCATATCTGAAAGAGTATGTGCATTGGGGAAGTCAGAAAAATGTATATTTGGATGCTATTCCGCCACTTATTTACTTTGTAATTTAAGCAAATGATTTAACCTCTTAGAGCCTCTATTTACAAATCTCTGGTAACCTACCACATAGGGTGAGGATTTCATAAATTATGCCACTCAATTTATGCTAGTTTTCTACTCCTTTTCAAATGCCCTCAAGTACTTGTGAAGCCCCTTCTTATGGACAAATAATTGATATGCTAATTACTAAAAGCTTTCATACATTCAGTAAAACAGGCTTCCTAAGGTCCTGATAGATGCAGGAGGCAGATAACGGGGAGGGTCCACGGATAATCTTCCACCAGCATGCATACTGGGAGAGCAGGGTTGAGCCAAGGAAGTTCCTGCCTTTTGCCGCAGGGAGGAGCTGGGCTCTTGAATTCCTGTGTAGTGGGGCGAGAGTAGTTAACAGGCTTCCTAAGTGCACTGCTTAAAGTTTTTTTCTTTTTCTTTTTTCGCCCCATAAATTCCATTTGTCTTGCCCTTCCAAGTATCTGTGAGTCTAACCTTTCCTGGTCATGTGACAAGAACCCAGCTTTTCCTACAACAGTCCTATGCTAGCAATGATGCTGGCCTACTCCCGACCACTCTACTTTCAAGAAAAGGTCCTATAATTCAGACTTTTTACTAACTTAGAAGAGTTTTCCCTTCCACAGTCATGTCTTACTAACTGAAATTTCACATGTGTACATGTATTAGGTCAGTCTTGCATTGCTATAAAGAAATACCTAAAACTGGGTAATTTATAAGAAAAGATGTTTAATTGGCTCACAGTTCTGCGGGCTGTACTGGAAATAAAGCACTGGCATCTACTTCTGGGAGGCCTCTGGAAGCTTACAATCATGGTGGAAGGCGAACCAGGAGCTTGCATGTCACATGGAGAAAGAGTAAGGCACGGAGAGTGCTACACACTTTTAAACAACCAGCTCTCACAGAACTCAGTATCTCAAGGACAGTACCAGGGCGGTGGTGGTAAACCATTCATGAGAAAAACGCTCCCATGATCCAATCACATCCCACCAGGCCCCACCTCCAACAATGGGAATTACATTTCAACATGAGATGAGCAAGGACACACATCCAAACTGTATCAGTATGTTACCAATAATAACCTTCCCAAAATTTAGTATTCACCAACACAGGTGAATGGAAACATTAAGTAACATGACTAAACTAGTGCACCTTGGGAAAAGGAAGTAAAGGCTATCAGATGGAAATGCCTGCACCTTAATACCCATTTTGCATGAATCAATTGATCTAGTTAGCAAAGACTGTTACCTCCTACCCCCACTAAAGTATATTTCTTTACTCTACATCTGTACTTTCAAATCTAAGGAGACACTCTTCAGTCATACCTGGATTCAGATCATAGTTCTGCCATTTACTAGGTGAAAGAGTTGGGTAATTAGACCACTTTACTTAGTTTCATTTAATCATCTCTAAAATGGGGATACTCCAACTGCAGTGTTATTGACAATACTAAATGAAATAATATTTGTAAAGCACCTAGTAGGTATTTTATACATGGCATTTTCCTCCTCCTATGGAAATGCTAAGTTAGGATTCCTAAAGGAATTCCAATGGATATTTAAAAATGCAAACATATAACTCCACAGATATTTACTGCACATCTACTATAAACTATTCTGATGCTGGAGTTGCAAATATAAAGGAAACATACCTAGCATGATGTCTAGCACCTAGATGTTCAATAAATGCCAGCTACGTTTATTTCCAGCTCAAGGAGTTTACTATCAAACAAGCAAGAGACATGAAGTTACCACACAAAGTGGAAAACAAGAAACCTGTAAATGAAAACGTGTTAGGAGAATAAAAAGAAAAGAGTAACTCTAATTACTCTTTATGGAGGGACATTACACCAACAGAAATGGCACTGGACCTTTAGTGTAGCTTGGGGAAGGAGGGCATTCTGTAAAGGAAGAACATCATGAACAGAGGCAGGAAAGTGTCAGGCCTCTGAGCCCAAGCCTGCATGTATACGTCCAGATGGCCTGAAATAACTGAAGAATCCCAAAAGTTAAAATGGCCGGTTCCTGCCTTAACTGGTGACACTACCTTGTGAAATTCCTTCTCCTGGCTCATCCTGGCTCAAAAGCTCCCCCACTGAGCACCTTGTGATCCCCGCCCCTGCCCACAAGAGAACAACCCCCTTTGACTGTAATTTTCCACTACCTACCCAAATCCTATAAAACTGCCCCACCCCTAACTCCTTTAGCTGACTCTCTTTTCGGATTCAGCCCGCCTGCACCTAGGTGATTAAAAAGCTTTATTGCTCACACAAAGTCTGTTTGGTGGTCTCTTCACAGGGACACGCATGACAGAAAGTTTACAGTGCATTGGGAAATTATGAATAACAATCAGGCTAGAGTGCTGGGTGTTCTGGTTAGTGGGGAATGGGTAGCAGAACAAAAGGAAATGATAGGTAGTGCTGGTAGAAAGGTAGGTTTTGGAACCAAGCTTCTAAGAACCCTGGGGATCTTGCCATGCTGGATGACTGCTAGACAAAAAGGAACACATGATTAGATTTATTTTTAGAATGACAACTCTGGATGCACTTTCAAGGCATAAGGAGTGCAATCTGAGAGGCTCTTATAAAAGTCGTGGCCTAAAAATATGGAAGTGGGAAGGGAATGGAGAGGAGAAGGCAATTATTTCAGAAGATATTTCATTACTTAAGAGGTTGAAATGTGAACAAATTGAACACAGTGAGCCAGGTTCCTTTGATTTCTGAGTTCTTTCTCTATTTTCCCAATTCTAAATTTCTCAATTCCCAAGAAACACTCACATGATGGGCTTGGCATTACTTTATTTAATAAGAGGATAACATAAGCATGAAAGTGAAGAGGACTCTATAAACGTTTAGAATATATGTTGAAAAGGAACAAAAAACACATTACTAATCAATAGAGGGGAGGGAGAATATTTTTCAATCCAGAGAATTCATGGGCAGTTCACATTCAAAATGCAAGGCAATTGGTTCTGATTAGTTGAGTCTTCAACAGTGTGACTTAAATGGTAGAGATTTAAAGAAGATAATGGCAATGAACATTTAATAAGAGAAATAGCATCAACAGAACTATCATTCATGATATGTGATAATCTTCCATTAGATATCCAAAACTAGAAGAGAAGGGAAACTGATTAACATCTCAAAATGGGCCGGGCACGGTGGCTCACGCCTGTAATCCCAGCACTTTGGGAGGCCGAGGCGGGCAGATCACAAGGTCAGGAGATCGAGACCATCCTGGCTAACACAGCGAAACCCCGTCTCTACTAAAAATACAAAAAAAAAAATTAGCTGGGCATGGTGGTGGGCGTCTGTAGTCCCAGCTACTCAGGAGGCTGAGGCAGGAGAATGGCGTGAACCCAGGAGGCAGAGCTTGCAGTGAGCCGAGATCACGCCACTGCACCCCAGCCTGGGCGACAGAGCCAGACTCCGTCTCAAAAATAATAATAAAAAAAAATCCCAAAATGAACAAACAACACAGGAAAAGGCTACTTCAAGAGAGAAAGAAATGTAAGAGGGCCAAGCTTATTGCAGAACATGGACCCTGGAATGAAGGTGGGCCTCATTTCCTCTTGCAGAATATAAAGAGGTCAAATAAGATCAGTGATTCCCAGTGGAGAATGTAAGCTCCCCTACCCCAGGTTATGGGCTGATCAGGATCATATTGAATGCATTTACTCTCCAAAACTACAGAAGACAGCTCCTCTCACCTGGATTTTCCAATAATCCCTTACTAGGGAAGTATGCACCACTTGATAAGCCAATAGCACTATTCACAGTGTGCCATATCATCAGGGATACAGGGATGGGAAATAAATCGAGACTCTAGATCTGCACTGTCCAATATGGAAGTCATTAGTCACATGTGGCAACCAATCACTTGAAATGTGGCTAGTTGGAATTAAAATGTGCTATAAATGTAAAATACACATCATATTATGGAGAGTTAATAAAAAGATATATCTCATTAATTTTATATTGATCACACATTAAAATGATAATGTACTAAATATATTGGATTACATAAAATAAATTATTAAAATGAATTTCACCTGTTTCTTTTTACTTTTTAAATGTGGCTTCTAGAAAATTTTAAATTACATATGTGGTTTGCATTATATTTCTTCTAGACAGCTCTGCTCTAGATGAAATTTTTACATTCCTTCTGGTGTAATAATTCTATGCTATCAAGACTTCACTGTTAAAAGTAAAGTATAACTAGTTCTTGCATCTTTGTAGGAAATAATACAAAAATTGAAATTCCAAACATAAAAGACTGCCATTAAAAACCACCAAATACAAAATAACATTATAAGCACCAACATTAATTTTAAGAACATGAAATTTAAGTTTATTACTTAAAAGCATTCACATCTGACAGAAAGGGGAAAAAGTTCATGCCCGAGGTAAAATGTTCTTTAGCTTTAATTAAACTCTTAAATTAATGTTGAATATAATTTAACAAAAATTAGGTATTTAATTGTTTCAGGGATTTAATTGTTTTAGAAGTCACTTATTAGCATAGGAAAAAATTAAGTGTCTGTAAATTAAAAATGACAATGTACCATTTTTCTAACAAGTAATTAAGCCATCGTTAGCAATTTAACATAATCAGAGAGATTCTCTATAATATTTTATTTCCAGAATACTGGCAGGACATTTTAGTCATAGGAGGCAAGACCATTAAGCTTTATTATACATTATGACTGAAAAATGCATGCTTTAGAAACAGAATACTGGCAAAAAGAAACATTTAAGCGCAATGGGGGGAATGGTATAGGCATTTAGGGGAGTGACACTTTCAAAATTTTCTGACCATGAATAAAAGCTTCAGTTTTGGAGTCAGACAGATTTGGTTTCAATCTAGCCCATCTGACTCCAAATCTCACGTTCTTAAGCACTTACATGTTTTTATTTACATTGTTTGGCCCTGCTAACATTTTTTTCTCATAAATCCCTTCCTTACAGGTTATCCTGTAAAATCTGACACTATATATGATATAGATGTATTGTGGAATATAGGGTTTTTTCTCTCTAATTAACAAATGAGAATTACATGCAGCAATGAAGATTCAAATATACATCTAAAAATTTGATGATAAACATTAGAAGCCAAATTTTCTGGCAGGAGAATCACCTACTCTGATAGCATATTTAAATAATGACTTAGGGAAATTCATTATAATTCTGCATAGACCTAGCTCCTATACTAGAAACATGCCTCTAGGCTCATTTGTACAAGAATTTCTTATTCAGCATCTCAGCTGCACAGGTTTCCACACAGAAATGAGCAGGTAAAAATGGTTAGAGCTTCATAATGAGTCAACATTAACATAATTACTTTCCATTTCATCTATTACGGTACACTGTTTGACTCTCTCATTTCTTTTCATTTCAATCATTCCTTTAGAACACCCACAAGGCCCTGTTAAAGAAATGAGACTTTAGAGGCTGCATTATAGAAACTGAGGTGAACTAAACAGTTTTGTAATTTTCCCTTAGAAATAAAATGATCAAACATTCCACACTAACATAAATGGTGTAATTTTGTACTAATACAGTATTTCTTTACATTTCTTAAAACAATGTATACAATTAGATAATGACATGAAAGTATTTATTTTGGCATCATGAAAATGTTACTATAAAATAACTATTCTGTTTTGTTTTATAACAAACAGAAGTTAATCTTCCTAATGTGTATTGACTATCACAGTTATCTCAGGGGCCACATGCTTACTATAGTTCTGCTGCCACTGCTGAAAACATTGCTGAATATCCCTGTTTTGATTCTGAAGAAATTACCTTCAGGGACAGTTTACCACCCAAATAATAAAACACGTCTCATTGCTTTATATTTTAAGGCCAGAATTTGATCAATTTAGTCACTCATCTTATTCATCAAATTTAAGGGAGAAAATTTTGGCTATTTTCAAAGATTATTTCCATTCTTAGAAGATAAAGATTTATGACCATCAAGGATATTCAAGACAAACACAACCTGAGTTCAAATGTAAGCCCAAGAGCTTACTGCCAAGCAACTTACTGGGCAGCATTCTTAAATTCTGAGTCACGATCTCCCAATTTGAAAAACTGAGATTAAAATATCTGCTTTCAGACACATACTGAAGATATCTGGTAAATAAGATGACATCTATAAGAGTAGCGGCATGGTGCCTAATAAGTAGGGGATCAACAGATGAATACACTGTATTTACACGATGGGAAATAAGTTCCAAAAGCCACACATGAACAATCTAAATATAGTAAAATAGTTCTGATGTGCCCACAAGAGTTCAAAAAGGCCGCCATTTCAATTAAGAATTATCGCATTATGATACAATATATCTGTTCCTGAAAGTGGCATAAACGTTTTTATAACCAAAATCCAAGTCCCCCTTTTACTTACAATGATACAATCAAAACTTTTAAATATCTACCAATTCTAGGCACAGAGGGAGGAATAAAGAAAACATAGTTCCTGCCCCAGTGGAGCTGAATTGCTCAAAGAGTTGCTTTT